>NC_000002.12:112944163-113247193 GCF_000001405.40 Homo sapiens | reverse complement strand
GTGAAGGGCTGAGTCTGCCTGAAGAGTCCCCAAGCCCAAGGTGCTCCTGTGACACCATCCCATCGTGGGGGATGAGCATCACATACCATTTGTGCCAGCATCTTGGGAGTGAGAACTGGGGAAGGGGTGCAGAGGGGCCCACAGGGCCTGGCCGTGGGATTTCATGGTCACAGTCAAACACACACACACACACCAGCACCTGTACTCATAGCTAATCCCCACCCAAACTCCTACCTGACCCTGACAGCTGTCCCTGGGAATATTGTCTCCTTAGGCCATGGAGGGCTGAACCAGCTGGGAGGGGCCTTTGTGAATGGCAGACCTCTGCCGGAAGTGGTCCGCCAGCGCATCGTAGACCTGGCCCACCAGGGTGTAAGGCCCTGCGACATCTCTCGCCAGCTCCGCGTCAGCCATGGCTGCGTCAGCAAGATCCTTGGCAGGTAAGCACGAAATTCACCGCAGGCCGCCTTCCCCGCAGGGCTTGACTTCTCCAGCTGATCTCAGGGCAGCTAGAGAATTCCCCTCCCAGGGAACGGGGATTTGCTCCCAATGTCCAGCTTTGGTCCTGAGACCTGAACAGTTATGGTGGTCCTTCTGGGCCTCTACCCAGCCACTATTTTTCTACTGTTTTCTTGCCCTTCCTTCTTTCTTTGTCCATTTATCCTTCTTTTAGTTTCTCCCTCTCCCTTCTTCTCTTTTGCTCCATGTCTCATTAGCTATAGGCTTCTCTCCTGCTAAGGCAAGAGAATCTTCCCCCAAGGTCCTCCTCCTACCGAGACCTAGGGAAATTAGGCCACTAGGGAGGGGACACACAGATGAGCTCCCAAGGTCTAACCCCTAAAAGAGTGATATCTGAGTTTGTGCTTCTCAAACCATAATTCCCCAAGACCCCAGATCAGTGCTTCATAGCCCTGGTAGCACATTACAGTCACCAGGGGAAGCCTGATTTTTAAATAGCAATACTGTTTATGCCCCAGGGCAGACCAATTAAATCCGAACTTTAGGGAAATAGGCGCAAGTTTTGGCATATAACTCCCCAGCCCATCCGCCCCCAGCAAGTGACTCTAATTCTCTGCAGCCAGGGTTGAGAACCACTGACCCAAAGATTCAGAAGAGACCAGGAGCAGCAAAGGCCTGCTTCTGAGCTGATGCAGTCACAGATTCCAGTCTGCAAAGCCACTTCCATTAAAAATGCCTCTGTGCCACAGCTTCCAGTCAGCTCTGTGTACGTGTGCCTGTCCCCCTGCTCTGACCCTTAGGTGGATTTAGGAGGAGCCCTGGTTGGACAAGGTAAAGGGACCTGGACTGTTCTTTGAACCGTGAAAAGCCCTGGCTCCCCTCCTGAAGTAGTTAGGGAAAGGCATGATCCTTTGCTGGGCTAGGGAGAGGGGATTCCTGTGATGGGTTGTGGTGTCCCAGAAGAGATGAGTCCTGGATGGAAGTAACAGATGAATGGAGTTTTAAAGAGCTAGATTCTTTTTCATGCAGATGAGAGCAGAGAGTTTCTACAACAAGAAGAGGAGGATATGCTGACACAGGCGGTTGATCTGCCAAAGCAACTAGTTGGAGGATAGAGGGAGGGGAAGGGTGGAGGCCCCAGAAGAGGAGGCTCAGCTTAACAAGTTGGACCTGGCTGGGGATCCAAGCAAGGTCAGGATTCCAGAGTCCATGAGGAGAAGCTTCAACTTGAACCTGCTAAAACCTGATAGAAAACCAGTGACCAGGGGGGTGAGGGATATGCCTCAGGCTTGGACAGGGCAGGGAGCAAAGGTGAACCAGCAAGACAGAGCAGAGGGTCCAGTGACCTCGGCTAGCTTTCTAGGTGGCCAAAGAAAATAGTCAGTCATTGGCTGGGCATGGTGGCTGATGCCTGTAATCCCAGCACTTTGGGAGGCCAAGGTGGGCGGATCACTTGAGGTCAGGGGCTCAAGACCAGCCAGGCCAACTGAGTGAAACCTGTCTCTACTAAAAATGCAAAAATTAGCCGGGTGTGGTGGCAGACGCTTGTAATCCCAGCTACTCGGGAGGCTGAGGCAGGAGAATCACCTGAACCTGGGAGGCAGAGTTTGAAGTGAGCCAAGCTTGTCCCATTGCATTCTAGCCTGGGTGACAGATTGAGACCCTGTCTCAAAAAACAAAAAAAAAAAACAAAAAAAACCTCAGTCGTGCTTTAGCCAAAAGAAGCTGGATAGAGCAAACTGCTGTGCCCCTGTCATTCACACATCAGGCACACCAAGATTTCCTTTCTTAGAAGGGAAATCTTTTGTGCCCCATACAATGGCTGTTGCAGATGCTAGGACACAAGAGACTGGCCAGAGGGAAGGAAGAGAGAGAAGCCAAGGTGAGGCCTTTAGCAGAGGGTGCTGGTTTGGCAGTAGCATGAACCTACCCAAGTGAGGGAAACAGATAGTTCCATGCACATCAAGCGTTTGAGACCAGCCTTGGAGGCACATTTCACTCTCATACCCCTACCCAGAAGCCTCAGAGAGGAGGGAGGCTCTGGCTAAATCCCTGTCTAAAGACCCCACCTGCTTATTGGGTAATTCTTTGGGATTCTCTATTGGAGTAGGTACTACGAGACTGGCAGCATCCGGCCTGGAGTGATAGGGGGCTCCAAGCCCAAGGTGGCCACCCCCAAGGTGGTGGAGAAGATTGGGGACTACAAACGCCAGAACCCTACCATGTTTGCCTGGGAGATCCGAGACCGGCTCCTGGCTGAGGGCGTCTGTGACAATGACACTGTGCCCAGTGTCAGCTCCATTAATAGGTAAGAGAGAAAGCAGCCTCTGGTGTCAGGCTGGGGCCCCTGGGCTTTGGGGAAATCAGGAAAGAGACAAGAAAGGCCTGGCTTGGGTGGAGCAGAGGCCGGGAAGGGGCCTGATGCTGAACAATCAGGCAGGGAGCACACCTGGCTCCAGGCAGATATCATACCTCCCTGCCTCCTCCCTTGCCCCATGCTATGGGGCACCCTCCCCCTGGCCCCCAGCCATAGTGTGCTATCTACAGTTTCCTTCCTCAAACACCACATCTGCTTTCATTCAATAAAAGAATCTTCATGAATTGATCCTTTTCTAAGCCATCAGACCCCTAACCCAGCCCACATTCAAGCATTCATTCGTTTAGTCCCTCAATGATTCACTCACTGCCTCAATCAATCATTTACTTACTCACTCGCTTGTTCATTAATTCATTCACACATAATTCACTCATTCATTTTGTGCTAGGCCCTGGGACACACAAAGCCCATCTTTGCGGAGCTTACAGTCTAATGAGAACACAGATATTAATCAACTACCTACAAAAAATATTGTAAAAATGCAGCTGTAAGTCCTGCTAAGAAAAGGAACATGAAGATATGCAAGGTAGCACAGGATTATTTGGTTTATGAAGTTCATGAAAGTCTTCCCTTGAGTAAAAAACAATAAGAGAACTAGGTGAAAAGAGCTCAGACAGTTATGCAAAGGCCCTGTGGCTAATAGGATCAAAAGAAAACCAGTAGATAGGCCAGGTGCAGTGGCTCATGCCTGTAATCCCAGCACTTTGGGAGGCCAAGGCAGGTGGATCACCTGAGATCAGGCGTTCGAGACCAACCTGGCCAACATGGTGAAACCCCATCTCTTCTAAAAATGCAAAAATTAACTGGGTGTGGTGGCGAGTGCCTGTAATCCTAGCTACTTGGGAGACTGAAGCAGGAAAACCACTTGAACATGGGAGGCAGAGGTTGCAGTGAGCTGAGATCACGCCACTGGACTCCAGCCTGGGCGACAAGAGCAAGACTCTATCTCAAAAAAAAAAAGAAAGAAAGAAAAGAAAACCAGTAGATAAAGAGCAGGGGAGCACAAGGTAGGCTGAAGTTGAAGATGTCAGCAGAGGTGACCTTTCAGAGGCTGGGGGCTGTGTTATATCTTCTTGCCTTTGGTCATAAAGCAATGGGAAACCCTTGGCAGATTTTAAGCCAACTTGCATTTCAGAAAGTCCACTCTGGCTGCAGTAGGGAGAATCACTTAGAAAGGGCCAAGAGGGGATGGGCGTGGGCCACTGAGTGACCCTGGAACACTGGTGATGACATGCACTAAGGTGCTGATGGAGAGACGCAGAGAGGGGTCAACGTTGGCAAGGTTCACAAGGTCAAAACACAGAACTTGATGATGGGTTTGATAGGAAAGAGAGGGAAGCAGAGGTTAAGCCCCATCTCTGTTTTGGCCTTGAGTGACTGATGGTACCAATCATGAAATGCGGACAACTGAGGAGGACTAGGCATGCGGAGTAGGGTCACAGACTTGACTGTGGACAGTTGAGTTTCAAGTGCCTTGGAGATACCCAAAAGGGGTGTCAAAAAGGCGACTGGGTCTGGGGCAGCCATGAGTTCTCTTTCCTCCTCTTCTCTCTCATGGCCTTTCTTCTCTTCATCACAGAATCATCCGGACCAAAGTGCAGCAACCATTCAACCTCCCTATGGACAGCTGCGTGGCCACCAAGTCCCTGAGTCCCGGACACACGCTGAGTGAGTGCTGAGAGACCTGGATACACACACATGCTCGTGTACACCTCCCCTTCAGCATACCCACATATACACAGAGGCACACACAGACACACCCACACAGACATAGCTGTGCACAGTACCATTCACAAACCCATGTGTAGACTGAGTTGTGCCACTGCGACGAAGTCTGGCCTGTTCCCAGGGCAGATTCACTGAACTATGGAGAGGTGCAAACACTTGAGACAGCTCTAACTCCAAGAATCCCTCCCACCAGGAGGCCCCCTGGAGGAAGGACCTGAGCCCCTCCAGGGCTCAGTCCATGGTTCGGCTTGCTGCCTCCTGCACAGTGTCAGCAGGGACTGTGAGGGGTGTCACTCTCACTCCCTGACCCTCTCCCTCTTCCCACCACCGCAGTCCCCCCAGAGTCACCCCAGGGCTGTAAGGGGTGTCCCACCCCTTGCTCCTCTCCCTCTCCCCCAGCCCCTGCAGTCCCCAGCTCAACTGTAACTACCCCAGAGTCACCCAGGGCTGTGAGGGGTGTCACTCCCACCCCTGACCCTCTCCCTCTCCCCCACTGCAGTCCCCAGCTCAGCTGTAACTCCCCCGGAGTCACCCCAGTCGGATTCCCTGGGCTCCACCTACTCCATCAATGGGCTCCTGGGCATCGCTCAGCCTGGCAGCGACAAGAGGAAAATGGATGACAGTGAGTGCTGGGACAGGAGGGCAGCGGGCGGTGCACGAGAGCAGTTTGCTCAGGCTTTGATGGGGACAGAAACCCTTCCACTTATGATATGGGACTTTGTAGGGGCTCTGCATGTGACTGTCACATGTCCTGTCCCTCAGTTGGCCAAGGCTCCTGGGCCCACGTGGCTGGCCCTTTTTCTCCCTCCACAGTGAGTCAGCTTGGAGTCAGTCCTCTACTTTGGCCTAGAGCATGAATAGATAGGTCCCCTAAAAGCTTTCTTCCTTCCCGGGGGGTACCAGGTGATCAGGATAGCTGCCGACTAAGCATTGACTCACAGAGCAGCAGCAGCGGACCCCGAAAGCACCTTCGCACGGATGCCTTCAGCCAGCACCACCTCGAGCCGCTCGAGTGCCCATTTGAGCGGCAGCACTACCCAGAGGCCTATGCCTCCCCCAGCCACACCAAAGGCGAGCAGGTGAGAAGCTGGGCCCTGGGAGGTGAACAGGGTGGGCAAGGGCCAGAGAAGGTCTATTCTCCAAATGAGCCTGTGCTCCATCAAAGCAGCTGGAAGTTGCATCAATGGGCTCAGGGCACCTGCCTTATGCAACTCCAAGCCTGACACATGCTTTATTTTACCAGATGCCCTGGCATCTTCCTCCCTTTCTAACCCTCCTGGCTTCCTTCACCCAAAACCTTTGAGCCTGGGCCTTTCAGGGATGGCAGCACAACCTGATGATGCTATCCCTTGCCATCAGCGTCTTTCCCAGATTGCAACATCACGTTCCACAACTCTGAAGCAGTAGCACAAAGCCTTCACATAATGACCTCAGCCACTATTTCCTAGCCCCACCTTTGGCCACTCATCCTGCACACCCCATGCTCTTGCATTACTCATGGCCCCGAGCTCACCACCCTCGCTCACACCTCTCTGCCCTTGCACACTGTGTGCCCTCCACACAGAATGCCTTTCCTCCCACTTCTCTGCATGGAAAAATACCACTAGCCTTCATGACTCAGCCAAACATCACCCTCTCCGTCAGTCCTCCCCTGCCCCTCCGACATGAATCATCTCTCCTGCCTCTTGCCCTTCTGCATGTCCCACATGCTGCTCTCAGTAGCTTCTCACAGTGTCACTTAATAATCTAGCAGACAGACAGGTACAAAGACACGCGGACTCCTTAAGGACAGGGAAGCCTCATGAAACGTTAAACATCGTTTTTATTCCCAGCACCTACCATTGTGCCCCCCTTATAATAGACAGTAATGGTATAGTGAATGAATGAACAAATGAATGAGTTGAGAAATCCAGAATAATACATCACAAGCTACAGCGAATTTTTCTTGCTAGTGCTCAGGACAGGTGAAATGAATCATAACAGGTTGGTGTCCGTGAAAAGCTGACAGAGATGTGAGAGGTCCCACCCTGAGGCCAACAAAGACTCTGCAGCTCTGGCAGAACCACTAAGCTCTCAGCTCCTAGTCATCACATCTTTTTCCCTTAACCCTGCCAAGTCAACCAGATGAGGAGTGTCTTCAGGGTGGGTCTGTTGCCCCTCTTTGCCCATGCCGTCATTTGCTGTAGGAGTGAGGCAAGTCCATATGCCTTTAAGAACCGAGTAGGACAATGGAGATGATGCCAATAATCAGCCCAACCACTTCCAGTGACCGTCTGGGCTGCTGGTCCCGTGCCAGCACTCGCAGCTGGGCAGGCAATCTGCATCAGCAATTTTATCAGCGTTGACTGTGGCAACCACGAGCGTGCAGAGAAAGCTGACCATCAGCAGCATGGGGAGAGGGCCTGGGGTGCTCACGCACCAGTCAGCACACAGCTCCAGGAAGGAAAGGGGTTGCAGTGGGGGGCCTGCAGGAAGCTCACTCTGTGAGAGTAAGCCTGCAAAACTCAGTGTGCAGGCACCAGCCACTCAGTGAAAGTAAAGAAACCCTGCTGATGAGACTCTGGACACCCGCTGAGTCCCAGAGCCATTTCCTGGCTCCATCCCTAAGCCCCCCAAAGGACCCTGCTTGACTACAGAGCACCCCCATGCCATGCTGGCATATGAACATGGGGAATCCTGGAATGAGAAAGTCTTTGAGCTTTCAGGGACCTCCATGACCACCTTGTCCAGTTTCTCCATTTGTGTGGAGATAATCCAAGCAAGACAAGGAGGGCTTGGGCAATCAGAAGGTTTTGGAGCTCAGGCCTGCCAACCCTCATTTCATTCAGACTGGTCCACTGTCACCTGTTTCAGATATGGTGCTTCTACGTAAACACTTATTTGAAGACTGAAAAAAAAAGCATTTGAAAACCATTAAACTTCTCCAACCACTCATCTTTCAGATGAGGAGACTGAGGTCCAGCAGTGTCCATAAATTATTCATTACCTCCTCAGTCAATCATTATTCACCCAGTCATTCACCTGGAGGGTGGTGAAGGCAGGGAGAACCAGCCAGTGCAAGGGCCCCTCATGTCCTGCCTGGCCTTTGCTTTTCCTACCTCTGGTAACTGACTGTGCTGCCAAAGTAACACTCCGTGCTCTCTCACCTGGGCATAGGAATGCCCTCTGGCTTGGGGAGCCAAGAAAGAAGCACAAGTATTCATACCTGACCTTAGGACAGGTTGTAACACAGCTATCTTTTCTGCAAAATCAACAAGTGGGGGACCAGGCATGGTGGCTCACACCTGTAGTCCCAGCACTTTGGGAGGCCAAGGTGGATGGGTCACCTGAGGTCAGGAGTTTGAGACCAGCCTGGCCAACAAGGCAAAATCCCATCTCTACTAAAAATATAAAAATTAGCCAGGCCTGGTGGCGTGCACCTGTAATCCTAGCTACTCGGGAGGCTGAGACAGGAGAATCGCTTGAAGCTGGGGGGCGGAGGTTGCAGTGACCCGAGATTGTGCCACTGCACTCCAGCCTGGGTGACAGAGCGAGGCTCCATCTGAAAAAAAAAAAAAAAGGGCAGGGGGAAGTGTTCATCAGAAACATCATGTGGCCTTATTCCTGGTTGCTATTTCATGACCAGACATAGCTAGAAGTCATACAGCTCTTGTTTCCCTATTTTACAAATGCATCAAAAAAAATCAACAGAATATGAATATCAGTTTATTGACAGAAATCAAGAATTTGGTGGCTTCTGACTCTTCACGATTCTGAAATAATATCTGTGATAACTCTCATTGGGCATCTGCTGTCACCAAGTATTCGGTGCTAAGCACATTATGTATAAGTATACAAAATTTCATGTAATGCTTACGTCAGCCTCATAAAGTAGAGTCTATGATTCCCATACAGGTGAGAAAATTAAGGTTCAGAGCAGTCAAGTAGACTAAAGCTACTTGGCAGGTCATTGCAGAACCAGGGCTCAGAGTCGCTGAAGTTCTGAAGCATTGTGCTGCTCTGCCCCGATTCAAGTTCAATTCCAGCTAAAAAGCCCAATAATCACTGGGAAGTTTCAGTCATTGAATACAAAATCACCAAAAGATTTGACTATATAGGTTTTCTTTTTCCTTTTTTTCTAAGTTACTTGGATTTTGAAATAGCTATAGGATTCTGAGTAGATATTTTGCTGTCAAAACAACACATCCATAAAGCATTTTAAACTTCTCTTATACGCTCTAGAAATTAGGTATTTTGTTCAATTTCAATAAGACACACCCTGGCCAGGTGCAACGGCTCATGCCTGTAATCCCAACACTTTGGGAGGTCAAGCCAGGCAGATCATGAGGTCAGGAGTTTAAGACTAGCCTGGCCAACATGGTGAAACTCCTGTCTCTACTAAAGATACAAAAAATTAGCCTGGCATGGTAGCACGCACCTGTAATCCCTGCTACTCGGGAGGCTGAGGCAGGGGAATCACTTGAACCCAGGAAGCAGAGGTTGCAGTAAGCGAAGATCGCACCATTGCACTCCAGCTTGGGCAACAAGAGCAAAACTCCGTCTACAAAAAAAAAAAAAAAAAAAGGCCCTAAGCAACTCCACCCTGCCTCTAAGTGGGCCCCCTTGGAAGGCATGGAACCAGAGCACCATTTAGTCAATAATTGCTGCTATGTGCTAATGGTGCCCTGGTGGCCTCCAGAATTGACTGCAGCTTCCAAAAGTGCCCAGCATGCAACCGGAAAGTGCTGTGGATCTTTGCAGAACCCAGCTCGATGGAAATCACTGAAAACAATTGCCTTTAGTGGCACTGTTATGTAACTACTGAGCATTCCCTGAATTCAGCTTTGCACATCTCACGTAGCAGGTATGTGACGAGTGTGAAGGTATGTGGGGAATGGGTGTGTTCTTTTTTCTGCGCTATCTGCTTCCCCAGTGGAAGGAGGCCATGGTGAGGATGAGGTACACTTACCTTTAGTTAAACAAGTTCTTTTCGGAAGGAGTACCTAAGGTCATAGCTGTGCTCCTGGGAAGGGGAGGCCAGGAGGCATCTAAAATGAGGTCTTACTGATGAAGACCCCCAGGTACTTGACAAAGAGTGTTTCCAACAAAAACAACTCTCAATACCATTTTCAAGCCGAACTTGCACACTTCTATTTGTTTGGATGTGGAGAGAGAAAAGAAGAAATCCACGTGGTGGGTAAAGCACCTGGGTCCACAGCCGAAAAATCCCGGGTTTAGTCTGTTTCACTATACAAAATTGGGCCATTTACCTGAGTTCCAGGCTCCACATATAAAACACAGACATAATATTACTCACCCATGTCACTGGGCTGCTGGGGGACTCTACTAGGACAACAGAGGCAAAGCTCTGATATAAGCTCTTTGCAAATGTAAGAAGTGGTCCTTATGTCACCCAGTTTAGGGCAGTGGTTGAGAGCAGACACATTCTGATCCCTCGAATCTGAATCCTATCTTTGGCCCATCTGGAAGTGGGACAAGTTTCTTAAACCTTTGTGCCTGGGTTTCCTATCTGGGGAAGAATAAATTAACAGATGCAAGGACCCTGAACAGTCCGGTTGGAGACTGCTCCAGTCCTTGGCACCGTCCTGCATTCTGTGGGTCCCAACAGTGTGGTGAAACCAGGAAGCCGACCAGCCATCCAACCAGGGTGTGGTCCTCTGGCTGAGACTCTCTATCCCACGTCTGGGCACCCATGCTACCAGCTGGCCTTGAATTCCAGGGATGCGGGAGGACAATGAGCATGAACGAAACGTGCCGAGTGGAGTTGAGAACGTAAAGGAAGAAGGGGGCGATGAGGACCTCTCCTGGGGAGATGAGGGCTGCCAAGTCCTAAGACACAGGCTCAGGGTCTGCAGGAAGGTCGGCTTGTTGGATCGTCTCTGTGCGCTGACTTCTCTTTGCTCCCCAGGGCCTCTACCCGCTGCCCTTGCTCAACAGCACCCTGGACGACGGGAAGGCCACCCTGACCCCTTCCAACACGCCACTGGGGCGCAACCTCTCGACTCACCAGACCTACCCCGTGGTGGCAGGTACAACGCCCGGAGCCTCCCTGGCAGGTGGAGGGCGGGGGACTGAAGAGCTTGGCTGGCTGTCAGGCGGAAGGTGTGGGGCCCTGGCCTGGAGAGGAGAGGCGGGCTGTGCCGGCCGGGCCGCCAGGTGGGCCCAGGGGTCGCGCCTCCGGTCCTAGGCCGGGCCTCAAGGTGGGCCGAGGGGTCGCGCCTCCAGTCCTAGGCCGGGCCTCAAGGTGGGCCCAGGGGTCGCGCCTCCGGTCCTAGGCCGGGCCTCAAGGTGGGCCGAGGGGTCGCGCCTCCAGTCCTAGGCCGGGCCTCAAGGTGGGCCGAGGGGTCGCGCCTCCGGTCCTAGGCCGGGCCTCAAGCTGGGCCGAGGGGTCGCGCCTCCGGCCCTAGGCGGCTCCCGTAAGGTGGGCCGAGGGGTCGCGCCTCCAGTCCTAGGCCGGGCCTCAAGGTGGGCCCAGGGGTCGCGCCTCCGGTCCTAGGCCGGGCCTCAAGGTGGGCCGAGGGGTCGCGCCTCCGGTCCTAGGCGGCTCCCGCAAGGTGGGCCGAGGGGTCGCGCCTCCGGTCCTAGGCCGGGCCTCAAGCTGGGCCGAGGGGTCGCGCCTCCGGTCCTAGGCGGCTCCCGCAAGGTGGGCCGAGGGGTCGCGCCTCCAGTCCTAGGCCGGGCCTCAAGGTGGGCCCAGGGGTCGCGCCTCCGGTCCTAGGCCGGGCCTCAAGGTGGGCCGAGGGGTCGCGCCTCCGGTCCTAGGCCGCTCCCGGGTCTCCGCGCTCCCTCCTGTGGGAGAGGCGGGCGCACACACGCCTTCCGGGTCTCTCCATTTTCGCTGCAGAAGCGCAGCAGGGAGGTCTAGCTTCTCTCTCCCCGCCTTGCCACGCCTCGTGGGCCCCGGCTCTCCCCAGCCCAGACTCTGAGGGCAGCTGAGCCTGCCCCGCGCCCCGCCCGCACCCTCCACATCCCACGGCTTGGCTTGTGCGTGTTCCCTCCCCGCCATCTCACACCCCTCTCTCCTTGTTGTCTCCCTCCCTCCGGCAGATCCTCACTCACCCTTCGCCATAAAGCAGGAAACCCCCGAGGTGTCCAGTTCTAGCTCCACCCCTTCCTCTTTATCTAGCTCCGCCTTTTTGGATCTGCAGCAAGTCGGCTCCGGGGTCCCGCCCTTCAATGCCTTTCCCCATGCTGCCTCCGTGTACGGGCAGTTCACGGGCCAGGCCCTCCTCTCAGGTACGACAGGGAGGTCCCGGGGCCATGCAGCTATGGCGGCGGGTGGGACGGGGGTCCTCAGGGCAGACCGCCAGCCCCCTCTCTGGCCTCAGTCTCATCCACCCCCACCCTGTTCCCTAATTCCTCCGGCAACTTTTGGAGGCGCCAACATGAAGTTCTCTGTGACGGGGAAGACATGCTCGGAAGGGGCGGATGCTGTAGGGGTGCCGGGGATGCACCACCCCAAGACCCCATGGAAAAGCAGGAACCCTAAGGCCGGGAGCCGGGTGCTGTAACGTAGCAACTTGGCCTTGGTAAATGCATAAATAGATAGAAGGAAAAATGAACATTTTGGAGGGAAAAAGGAATTGGCTTTTGGAGCCCATTTCTGGATCAAATTTCTAAAAAGGCCAAGGGTCAGTCCCAGTTGTGTTTCCATGATGCAGCTATCTTCATTCCTAGCTTAACAGCATCACCGGGAGGACAGTCAGACATCTGTTAAACATGATAAATTCAGTGATTCAACAACTTGAGAGGAGTGGGGGACCTCCCATCAGGAACCTCAACTGCCTCAAAATATTTAAAGCTGGAAGCACCGACCGGGCGAGGTGGCTCACCCCTGTAATTCCAGCAGTTTGGGAGGCCGAGGCAGGTGGATCACAAGGTCAAGAGTTCAAGACCAGCCTGGCCAAGATGATGAAACCCCATCTCTACTAAAATTCAAAAAATTAGGGGGTGTGGTGGCAGACACCTGTAATCCCAGCTACTGGGGAGGCCGAGGCAGGAGAATCGCTTGAACCCAGGAGGCATAGGTTGCAGTGAGCTGAGGTGGCGCCATGGCACTCCAGCCTGGGTGACAGAGCAAGACTCCATCTCAAAAAAGAAAAAAACAAATAAATAAAAATAAGTAAATCTGGAAGCACCTGAGGGAGCCTCTAGATCAAACCTCTTATGCTGATGAGGAACCTGGCCCAGGGAGGAGAAGGTCCCTGCCAAGGTCTCTGGGCAGGAGCACCATCTGTAGCTGGTTGAGGCCTGGGCCTGCACTGCATGAGTCAGACCTCAAGGGGAGCTGGCTCCTCCTGGCAGAAGGACCTTCGCTCATCCAGCCAGGGCCTGAGGAATGGCTGAGAGTCAAGCGCTTGGCTTGGGTTGGAGAGGGCCTGAGATGCAGTGAAAGTGGGAAGCAGAGACCCATATGGTCTTCAGATACCTCAAGGGCTTCCACAGGGATAGGACTATTTTAGATGTGGGCCCAGTGGGGGCCCAGGACCAGGGAAGGAAGCCAGCTAGCTCTCAGTTCAGCATTGGAGGAATCTCTTTAATAGCGGCACTGTCTCCAAGGAGTGTGGGTATTTAGTGACAGAAGTAAATGCCTCTTCACCTCCCACACCCTCCTACCCCGACGACCTTGAAATGCTGGAGCAGAGACCAGTGCGTGGGTGGGGTGTGTGAGACCTGTCACAGAGGCAGCCCAGAGTCAGACAGTCCATCTGGACCAGTGGTTTCAAATTTGGGCCTCTCAATGCTCTCTTGAAATGAAGCCTTTTACAGAAGACATGTATGCTCACCAGACCCCTGAAGAACTGCTCTTTTAGAAGGGGTCCCTGCCCCTAGAAAGCCCTTGGACTTCGAAACCACTGCACCAGAGGATTAAGACCTCTACAAGCCCAGAGTAACCACAGGGTCATGTGATAAAAGTCCCTGGACCCTTTTTTTTTTGTTTTTTTGTTTTTTGAGATGGAATCTCACTCTGTTGCCCAGGTTGGAGTGCAGTGGCGCGATCTCAGCTCACTGCAACCTCCACCTCCTGGGTTCAAGTGATTCTCCTGCCTCAGCCTCCCGAGTAGCTAGAACTACAAATGGGCGCCACTACACCCGGCTAATTTTTGTATTTTCAGTAGAGATGGGGTTTCACCATGTTAGCCAGAATGGTCTCAATCTCCTGACCTTGGTCCGCCCACCTTGGCCTCCCAAAGTGCTGGGGTTACAGGTGTGAGCCACTGCACCCAGCCCATGGACCCTTTTTTATAACTGGCTCTACATTTTCTTTCTGGCTGGCACCCGGGTTTTTTTTTTTTTTTCCTCCGTACATCCCAGCACCTAATGTGAGAAGTTTCCTTAGAAGAGAGGGACATCCAGTGTGTGGGCAGAGAGATGGTGTTTAAGGGTCTAAAGCGAGGAGTTGACTTGGAGTTCAAGAATTCAAGAGGGTGAAGGCAGCAGAGATGGGTCATTTGTTTTGACCAAAGTGATGAAAAGAGCAAAACCTGTGAGCTGAGTAAAATTATGTCAGCCAGAGAAAATGGGATGCGGGGTAGGGAGGGGAATGAGAGGATAGTGGAGAGGAAGGGAGGGGAAGGGAAGGGAGGGGAGGGGAGGGGAGGGGAGGGGGTGAGGAGAAGAGGTTCATGTCAGTTACAGGGAGTTACGCAAGCCTGCATGTCTTCTGAGAATGGCAGGCTAGAGCTGGCGGCGGTCATGGGGCAGGCAAGGGGTGAGGGTGTGGTGGTGCCCATGATGATGGGGAGCAGGTGCTGTGGAAGCCGCGGAGAAGCTTGGCAAGACCAGCTGAAGGAGAGGGAAGGATGTAGGGCAGCTGGAAGTGGATAGATGTATCAGAGTGCAGACATAGGCTGTAGTGTAAAGTGCAACTGGAACAGCCCAGGGCAAACTCCCTACTCCCAAAGCCCCTACACTTTGTCCCCTCCCTGTCATCCTGTTAGCATCCCCTGTCAACATGCAGTCAATCAGAGGTGACGCCTCCAACTACTGTCAGCTGTTAATTTAGTGGACATGCCCACTCTCCAGGCCAACTGCAGGACTGAGAGGTCACCCAACCCATGGGACAAAACAGCTGGCAGCAGACACCAGGTAGTCATGTAGGAAGCAGGCAGCCAAATATGCAGCACCGGCATATCTTTCAGGCTGGTGGCCCCCAATCCAGGCCCAGATGATGCTGAAGTGCAGGTGTGAGCACTTTGAAGGTTGCTGGCTGGTCACAGGGCCCCCTAGCCCAAGGGTTGACAATTCAGCACAGAGGCAGAGGCTCTGAAAAGAGTGAGGAGTGCTAGCCTTGGAGGATCTGGGGTCCAGGCAAATGGCCAAGAGTAGGAAGCAAGTCAGAAAGCAGCTCAGGCACAAGGGAGGGGATGGCTGGTGTCCATGCTGAGCTCAGGGTGTTGGCCTGGAGCTCCTTACAGACTGTCCACCTGAGGCCTCTGGTCAAGACTGGATCTCAATACCTAACACGTGGCTGAGCCATGGTGAGAGAGCTGGGAGGACATGACGGGGGGCGGTGGGGAAGGTTAGGAAGGGAATGGTTCCAGGAGCGCAGGAGGCTGCAGACCTTCCCAAGAAGAGGTGAATTTGAAAGAAAGAGAAGGAACCTGGGCCCAATGGCTCACACCTGTAATCCCAGCACTTTGGGAGGCCAAGGTGGGTGGATCACCTGAGGTCGGGAGTTCGAGACCAGCCTGACCAACATGGAGAAACCCCATCTCTACTAAAAATACAAAATTAGCCAGGCGTGGTGGCACATGCCTGTAATCCCAGCTACTCGGGAGGCTGAGGCAGGAGAATTGCTTAAACCCAGGAGGCGGAGGTTGCGGTGAGCCGAGATCGTGCCATTGCACTCCAGCCTGGGCAACAAGAGCGAAACTCCATCTCAAAAAAGAAAAAAATAATAAAGAAAGAGAAGGAAGTTGAGGCCACATTATTCCTAAGTAATGCTGCAGACCAGGAGAGAGGAGAGAGGACACAGTGAGTTTTCATTCCATAATCAGCTCAGCTTTAACCCGCGTGAATCTTCCACATGCCTCTGAGTGACTCCCAAGGACCCTCGCTGCCGCCTCCTGCAACTCCTTCACTACTTCATAGCGTTTTTCTCTGGGTCACTTATTTCCGCCTGGTGGCTCTGATAGTGTGATTTCCAAGGTGACTATCCTTCTGAGTCTCAGCTCATCCCCAGTCAGCCAAGAAAGAAGAAACAGCAAGGTTTGGGGAATAGCAAGAGTGCCCCTAACATTGCTGCCAGTTCCCTTTGGAAGCCCCAGTCTGGAGTCCCAACACACTGGCCAAGACAGCAATGTCGAGGCCGTCCTGGTCCCAGCTGCTCTGGGACTGCCTCCAGCTCAGCTCAAAGGAAAGCCATGAGTTAGGTTTTATCATCAAAGAGTCCATTCCCCTCCTCCATCCTTTTGTACAAAATTATATTTAGTTCTGCCAAAGAGATTTCTGAGTTGCCATAAATTCTCCTTGCTATCAGAACGAGATAAGGAATTGAAAAGGGGTTACATGGAGGGCAGACTTCAAAGGGGGAAAATAAAATAGTCTGAAATCACCTCTACCCTCTGAATTCCTCCAGGCAATAGCTTTATGATTCTGGCCTCTACCAATATTTAGAATATTTACCAATATTTCAAGGTGTAGGGGGAGCTAGAGTTTTCTTAGAGAACTCCACGGCCAGTCAACATGGGCCTATGCTTTCTGTCAACTTCCTAAAATAGGACCACGTTGGAAAGAAATTTGGGTGTAGAGGAGATGGAATTCATAGCGAGGATCGTTTTATGATGAAGAGTCTTAAAAACAGAGAAGTAGGTAAGAGGGCATGGTTAGGCCGTGATGGAGTTTCCACCCCACAGCTTCTGTGGTTTTGTTTCTAAGAAGGCTTGCAAGCTTCTTGGCTTTTTGGAAGAAACTATGCATTTAAGCAATTGGAGCAAAGAGTTTTGTAGGGCTGTTGGGAGAGTTTATTGTGCCATAGTCTGGGTGAGAGCCATGCTGAAGAAAGTCTTACCAGTCTTTCCAGGAAGACCAGCTTTCATGGCAGGAAGCCTCAGGCGTCTGTTCTGATGTCCGATTCAGAAGCCTCTACCCCATTGGGAAGACATTAGGTGACTGAGGGGAGATGAAGATTAAAAATCGTAGAGTACAGGGGAGTGAGACTGATGAATTCCATTTATAAGATCAATGTAGGGGCTAGTTCTCATGCGGTGGAGCCCCGTGGGGGCACCTCTGGACCATATTAAGCTGTGTTGTAAGGGGAGTATATGCCCTGGAACTCTGCCTGCTACTCTGCCAGGCTCGAGAGGCAGCAGGTTCAGGTAATAGAACGAGAAGGAACAGGATGAAGGCAGGGGGAAGGGGAGTGCGGGGCCACAGGCTGCCAGGCCAGAAGCAGCCCTGCAGGGCACAAGGCCAGCACCAGCAAACAGGTGACCTGAGAGTCAAGACCACCTCCCACTGCTCCCCACCCCGATCATGGCAGACACAGGCTGCCTCAGAATCCTTCTCAACACTGGGTGCCAGGAGGTCCCTACCAGCCAATCAGGTAGTCAGGTGAATCCAGTTTACAAGCTGAAATCTAAACTAGTTCCTTATGTGACAGGCAGGAAGACGTGGTTCAGAGAATT
This sequence comes from Homo sapiens, assembly GCF_000001405.40. Lineage (NCBI taxonomy): Eukaryota > Metazoa > Chordata > Mammalia > Primates > Hominidae > Homo > Homo sapiens. The sequence goes on along the minus strand of NC_000002.12, from coordinate 113,230,000 downwards.
AAGTGGCTGTCTTTCATCCAGGGTCCAGCCTGGATCTGGAGTTCCCTTTCTCTCTCTCTCATGGAGGAAGAGGTAGGGAGGGAAGAGAAAAGAAGGAAGCAGGCCTGAATCCGCCACCACCTTCTTCCATCACTCCCTCCCTCACCACCTGTCCCTGCTCTGTGCTCCTCCTGCTCTCACAGACTTCCTGTCACTCCTTCCCTCTTGCCTAGCCGGTGCTTCATCTGAGGGCCAAGGGGGCTGAGTTTGAGGGTCGATTGTGTTGTATTCTTCTTCAAAGAAAGCTCAGATTTTATCTCAGTATAGCTTCTGCATATTTCTCCCTCTGCGTCTAAATATCTTAAAATTCTCTTTTCCCCTCCTGTGTTTCCAGCCCTTCATTTGTTCCCTTGATGACCTTGTGTCAGGTAAACTGAACACACCTGTAGAATTCTAGTGGGTTTCACCCCATTTGGTCCAGTGCCAAGCACAGCTGGACACTGCAGGAAAAGTCAAACAAATTAGAAGGTGGTGTTCAGGTTTACCAAAACATTCACACGGTTTTAAACAATGAACACTGATGGCTCTTTATTCTGTAGGAGTTCACTGGCATATAACCATTTCTAGAATGTGTCCATTGTGCTAATCAATGTCCACCTGTAGCATGAAACCCTGGCTCTGAATTATGCAGATAACCTCATAGAAATTGTAATAAGGTGCCTACAGCTATGTTTTTTTTTCCATTTTGCATATGAAGAAACTGACCCTTGGGGCACATACTAGGCTTATCTAAGGGCACTCAGAAAACTAGCCACAGAAGCAGTATAAGGACTCCAGGCCCTCTGATTCCCAGGCCCTGCCCTCTAGAGGAAGGGAAGAAGTTGTGTGTGCCTGGTTTTTGTTCATTGACCCCTTGGGCTTGGCTCCAAATGCCTATCCCAGCCTATGTCCCTTCTTGATTTAGTGCCCGGCCTTGCTAATTTAGCATCCTGGCTTTCTGCTATATACCCAAGTGCTTAGAAAAGTGTCTAGAATATAGTATTTACTCAGTAAGTATTTAGTGAATGAACACTGTCTTTGGGGAATCTCCAGAAAGAGAGATAAGGAGGAGGTAGTCACTGCAGTATTGGCAACTTACAGGCTTTCATGGGGCCTTCCTTCCCTTCTGTCATGACCAGGCACCCCTTGAAGGGGCTGAGGTATGAAGGACCTGGGGGGGACTGATGGGTGGATAGTTGGACAAGCAGTGCCATAGAGGAGATGAATTTGGTAAGTTGGTTAACAGGGCTCACAGGTGGCCCACACAGGTCCTGGGAGGAAAAAGCAGCCCCCAAAATGGAAGAGGCAGAAGGCATTTGGGTAAAAGAGTCATAGTCCAACACAATGGTTCTTAGCCAGCAGCGATTTTGCCCTTACTACCTCCTGCTGAGGACATATGGCAATGTCTGGAGGCATTTTTGTTGTCACACTGGGTGAAAACTGCTGCTGGTATCTACTGGATGGAGGCCAGAAATGCTGCTAAACATCCTACAATGCACAGGACAGCCTCCTGCAGCAAAGAATTGTGCAGCCTAACATGCCAATGTTGCTGAGACTGAGAAACTCTGTAAATATCACCAAGAACTAGGAAGAGCAAATAACTCATTATTCCAACTGGAGCATTTTGAGAATGAAATGGGCATTATTAACAAATATGCTGGGATACTGGTCATCACCTGGGTACACCTTGGCAAACCAGGGTGTATTGTCACCTTGCCAAGAATCTTGGGGTGAAGGAGAATCTGATTGGGGCCTGCAGGACACAGGAGCAATAGAAGAGGGGCAGGGGCAAGGGATCATGTTTATGTTCATTGTTATATGCAGTAGATGGGGAGATGCTCGCCAGGTCAGGTGGGGCCTCCAAAATGGGAAAGTGATTTCTCGATGTAGAGGAGAAGCAGAGCCGGGAAATGAGGTCTTTACAGAGCTGATTTGGTATCACCAAGGTGGGGGTATGACCCACAAGCTATAGATAAACAGAGAGATTGGTGTCTGTTTTGCTAAAAATGGTTCTTTTCAAAATAGAATGGACAGATATGTGGCTTGTGGTCATGTAAAAGCTAAATATCTCCGCCACATCTCCTTCTAGGTTGGGGTTAGCCAATCGGTTTCCTGTACCTGGCAACTCTGATAGATTGCATCCACTTGGAAGGCCCCCTCTACTCAGGGGGAAATGGTATAGTGGTTGATTAGCAATGTCTGTCACAGGCCCCCCAAAAAATAGTGATGAGTTAGTGGCCCACATACATGCCATCCCTTCATAGGGTCTTATTCTTGGTACTCCTCAGAGCCGGGAATGAAAGGGATGAGCTCTGAGTTAAGTGGTCTCAAATGTATTTATGGAGGCCAGCTATACCCACTGCTCTGCTGGCTGCTGTTGGGGGTAACAGAAAACAGAAGACATAACCTCAGCCTCCAATACCAGGACATTCTTGTGGATTAATAAGATAACAATCACGTAAACAAAACCACTGGAGAACAGGGAACAGTGTGAGACTGCAGTAACAAGTGCTCCCTGCATGGTGGAGCCTCTGTCCTGCAGAAGACCAGACAGAGGTGAAAAGAACTTGGGCTCAGATGAGGAGTGGGGGCAGGAGGAAGTGGGTTTGGAGAATGGCTGTAGAGAGGGTGGGAATGGCATGGAGGAAGACAGCCTCAGGAGAGTGAGATGATACATATGGGAGCCCCCATGGTCCAACTGACGACTCTTTGCTGTATTTTTCCAGGGCGAGAGATGGTGGGGCCCACGCTGCCCGGATACCCACCCCACATCCCCACCAGCGGACAGGGCAGCTATGCCTCCTCTGCCATCGCAGGCATGGTGGCAGGTAAGGAGAGGGCCGGCAGGAAGGGGAGCACTGCAAAGAGGAAGTATTGGAGCAAGGTGGGACACAAGGAGCAAGAGGCATACTGTGCCCTATTCATAGACTTCCCAAAGGGCATTGAAGGATGGACCAAAGAGGGCATCTCCTTGTAAATGCCTGGAGACGATGTCCCAGTGCAGTCCTGACTCCCTATTTAACTTGCCCCAGCTCGGCCTCCTTCTTCCCAGGCCTGCTACATTACCCTCCATGATGAAAAGGGAGGGGCTGAGACAGGTCTGTGTTCAAATCCAAGCTCCACCACTTCTTCCAGTGAATCAGTGAGCATAAATGGAGAGCACTCTAAGGGCCCCAAAACACTGTGAGTGGAAGATGAACCCTACCCTCAAGCAGTGCTGGTCTCCCAGTGATTTAACTCTGATGAATCCCAGTTTACCCGTTCTGTAAAATCTGAATCTGAAGGGTATTGATGATGATGATGATGATGATGACGATGACGATGATGATGATGAAATATATGCTTCACATCTCTCTCTCAAGCCTGCATGGATAGGACCCGGGTTCTAGGTACTCTAAGAGTACTATAGAGGATGAAATGAGCCTGGAGTAGCTCTCCATCCTCATTTGGACTGTTCTGGAACCTGCCTGCCAGTCATTTGGGTTTCTTTGTCTGCCAGTCATCATCCAATGATGATTCAAGATGACAAGGTCTGGACAAATGAAGATAATGGGAGTTTCCTTGGGCAAGTCTCAATTTTTTAGGAGCCATGTAGGGAAGACTTTGGGATGGATGAGACATAATTGAGCCATTGTCACTGGTCAAAAAGGCCTGGGACCTGGAGTTTCTGGAAAGAGCTCTGAACACAAGGCATCTGTGACCCCCATGCCAGCCCTAGGCCAGCCTCTCTGGCTGTGACCCCAGAGACTTGGCGTATTTACCTAGGCCTGCTTCCCTTCCTTGCCGGCAGGAGTTAATCTTTGCCAGCCACCCACTCTGGGCACCCTATGCAGAGGCAGGTGGGCTGGGATCTCCTGGGCAGAGGGAAGGGAGGGAGAGAAAGAGGGAGGGAGAAATGCTCTGTGCTCCCTGGGAACCTGCTGAGCTGGCACTTGTTGCTGCCTGGTTACCGTGGCGATGTGCTTAATGCAGCGTTGAAAATACAGAATACTGACTCCTCTGTCCCTCCTGGCCCCGGACTCCCTCCCTCCCTCCCTTCCTCTTCTGGAGCGTGAAATGAGATTGGTCAAGATAAAAAAGGAAAAGATTCGGTTATTTTTTTAAGAGTGTGGATAATGGGGCCTCTCAATCAAAATCCCAGTCTCCAGTCGGTTCCCCCCATTCCCCTTCCAACCCCTCCACCTTCCCCTGCCGCCTGCTTAGAGGAGGAGGAAGAAACATAAAGCACAAGGCTTTTCTCTTAATTATGAATCATTCCCTGAGGGCAGGCCCAGGGCAAGGGGTTCCTGGGGCCCAGAGTCTGACCTGTGAGGTAGCTAGAAGGCTTGAGCCTCTCATCAAAGTCCCCCAGGTTGTTTCCAGAAAGAATCCTGAGTGGGTTCTGTGAAAAAGAAAAAAAATAGCACAACTAGGACACTGACTGCAAGTGAAATCCACAAAGGAGGGACCTTGCCCTACACAGTTGGGCTCCCAGTGAGTTCCATGAAAATCAGTTTTAGAAAATGCAATACTATTTAAATGAATCACTTGGTTCCTAGGAATGGCACTGTGCAAATGAATTCTTAAGGAAATTTTTTTGTGGAAAAATTCTATGTCCGTCTCTTACCACTGCTTGCAATCTCCCAGTTGGTTGAATGGGGACTCCTGCAATTAAAGTGAATAAACTTTCATCGAACACCTACTGCATTCATGTTAGGTACATGATAAATGCTTAAAGCAAGGCATGCCAAAGACATTCATCAATCAATTGTGAAAGGAAGGAAGTGATCACTTATTATGTACTTTTGCATGTCTAGCCATTCAAATATGTATAACTTTATTTCTAATTTTACCCTGACCATAAGACTAAGAGGCTAATACTATCCCAGTTTTATGGATAAGGAAACTGAAGCAAAAGCAAAGTGGTGTGCTCAGGGTCATAATCATACTAAGTGGCTGAGTTATGCAAACACGGATTTTTCAATTTCAAGTCTAAAGCTCTTTCCTCTACACCATACTGCCTCCTACCATACCAGAAATAAAGACACAAGCTGCAAGAGAGGAGCACAGGAAAAGGGCTAGGACAGATTTCCCTTGTCTATTCACCTTCTGTTTCTATTTTATTTTATTTTATTTTATTTTATTTTATTTTATTTTATTTTATATTTTATTTTATTTTATTTTTTTATTTTATTTTATTTTATTTTATTTTTTGTTTTGACTCCATTAACAGTCAATGATTCTCAACCAGTTCTAGAGCAGAACCAGCAGCTCCAGACACATGGATCCATCCAGTCATCTATCTTTCCACTCATTCATCTTCCCATACATTTTTCCACGCATCCATGCATTTTCCCATCTATCCTTCTATCTTTCATCATCCATCCCGTCATCCTCCACCTTTCCACCGATCCTTCCATCTTTCCATCCATCTTTCCTTTTTTTTTTTTTTTTTTGGAGACGGAGTCTTGCTCTGTTGCCCAGGCTGGAGTGTAGTGGTGTGATCTTAGCTCACTGCAACCTCTGCCTCCCGGGTTCAAGTGATTCTCCTGCCTCAGCCTCCCCACTAGCTGTCACTACAGGGACCCACCACCACACCTGGCTAATTTTTATATTTTTGGTAGAGACGGAGTTTCACCATGTTGGCCAGGCTGGTCTCGAACTCCTGGCCTCAGGCAATCTGCCCGCCTTGGCCTCCCAAAGTGTTGGGATTACAGGTGTGAGTCACTGTGCCTGGTCCCTCCATCCATCTTTTAATTCATCTGTCTTTTCAGTTATCTATCATCCATCTTTCCATCCATCCATCTTTCCATCAATCCTTTTATTTTTCCATCCATATTCATTCGTCCATTCATCTTTTCATAGAACTATCCTTTAATCTGTCTTTCCATCTATCCTTTCATCATCCATTCTTCCACCCATCCCTCCTCTCCTATATCCATCTTTTCATCCCCTTTTCAATCTATTCCTCCATTAATCTATACATCTTTCTATATATACATCCTTTTATCTGTCCATCTTTCCATCCATCTTTTCACCCATCCATCCTTTCATCATCAATCCTTCCATCATTCACACTTTCATTCATCCTTCCATCCTTCCATCCATTTACCACTTTTTCACTTAACAAATACTGGTTGAAGGTCTACTGTATAGGATGCTGGGGATACAGCAGTGAATAAGTCAGATTCCTTTATTCCTGGAGCTTATAACCTAATGGTGAAGACAAATGGACAATAAATAAGTCAATGAATGAACATAATAATTTATTGTCTGTGAAGACAATAAAATGGGATGATGTAATAAAGAGCCACAGGGAGAGGAGATAACTACTTTAGATTGGGCTGTCAGGGGAGGCCTCTCTGAGAAGGTGTTCAAAGTGACCATTCAAGTGATAAACTGGGGCAGACCATCCCTGGACCAAAGAACAGCAAGGGCAAAGGACCTAAGGCAGGAACTAGTTTAGCATGGTAGCACAAAATTGTAGTGGCTGGGTCGAGTTTTAAAAGGCTACTCTGATTTCTAGGAAAATGAATTGTACATAGTCAAGAGAGAAAGCACAAAGACCAGTTAGGGGACAGTTGCAGTAGTTCTTGCAAGAGATGACAGTGGCTTGAGTTAGGGAATTAGCAGTGAAGGAGGGAAAAAGAGACCCTGAAAATATATTTTGGTTGCAAAGCCAGCAAACCTTGCTGGTAGATTGGCTGTTGGGATGAGAAAATAGAGGAAACAAGAATCATTTGTAGGTTTGGGGCATGGATGATGGTGGCAAGTATATATATGGCAGACCAGGAGGGGAAGTGATGTAGTAGATGGCAAGTGGAAATCAAGAGTTTTTTGGGCCGTGTTATGATTGAGATGCCTACTAAATGTCCAGTTTTAATAAGTCAGCAGGTACATCATGTGTGTCTGAAGCCAGGAAAGAATCCTGACTAGAGTATAAATTTCAGCCATTGCACAAAGCTGTCATTTAATGACAAGACTACTAGAAACCAAGCCTGGGGTTCTTCAACAATTTAGAGCTCTAACAGAGAAGGAACAGCAAGGAGAATGAGTAGGAAAGACAACTGAGTTACAAAGCAAACAGAAGACTGGGCATCACAAACCCAAAGGCATGAGACAGGGATGAGCTAAAAGGTCAAGGGAATTGAGGATATAGAAGTGACCATTGGTATGATGGAGTTAGAGACTGTGGGGACTTGAGGGGATCAGAGTTGGCCTGATAGGAAGGGATAAGAAGGTGAAGGCAGAGACCATGGGGCAGAGAAAGGCACTGGTAGCTAGAGAGGAATGTGGGGATAGGAAGAGGATTTTTTAAAGACAGAAGATAGCAGAATATGTTTGCAGGGTGAAGGGAGAGACTGATGAAACAGAAAACGGGATCATTGGAGCGGCCAAATCCTTGGAAAGGTGAGTAGGGTGGGATGCAGAGCAAAGAGGCAGGGTTGGCCTTTCATCGGGGCAGAGACGTTTCATCTGCTGTGACTGCAAGCAGGTAGGCACATCTGATGACGGGAAGATGCCACACCCAGGTGTGTACCACCTACCGAGCTCCATCCCCTGCCCCAGGTTCCATGTGACTGAGGTACTCGGTAAATGGTAGTTAAATACATAAATAAGTGGGTGAGTGAGTGAATGCATGAATGAGTGACAAAATGAGAGGGTAAACACATCATGTTTTCCACCTCTCTCCCTTGTCCTCTAGAGCTCACTGTGTTTGCCATTGGGTAGGGTGTGGTAAAAGGTGAGAGGGCCCTTGCTGTGTGGCCAGTAGAGAATCGGCTGAAACCCGGGAGACCTGAGTTAAACAGGAGGCAGTTGGCACTGGGAGATGCAAGAGAGAGTGCCATTGTGGAAGGACGGGGCCAGGGTTCTAGTTCTGGCTTTCACTGAATATGTGACCTTGGCCAAATGTCTTTACTTCCCTATGTCACAGCTGTGTTATCTGTTAAACAGATGTTTAGAGTAGATTATTTCTTAGTTTTTCATCTGTTAAATAGATGTTTCGATTAGATTATTTCTTAGGTTTTTTTTTCTTTGCTTTTTTACTTCTTTACCCCCTTCCTTTTTTTACCCATGTTTTTTGCTTGATTTACGTTAGACTTAGTCTCTGCCCCTAAGGAACTTTCTTACTGTGTTCTCAGTCCGTCATTGACTTCCTAGACAAGGAGAGGATCCAGTAGCCTTTCTCTGCTTTAGGCTGCTCCTCTTCATCTCTCTTCTTCCTGTATAAATGCCTACTTGTCTGGCAATAAAGCAGCTCCCACTAACCCCAACCCAGGCCTTAAGACTGGTTGGATGACTGATTTAAGCCTCCATTGAGCTTTATTTTCGCACCTGTTTAATGGGAAAATAATAAAAGCTTAGATTTATTGAGCACTCCCTGTATATTTGAAGCATGGTGCTAAGCATTTAATACATATTTTGTCATTTAATTCTCATTAAACCAAATGAGATAGGGATAATTATTTGGCCCATTTTACAGATAAGGAAACCAAGGTTCACCTGTAAGTCACTCACTCAGAGAGGCTAAGTGACTTGTCCAAGTTTACATAACCAGGAAATGGGAAGTAAGGATTTGACTCTAGACAGGTCAGCTCCAGAGTCAGGGAGTTTCGAGCAACCCCTCCAAAGAGTCTGGGGAAGGAGACTCAGAACCACATAGCTCCCAATCGTAGGTGAGTTTCTGAAAGGCTGGGTGGACATTCATTGAGTCTCAGGGTTGGCAGGAATCTAGCTTTGTAAATGGAATTATCGCATAAGTGAATAAAGGGATTATCTGCAATTTGGAGTCAAGAGCCCTAAGGTCGAGTTCTACTCTGACATTTAACAACAGTGTGATTTGAGGCAAACTGCTTAATCATGCTGCACTCCAGTTTCCTTTTCTATAAATTGGTAGTATCCATGAGTACCTCATGGGGTAGTCTTGAGAATAAAAGATCATAATGTATGGGAAAGTGCTTTACAAACTTTAAGCTCTTTACCAAGCACCGGTAGTAGCTGTGGTGATCAGTTTGACTTTGTTTTTGTTATGTAAGGGAATTCTTAAGTAATTTCTTCGGTAAATAATTCCTTTGGAAAACTCAAGAATCCATTAACAGAAGGAGGTGATCTGATTTACTTTGTGTAAATTTATACGTTGAGTTTGCTTAAAGCGGCAGACTCAGGATGGAACAACAAACTACTCCAAGTCCCAGGACACAGCTTCCTGAGGGTGTGTGCCCTCTGGGGCTCTCCCTCCTCTCCCATCCTTAACCCTCACACCTCCCCTCAGCCCCCCATGCACACAAACACACACACTCATACCTAGCGAGGCTAAAAGGTTCATATATATGGATGTCCTCTTTGGCCCCTAACCCCATACCCCTGCTGTGGGGCCCTCCCAGAAGAGCCCTTCTCCAGAAGGTCCAGGCAGCAGAAGGAGCAGTTAGTCCCTGGGCCCTACACTCACAGCACAGTTTCCCAGCTCCACCAAACCCTCCAGCTCTGGGAGCTTCCGCAGATCCCAGAGGCTCAGTTTCTTCATCTGGAAAATGGGGGTAGTTATAACATCTACCTTCTGGGCCTCCTGGGAGGGCTGTAGTATGTCAAGCCAGTGCCTCCAGTACCTACGGAAAAGGACACTGCCCCAAATTTTCCAGATCGATGGGTTCCAAAAGGGATGACAGAGGGACCTTCTGAGCTCCATTGTCCCTGCCGTGGCTCCAACTGTCTCCCCAACCATTCCTGAGCTTGCCCATTGCCAGCCCTGCAGACCTTCCCACACCCCAGCCCTGCATTGATGCCCTTCACCTCACAGGCCTCTCCCCTGTGTGCCTCCAACAGGAAGTGAATACTCTGGCAATGCCTATGGCCACACCCCCTACTCCTCCTACAGCGAGGCCTGGCGCTTCCCCAACTCCAGCTTGCTGAGTAAGTCCCTGGGGCTGCCCAGGCCTCTGCTGGGCAGGATGGATGGAGTGGTGGGGGGCAAGGGTGGGTCAAAGGTTACCTGAAAGCTGGGAGTCCTCAGATTATACAGAGGGCCTGGGAGATGGTGCTGTTTGTGATGGAAGAAGGCAGCAGGAGGGCAGTGTACCTGGTTGTTTGGGGAAAGAGGGCAGAAGTCCAGAGGCTTCCAGGCATTCGTTTCCCTCCTGCTTCTCAAGCCCATGTCTTTTAAATCTTTGTTTTGTGTAAGATTCAGGGCTCAGGCCTTGAAGGGGAGGACAAGGGAGGACTTGAGAAAAGCCTAAGAGAGGACCTCCTGCCTCCACGGCTTACAGTCCCACAGTGCAGACACTGACGCAGGGCACCCGCCAGAATGTAACTGCCCTCCTTCCTGGGAGCCAGTTTCAAGAATGCCATCCTGTTGCCCCCATTAACCATCTAAGTGGCTCAGAAATACTCATGATTCAGCACCAAACCCTTAAACAGAAATCTTTTGTTCCACCACATTCCCCATATTTAGCCTGAGATGAAGACAGTATTCAGGGTCGAGGTCCAGAGAGTGAGCTTCAGCGAGCTTCCAGGCTTCTCTTCACCCCTCTCTTGTCCTGGGGTCCTGAACTGGGAAGAGAAGCTTTTCAGCAAAGCAAAACCCCACCAATGGGGGGACTTGAGGGATCCCACTAGAGCCTCCCTGAGTGGTGGCCTTGGGTGTATCAGAGCAAACCGGAGCCAGACAGAAGCAGTGATCCAAGGATGGCCAACCCCACAGGCACCATTGCAGGCTAGGAACCATCCATTCCCCAAGACCCCCTCTCCTCCCATTACCTCTTTGTATTCCAGAAATAACTTGAAAGGTGGCAGACCTGGGCCCTGTTTGCCAGATGAGTTCAACTCCAACCCAGCTTTCCATTCAATTTAGCCAGAAAAGACGAGGGCAATGAGACATGCCAGGGTTCAGGCACCTTCCCACTGAGCCTCCCCAGGCTGCCCATCCTGCAGGTGTGCAGAGCCTCACCTTAAGGGCCGTCAAGCCCAGATCCCCTTTGACCCCTCAGCAGTCTAATCTCCCTGGGTCTTAAGAAAGAAGACTCTCTGTCCTGGCACTGTTTGGGCAAGGCTAGGGAGGATCCCAATGACCTCTCAGTGCACTTGATTCTTTGGGGTTCCACATGCAATTGTTTTCTATTGCCCTCTCCCTATTGCAACGAGGGTGTTGAAGGTCAAAGCAGCCATAGGGGGAAGGGGCAAGAAGCCACTGTTCTCATTCTGGCCAGAAACTCAAAGGTGAGGCCAGAGAAGGAGGAAATAGGGCTGGAGAGGAGTTAATCTTCGATGATCAGATAGGCCAGAGAAATGAATGATTAACTTGTGTTGTCTTAAAGGTCAGCAGATGCAGGGAAGGCTATGGTGCAATTTTCCTTTCTGACCAGCAGTGTTGTTGTTATTTTTTTTTAATGTGTCCAGGTTCCCCATATTATTACAGTTCCACATCAAGGCCGAGTGCACCGCCCACCACTGCCACGGCCTTTGACCATCTGTAGTTGCCATGGGGACAGTGGGAGCGACTGAGCAACAGGAGGACTCAGCCTGGGACAGGCCCCAGAGAGTCACACAAAGGAATCTTTATTTATTACATGAAAAATAACCACAAGTCCAGCATTGCGGCACACTCCCTGTGTGGTTAATTTAATGAACCATGAAAGACAGGATGACCTTGGACAAGGCCAAACTGTCCTCCAAGACTCCTTAATGAGGGGCAGGAGTCCCAGGGAAAGAGAACCATGCCATGCTGAAAAAGACAAAATTGAAGAAGAAATGTAGCCCCCAGCCGGTACCCACCAAAGGAGAGAAGAAGCAATAGCCGAGGAACTTGGGGGGATGGCGAATGGTTCCTGCCCGGGCCCAAGGGGTGCACAGGGCACCTCCATGGCTCCATTATTAACACAACTCTAGCAATTATGGACCATAAGCACTTCCCTCCAGCCCACAAGTCACAGCCTGGTGCCGAGGCTCTCCTCACCAGCCACCCAGGGAGTCACCTCCCTCAGCCTCCCGCCTGCCCCACACGGAGGCTCTGGCTGTCCTCTTTCTCCACTCCATTTGCTTGGCTCTTTCTACACCTCCCTCTTGGGCATGGGCTGAGGGCTGGAGCGAGTCCCTCAGAAATTCCACCAGGCTGTCAGCTGACCTCTTTTGCCTGCTGCTGTGAAGGTATAGCACCACCCCAGGTCCTCCTGCAGTGCGGCATCCCCTTGGCAGCTGCCGTCAGCCAGGCCAGCCCCAGGGAGCTTAAAACAGACATTCCACAGGGCCTGGGCCCCTGGGAGGTGAGGTGTGGTGTGCGGCTTCACCCAGGGCAGAACAAGGCAGAATCGCAGGAAACCCGCTTCCCCTTCCTGACAGCTCCTGCCAAGCCAAATGTGCTTCCTGCAGCTCACGCCCACCAGCTACTGAAGGGACCCAAGGCACCCCCTGAAGCCAGCGATAGAGGGTCCCTCTCTGCTCCCCAGCAGCTCCTGCCCCCAAGGCCTGACTGTATATACTGTAAATGAAACTTTGTTTGGGTCAAGCTTCCTTCTTTCTAACCCCCAGACTTTGGCCTCTGAGTGAAATGTCTCTCTTTGCCCTGTGGGGCTTCTCTCCTTGATGCTTCTTTCTTTTTTTAAAGACAACCTGCCATTACCACATGACTCAATAAACCATTGCTCTTCATCTCAGGCTTTGGGGTTGGCTGGGGAAGGAGGCATCCCGGGGCTGGGCTTTCTCCCAAGAACATCAGAGCTGAGTAGCCGACAAACTCACTTTGGGGCCGTGGGCTGGAAGGGACCATCTGATGCCCCAGAGCTCTGGCTTGGCCTTCTCCCTCTGCCTTTAATTCACGTTGAACGCTGGGTACCTCACTCATCCCAAGTTCTTCAACACTGAGCAAATGCAAGGATAGCACAGTACTGAGCCAACCATAGACTCCCCACAAGGAGTTGCTGTTGTTATTAACAGGAAGCCAGAGAATCAGCAGGGTGGGTTAGTGAGGGATCCGGGAATAGCTGTGACTGGAGCCTGCATAAACAGCTCTGAAGGGAGAGAGAAGACTGGGCTCTCTTGTGTGCCAGGCACAGTATGGAAGGCTTCATATAAGTTAAGCTGAAATTAGCCCTGTTTTACATACAGCTTCATTTTACATATGAGGAAACTGAGGCTTTGAAAAAAATGAGATGTCTTGTCCAAGATGAAAAGTAGTAGATTCAACCAAGTCCTCTTACTCTAAGCCCAACGCTTTTACCCAAAACCCCAGAGTCCTCATCAGGGATGCCAAATGGTTCTAGACCCAGTGGAGGTTCTGGAGCTGCCACTGGGGATTTAATTTCTTTTGATTTGCTAAAGATTTGACCTGACTGAATGGAGAGGTAGAGTGTAGTGTGGCCAGGACAAGGTGAGGGAGGCTGTAGAGACTTAGCACTTTAGGCCAACCACCTCCAGGAAATCTGGGAAATGCAATGTGACAGCTCGGGCTCTGCACTCCAGGGGGCTGTCTGGTGTCCACATGGACCTTCTCCATGTGGGACACAGCTGGAACAAGGGGGCAGGGGCCTGCAGCTGGGATGCCCAGGTGAATATGGGCAGCTGGACAAACAACACTGGGATTGAGTCAGATAGAAGGGGCCCAAGGACTCCAGGGCTGGGAGGACAGAGGCTGGGAGAGAGGGCTCTTACCTCCTTAGGCCTCCCAAAGAGCGGTTAGGGATGCTGCCATGGATGGCATGGCAGGGGGAACCCTCCTGGAAGAAAATCCATCTCTTCTGAAGGGATCTGAGATGCGGCTGGTTTTTCAATGGCAGAACTTCCCTCTGCAGCGCGACTCCGAATCCATGACATCTGAGAGTCTTCCTGACCACAAACCTCTGGGATCCCGAGGGCTCCCTACCCAAGAATCACTTTGAGCACAGCATCCCAAGGAGCCCATAGAGCGATCCCTTGCATTCACAGCCACAGCCCCTCTGGGGACACTCTGTACCCCCGGCAGACCCTTTCCAACTCACAACCAATAAAGGGGCTTGGGCTGTGCTTTGACTAAGGTGACCATGGTTTAAAACTCGCCTTTCTTTCCCGGAGGTGAGCTGGGCTTGCCAGGAGCCTCTGCTCAGAGCGGGTGTTTGTTGACTGTGGGATGTGTTCCCCATGTAACAGGCCTTGGCTAGTACCCATCCAATATTCTGCCCATGGTCAAACCATGGGTCCCCTTTTCGGGCTCAGAAAATAAGGCCATTTATGTATCGGGCGAAAGAAAGACAATTCGACGTGCCCCGGCATTTGGGGTGGTGTTGGGAGGAGTCAGGCTGGCACATGGGGGGACGCAATGAAGAAAGGTGGGATGGCAAGGACAGGGAGGACACGCAGGGGGCTTTGAGGGTTGGCCGAGGGGCCACTTTCACCTGGGGTAGGGAGGGCGGCTTCTGTGAGTGGTCGCAGGTGAAGGGGGGTCGCTTTATGGTGCAGGGGAGCCAGGGGTTCTCTGGGGGTGGTATGTGTGTTTGTAGGAGAATTGGGGATGAGGATGGGCCCAAAACATTGCTGAGGCATTGAGAGCACTGAGGGCCTATCCCTTCCCCCTGGAATAATCCCTTTCACTGCTCATGTAGAGAGACCACCTGAGCTTCCCAGGCAGTTTACTCTTAACTTCTCCCTGGTCCATTACCCTCACTCCTCTTCATCCTCAGGTTCTAGCACAGGCCAGGCCAGCCCAGGGTGCTAGGAGCTTGCAGGAAATTCATGTGGACCAACCAACTCTGGCAGGTCAGTGGGTTTCTTGCTGGGAAAGGGGGCAGCTGGAACCCTGCCTGGGGCCCACCAGATGAACAGAATTGCTGTGACCCCGTAACCTCTACCACAAAGTTCCAGGACTAGAGACAGCGGAACTGGGAGTCCTCACCTACAAAGCCAGCCCCCAGGCTAGTTCCAACCCCTCCCCTTGTCACATCATCTCTTACTTCTCCAATATCCTTGCCATGAGTTGTGAGACTAAGAAACATGTATCTTCTGCCCTCTGTGTGCCAAACACACACTCAAAAACACACACTCAACCCTGGTGACAACTTCAGGCAAGAGGAGTTAGTGAAACCTACTGGAAGTGGAAGCAGGAGCCTCCAAATAGAAACAGAAAGACAGACAGGTTGAGGCTGTTGCTAAGATCTCCCCTCTCCCACCTGCCCTCACCATCCTCCCACTTCCACCACCCAAAATACACACACCTTTCCCATCCATACCAACATGAGGCTTCCTGGCCAGGCACTGTGGCTCACGCCTGTAATCCTAGCACTTTGGGAGGCTGAGGCGGGTGGATCATGAGGTCAGGAGTTTGAGACCAGCCTGGCCAACATGGTGAAACCCCGTCTCTACTAAAAACACAAAAATTAGCCAGGCATGTTGGCGCATGCCTGTAATCCCAGCTACTCAAGAGGCTGAGGCAGGAGAATCACTTGAACCCTGGAGACGGAGGTTGCAGTGAGCTGAGATCGCACCACTGCACTCTAGCCTGGGTGACAGAGCAAAACTCTATCTCAAAAAAAAACAAAAACAAAACAAAAACCCATGAGCCTTCTTTAAGATAATTCACACTTCCTTGTCCTCTGGGGGTGGGCACCAGAGGAAGGGGACTGCAGACCTCAACGCCATTACTACTGGGCCTGGGCGTCAGCATCAGTCCTGTCAATCAGGACTGAGGGAGGCCGCGGGGAGGGAGGGATTGAGCTCCCTCCTAGGCAGCTCCTGCACCCACAGCTTAACAGCATCTCTGTCCTGCCTCAGCCTCAGAAGTGGTAATAACCCTCTCCACAGGCTTAGTTTCTTTTTCCATACAAAGCCCATTCACATCCATTTACATCTCTGATTCTGAATATTGGCCCCCTTTTATTTTGCACTTGGGGAATCTGAGACCAAGAGATAACTTGACTTTTTCAAGGTCATTCAGCGAGTCAGCAGAGGAGCAGGGACCACAGCCTTACCCCTAATCCAAGGCCTAGTCTGCATCCTATTGTCAGGCCTCAGATATCTGGATATGGCCAGGCTTCTGAGAGATGTCAGACACTCTTTGCTTTGCAGGGAGGGGCGGCAGAAGTCACTTGGCCAGTTGGGGCACAGTGACTTCTGCTGCCCCTCCCTGCAAAGCGTGACTGGACGCAAGGCCCAGAGCTCAACTGAAGAAGCACTGGGACCAGGCAGATTTGTGCCAGGCTGATCTCAGACTTCCCTCCATCCTTGGCCCTAAATCTCCCTTCAGGGTGCCCTTTGGCAGCCCCTCTCTAACCTTTAAGGTCATAAAGCCTTCCATGTTCCATAAAGGAGCTGGTGGCTCCTCTGCCCCAGGCTGCTGTGCTACCTTCTGACGCCAAGTGACCGAGCCGCCATGGCTATGGTTCTCATGGAAGAAACTCCCTCTCTCTCACCTCTATCTCCTTCCTTTGTTCACTTCTTCTAGTTTTCTAGTTTTTTTCCTTTTCTACTGAGTCTACAGCAATTATTCCTTTCCCGACTGTTTGAGAGACATTCGTGTCTCCAGGGCTATGAATGAGGGAAAGAGACAGGGAATGTTTGGGGAGAGCTCGGAGTCCCTGACCTCCTCAGGAAATGCCAGGAAGCATCCTTCCTCCCTCTCTCCAGTGCCCTCTCACTATCACCTTCTCCCCATCACCCTCTCCCCTTCTCCCTCTCCCCATCACCCTCCCCTCTTCTCCCTCTCCCCATTACCCTCCCCTCTTCTCCCTCTCCCCATCTCCCTCTCCCCTTTGTCCTCTCCCCATCGCCCTCGCCCCATGGCCCTCTCCTTGGCTTCTTGCTCTTCTCATTACTGTCTACAGCTCCTGCGGCTCTTTGGGGACCACTGGGACACAGACGCTGGAGGTCATTACCTCCTGGGTGGCAGACGCCTGTCCCCACGAGTCCCCACTCTCATAGGCACACACCACTGTCACCAACCCCATCCCTACATCTCCATGCCCTTCACATAGAAGGAGGGTGCCTGGTTCTCCTTCCTGCAAGAAGCTGGAGCAGGCAGACAGGGCGGACAGGTCTCTCCTTCCCCTGACCTCGCTCTTTCTCCTACCCTTGAGAAGCAGCAGGGGCTAAGGCCCACGGTGGAGGGGCTCAGGCCTCCTGGAAGGTGGCAAGAGGGGCTTTGGATGGGGAGGGAAGGGGAGGTGGGGGACCCAGCTCCTTGGCATCTGTGCCCGGTGGCAGCCAGCCAGGCTGTGGAGGGAAGCGCTGCCTGCGGCTCTCCCGGGGAAATGTGATTTCCCCCTGAGTGAAGCGGACTGTGCAGTGTGGAAATTGGCTCTTTTCTGAGCGAGCTGCTGCTGTTGCTGCAGAGTCGGGGCGGGCCGGCTGGCCCCTGGAGTGAGCCGGGAGCAGCCATGTGCTGAGAACTCATTAGGGATAAATCAAACTAGTAACAGCATGAAGCCAACACCCCCCCACCGCGCCTCCCTCCCCTACCCCCTCCGAGACCCCCCCACTTCCCCTCCTCCTCCATGGTCTTCTTCCCGTCAGACTCTCTCCTGCCTTCTCCACAGCCAAGGCACCCTCCCTGAAGCCAAGGCACCTCCCCCAGACAAGGCACCCTCCCCTCCAGTTTCAGGAGCCCGAGCTCCTGCTCCTGAACACGACCTCGTGGGCGCAGGCTTATCCGCCTACTGCCCAGACGCCCGGAGCCGCCCCAGTGAGAGACAAGTTCATTTATAAATACCGTCTTTTTTGTTTGTTTTATGTTTGTTTGCTTTTTTTTGCTGGAGATGGGGGCCTGGTAGCAAGCTTCACTGACAGCCACAGACAGCCCTTGCTAGGAGCACAGATTGGGACCTCACAGTCCAGGCCCTCTCATCCTCCCCCCAAAGTCACATCATTCCCCTGTCCTCACCTCCTAGAGGAACCCAGTGGGGAGGCCCCCAGCTGTGGGTAGCATTAATACCCCCACATATATCCATCCCCCTGGGGAAATGAGAGCACCCAGAAGACTTAACTGCAGCGGGAAAGAAATTATCCTTAAAACAGATGAGCTTGGTCAGAATGGAAACTCATTTCCCCACCGGAGGAAAACAAGGAAGAGAAACAGACAAGGAGGAAGAAAGAAGGCAGGAACAAGGCCTGGAGCTCTTGTCGTCATGAAGGTGATGAAAGTGTTTACTTGCAAAGTATAGCCATTTCTTCCCTAGAAACACCCTCTTTGCTGAGGCAGCGGGAAAGGGTCGGCCTGGTCTGTTATTCCAGGGGCTGAACTGGTTGGTGTTATTAAACTTTTGTTAGTTATCATATCATAATAACACGGCCCCTGGTTATTGCCTTTGTTTTCCCCCTGGGAGAGATTGGCTGAGGGATATTGCTAAAAGGGCCCAGACCTGGAGTGTAGGGTTGTGACCGGATTTCTGTCCCTTCCCTTCTGGCGACCCCAGGAGACTGCTCACTTACCTCAACTGTAAAATGCATGGCTTGAGCCAGAAAAATGTCCAGCTCAACGCTGTGACGCAGTAGTGACCCAGGTCAGTGACAAGCATTGAGGGCCTCATCTGACTGGTTTAGGTATGAAGCCCTCTTTCTCCAAAGTTTCCCCGGGAATTTTCCATCAGGCAAACACCATATTTCCATATTTGGAATCTGCTCTGTGTTTGGGGTGGGAGTGGCTCGGCTTCTGGTGCCCCACCCTGCCTGATGGGAGCTTGGGTCCTGACTCAGCTTGCCGAGCTAAAGCCAGGCTTCCAAAAAATTCCAGGATGGGGCAGAAACCAGAGGACAGCCAGCTAGCCACAGTTAGTATAGGCTGGGGCATGAGGATTCTGCTATAGCCCTTACATTAGTTGATTCACTCATTCATTCATTTATTCAGAAGTCTTTTATGAACTACCTGCTATGAACGTTTCCCTTTGGTAGGCACCAGGAGAAAACAAGATGAACCCAAAAGGACTCCTCCCAGCTCCCAAGGGGAAAAAAAACAAAAACAAACAAACGAACAAAAAACAGCTTAAGAAACGAGACTTGTACAGAACTATAGAGCAAAGTGGGAAAGTGAACATCAGAAGACAGTTGCACATAAAATACAAAATACTGTTGGTTTTCAGATAATACTTGCAAAATCCCTCATGGTCATCCCAGGCCTCTATCTGGGATCACTGTCTTCTCCAAGAAGCAGCCACTAGGAACAGCAACTGCAAACTCTAACCCTCAAGCCTGAAGTCCGACCTGTCTTCCTGGAAAAAGGCTGCTCCCCTGGCCTCCTATGCTTCTGTGTCTGGGAGGAGTAAGGCGGTGCTGGGCAAGGAAGAAATGAAACATCATCAGCATCCTTTCCCAAATACCCTCTCACCCCATTCCAACCGCCGTCTTCCAGACTTGCCCCAAACCTATCTAACCGGACCACAAGCCTAGAACCAGAAGGCCTGGGTCTCTCTCTGAGCTGCTGCTTTGTTCTTACACCTGGGTGGGGAAGGGGGCAGTGGGTACCCAAGGCCTGAAAACAGACTACAGGCTGCCCCTCCCTGCACATCTGGCTGGTCCCCTCCTTCCCATCTTGATAGCCCCCTGCACCCAGGGTGGACCAGCCCAGCTCCTCAACCACAGGTTGGAGGACTAGAAAAGGGAGAGAAGGGTCCAGGGTGGGGAGAGTGGGAAATGGCAAGCAGAGGAAAGGAGAGGGCCAGGGACATCACCTGGCTGTGAGTTCTAGGACTGCTGGGGGAGGTGACAGTGATACAGGCTTTAGGAACAGGCCTCACCTCCATGATCCCTATGATGCATACACATTTTCTCAGAGGTCTACTTGGAGGATGGAGGGAGGGGACTTTAGAGGCTGAAACACAATGATGGGGGGATGCAGTACCCAAATGTCCCAAGGAAGGGAGGGAAAGTAGAAGATAGGGAGTCAGAGAAGCGGGGAGCAGGTGCCTCCTCCCAGCAGCCAGCCCCAGGGAGGGAATGGGGGTGGACCCAGACCCGGGCCAAGGCTCAGGGCCCATCTGAGCATGTCGCCTGCTAAGGAGGAGTGGAGGCGGGGGAGGGGAGGGCGGGGAGGTGAATAAATAATAGGAAATAAAACTTCATGAAGCAGAAAATAAAAGGCAGATTATACAGATGTGGCAATTTGAAGGATCATTGCCTCTGTCCTCTTTTTAACTGCTGCATCTGGAGTTTCGAAGCGGCTTATCCTCTCCCTCCCTCTCCCAGGTCCCCGCCTGGCTGGAGGCCCCCACAGGGCCAAGGCACGTGTGGGGACAGCACCTCAAACGCCTCAAATGCCAGTGGCATTTCCTAGCACCACACGCGGCTGCCCAGCCTGGGACGGGCTTGCAGGGCGGTGGGGACAGTGGGTGAAAGGGTGGGCTGGGTGATTGGGGTGAACCTCTGAGCAGGTGTGGGTGTGGCTGGGTTTGTGAGCGAGTATGAGCTTGGTATGAGGACCAGGTAGACTGTGGGGAGTGAATCTGTATGGTTAGGAGTGGGGTAAGGATTCGTCAGGCATGAGGAAGGGGACACTGGTCTGGATGACTATCGGTGGGAGAATGAGGCCTAAGTCTCTGCAGCTTCTTTCTGCTCTTCGTCAAAATTCATGTGTTAAGCCTCAATTTGACACTGTGCCAGGTGCTATATAAACAGACATGGTCCCTGCCCTTAAGGAATTTCCAGCCTAAGACACACACACACACTGACATTTTGTTTATTTTATTTTAAATATTAATATATTCCTCACCTTGTTCTGGGGAGGATTTGAGACTGCTCATATGATATGCATGCCATAAATTAGTAAAATGCAATAAAAAATAAAGCATCAGACCACAGAAACTATGCCATGGGTGGTATAGCAGGCCGTAGGCGGCTGTAAAGTTGATCCGGAATTGGCCTTCAGTCTCTTAGTGGTCAACTGAAAGGGTGTTGTGGTCACATACATGGCTCTCATTCACAAGAGGGCAATGTACCAGCTCTTAGAAGAAGCAAAACTTTTTCTAGTACTTGACTCTAAGGAAAATTACCCACCTCGGCCCAGATGAAAGAGACTAGCGTGGATAATGTCCTCAAAACATGGCAGCAAATTCAGGCTCAGTTTCTCTGGGCTGTGTCCTGCAGGAAGATCCAAGGTGGTCACCCTCAGCCTCTGCTCAGTGAGAGCACTGAAATCCACACTCCCTTGAGCAAAGAAACGATCTGTATGTTTCAATTCTTTCTTCAGCACTGGGATTTCTTTCAAGTGGGTTTTCATATACAGATTAGCCCATGACCATGACTAGAGGCTCAGAGGAAATACTAGTAACTGAAGTCACAATTCCTAGCTGGGTCCAACTCAGGGTCAGAGCAGCGAATGTGGACATGTAGAGGGAGGAGGCCAGGAGTGGTGGGCAAGACTGTCAGCAAGCCTGCACAGGGAAAGCATCTCTTCTGTGTCTGGGTACCTCCTCCTGAACCTGTGTCACACCACAGAGGAGGACAAAGAAATAAGAAAACCAGAGGCTTCTACCCTGATTGTGAGGCAAAGGTCCATCCATCCGGGTCACATCTCTGTATGTATCCTGGTGTGTGATCTTTCAAAGCAAACGGATGACCTCAAGCCATCGCAGAATCACTCACAGAAACAGAGGAGTCAGGAGAGGACTAGTTTGCAGGAGATGACACCGAGTGTGGTCTTACAGGTAATATAGTAACACCTGTACCGTATGGTCATTTGTAATTTCAGGAAGATATATTGAGGAGCCATGTATTGTGGACAGTTAGAATTCCAGGTCTGAAATTCAGAACAGAGATGAGAGTTGAAGGCTTAGATTTAGAGACTTCTTCCAGAAACTATCTTGAAAGCCCAGCAGTCAGCCAGGTAAGATCTTTGAGGCTACATAGTTTAGGGGTGGGAAGAGCAAGAGGGAGTAGCAGGAAAGACAGAAAAAGAATATGCACCAGTACTTTGGGAGGCAGAGGCCGGCGGATCACGAGGTCAGGAGTTTGAGACCAGCCTGACCAACATGGTGAAACCCCATCTCTACTGAAAATACAAAGATTAGCTGGGTGTGGTGGTGCATGCCTGTAATCCCAGCTACTCAGGAGGCTGAGGAAGGAGAATTGCTTGAACCCGGGAGGCAGAGGTTGCAGTGAATTGAGATCGTGCCACTGCACTCCTGCCTGAAAAAGAATATGCAAGAAAGTAGAAAAAGAACCAGGACATAGTTTTGAGATGTGCATTCTTTCGACTCTAGATATCAGGCCCTGGGGAAGCAGTGGAAATCAACAATCCCAGTTCCTGCCCACAGGGAGTTTATGTTGCTCTGGAAGCAGAGAGGCAAAAAGAAATGAAGAGGGCCGGGGCGTGGTGGCTTACGCCTGTAATCCCAGCACTTTGGGAGGCTGAGGCAGGCGGATCACAAGATCAGGAGATTGAGACCATCCTGGCTAACACGGTGAAACCCCGTCTCTACTAAAAATACAAAAAAATTAGCCGGGCATGGTAGCGGGCGCCTGTAGTCCCAGCTACTCGGGAGGCTGAGGCAGGAGAATGGCGTGAACTCGGGAGGCAGAGCTTGCAGTGAGCCGAGATCATGCCACCGCACTCCAGCCTGGGCGACCGAGCAAGACTCCATCTCAAAAAAAAAAAAAAAAAAAAGAAGAGGAGAGAGGAGAGGAGAGTTACAGAGTTTCATGTAATAGAAACTGAAGGAGGAAGACTTAGGGAAGGCCTCTTGGAGGAAAGGGCATCTGCATATTAGTCGGTTTTCTCCCCATCATCCATTCCTCCTATCCTGTCCTTCCAGTACTCACAATTTCTCCACAGCTGGTCCCTATGTTTTGGTGGTGCTGACTTCACTCTCATCCTCTCCAGAAGTGGACTCTGATCTCCTTAAACCCCTGGCTCTAGTGACTGGCTCAGATATGGGCACACGGCCCAAGGCAGGCTGCTACAGGAGACTATTCCTGGATTTGAGTTTGAAACTTCCAGGAAGCAGAGAGTCACTTTCTGCTATATTTGCACCAAGAAAATGGATCTTGAGAGTTCCTGGGGCCATCTTGGAAGCATGAGGGTTGTTCCTGCTCATAGGCCTGGGAGATGGAGCCCCCAAAAGAACAAGAGAGAAAAGGGGCCTTGAATCAGAGTGAAGCCCGAGATGAAGCCTCACCTGACCTGGATACAGATTATTCAGCTATTGGAGCCAATCAAAGTCCTTTTCTGCTAAAGCTCATTTGAGCTCAGATTTGTTATTTGCAGGCCAAGGCAGAGCCAAGTGCAAAGCTACCCAGCATCCAAGCAGGATGGCATGCATGAGGGCAGAGCCTAAGCCAGAGCCCAAAGGAGGAGGGGAGCAGACGTGGGGTAAGTCTGGTGAGGCTATGAATTAATAGCTAACCTCACAGGTGTCCCTTCTGTGCCAGGCATTGTTCTGAGATGTTTACGTGCATAATTTCACTTAATCTTCATGAGGACCTTGTGACATAAGTAGTGTTATTATCCCCATTTTATAGAGAAGCAAACAGAACATAAGAGGCTAACTGGCCACGGTCAGATGGCTAGAAAAGCTGGACTCAATTCCCGGCAGTCCCACTCAAGGGCCTGGCCACTGGGGCAAGATCAGGCTGAGCCTGGGTGCAGGGTCTGGTAGATGATCACATAGCTATCAAGGCCAAAGGTCGCTGAGAGGTGATGGCGGAAGAAGGCTGAGAAGGCATCAGAGTTGATGACTGCAGCCATCAATTGCCCTAGGAGGTGCCATTTCAGGCAAAGGTGGGGTGGACGCCGATTTGTAAGGTGTGAATTAGAGCCAGGTATGAATGGGAACCTGGTAAGGGCTGGGAACAGTTGGCAAAGCCCACACATACCGTGAATTCATCACAGAAAGCAGGGAAGCCAGGGTCAGCTATGGAAAGCAAGAGAGTCTAACACCAGCTTTGATTTTTGCTCATGATGGTGTTTGCAAGGCATGATAATGAAGGGGGTAGAGAATAGGCTCAAAGAGCCCCAGTGGGCCCATGAAGGAGAGAGGTCTGTGGCAGGCAGGAGAAGAGGAGCCAGTGTGCCGGCTGAGGGGAACAGTTGGTCACAGGCTTGTGGAGAGCACCTCTTCCTCTGGAGAAGGGAAAATGAAGGGAACAGGTAAAGGTGCAAGCCACAGTTAGCTGGTGAGGGGGCATGGGCATCAGAAAAGCTGAGGGGCAGAGGTGTTGGCAGAGGGGCCAGTGGGGAGGACAGTAGCCATTCAAGAAACCTTGAGGATCTGTGAGCATGCCTGCTCAGCTCAGCAGGAGGAAAAAGGACCTGCTACGGCCAGGTTTTCACAAGGTTCTGGGATATTGCCTTTTTTTCTTTTTGTATTTATTTTGAAATAATTTCAGATTTACATATAAGTTACACAAATAGTACAGTGCATTTGCAGGCCATATTCTGACCCTACCCATTGGCCTTACTTTTTCAAGGCATTTCATCTTTTTTTTCTTTTTCGACAGAGTCTCGCTCTGTTACCCAGGCTGGAGTGCAATGGCGCAACCTCAGCTCACTGCAACCTCCGCCTCCTGGGTTCAAGCCATTCTCCTGCTTCAGCCTCCTGAGTAGCTGGGATTATAGGCATGTGCCACCATGCCCGGCTATTTTTTGTATTTTTAGTAAAGACTGGGTTTCACCACGTTGGCCAGGCTGGTCTCGAACTCCTGATCTCAGGTGATGCGCCCGCTTCAGCCTCCCAAAGTGCTGGGATTACAGGCATGAGCCACCGCGCCCAGCTCATCTTCTTAAAACAAAATCCCTAGGCTGTCCTCCAAGCCCTGAGCTTGGCACTCTTCTCTTTAAAAATTGCACTGCACTGGCCAGGCACGTTGGCTCACGCCTGTGATCCCAATGCTTTGGGAGGCCGAGGCAGCTGGATCACTTGAGGTCAGGAGTTTGAGACCAGCCTGACCAACATGGTGAAACCCTGTCTCTACTAAAAAATACAAAATTAGCTGGGCATGGTGGTGCATGCCTGTAATCCCAGCTACTTGGGAGGCTGGGAAAGGAGAATCTCTTGAACCCAGGAGGCGGAGGTTGCAGTGAGCTGAGATCGCACCATTGCACTCCAGCCTGGGCAACAGAGCGAGACTCTGTCTCAAAAAAAAAAAAAAGTTGCACTGCACATTCACAAAAAGCCACTCTCCTTGGCTGCATTGGAGACCCTGTATGATCTGGCCTCAGGCCACCCTGACGGCCCTGTTTCCCTCTGCCCCCCTCACCCCGACCCTCCAGTCCTGCTCCTTCCAACCCCGACACATTCCATATGTCTCCGTCTCCTGAAGACTCAGACCCTCCTAAGGAAAAAGGTGCGGGTCTTGGTGATCTTTTTATCTACCCTGGTGCCTGGCAAGCAACAAACAAATATCATCAGCAGAAAGCCAGGCTCAGCTGAGATCATGAGAGCCCAGGAAGCAGTTATATCAGGAGTAACAACCTGGGTCACAGCAGGCCCAGGACCCTGGAAGCTGAGCTCCCCTATATGGGAAAGGAAGAACTAAAGCCAAACTTCAAGTGCCCTTCCAGAGCCTGAGCTCATCACTGAGAACCTCTGTCTGTCCCTTCTCCTGCAAAGAGAAGGACACAGGTGGGAGAGGAGCATGGGGTGGGAACAAGGTCAGACATAGGCCTGTGGTGGTTTGATCTGTTCCATACCTAGGATGGGGACTGGAGCCTGCTCAGCTTTCACCTTCCAGCGTTACCTGGAGCAACCCTGTGGGGAGCTGTAGGCTGTCCCCATAGACTTCTGAGATGTCTTTCTTTCTCTCCATCTGCAGGAAGATGTCAGAGCCCCAGTCTTTTCCCTAGGAGAGGCTTCCCTAGATGGTGGGAGTCCTGGCCCAGGCCACTGTGGGTTTTACGAAGTTGAAGGTCCTGGTTCGGTGATGGCACAGGGGCACACATAATAACTTCCTGCCTTTCAGGGAGCACAGCTCAGCTCCACAGCAGGACACCTGAGCAGCCAGAAGCTAGAAAGATGCAAGCCTGCCTCCAAGTGGTCACATGTCATAACTGCAGCCCACAACCCAGACCCTCCAGGCAGAGGTGCCTGGGCAGCATTGACTATGGCAGGCCAGGCAGCCACCATCATCTGGCTCTGAAGATTCCACGTGCTCAGGTGAAAGAGAGGTGCCGGTTCTACATGAGCAAAGGAGCATCAAAGTGTCACACACACATGCATTCAGACTTTCACCTTTTATCATGGTTTTAGAAATAAGGATGCATAGGCCAGGTGTGGTGGTTCACGCCTGTAATCCCAGCACTTTGGGGGGCCGAGGCAGGCAGACTACCTGAGGTCAGGAGTTCGAGACCAGCCTAGCCAACATGACGAAACCCCATCTCTACTAAAAATACAAAAAATAGCCGGGCGTGGTGGCACACGCCTGTAATCCTAGCTACTTGGGAGGCTGAGGCAGGAGAATCGCTTGATTCAGTGGAGGTTGCAGTCAGCCAAGATCACACCATTGCACTCCAGCCTGGGTTACAAGAGCGAAACTCCGTCTCCAAAAAAAAAAAAAAAAAAAAAAAAAAAAAAGGATGCATGTTCAGTGAGGTCAAATAACCTACTCCACTTAGTTTGTAAGCATCAGTCTTGGGCCAAAAGTCATGTCCACTTGATGCTGGGATTCCACTTCAATCAAATGAGGCAATTGGACTCTACTGCAGCTAACTGCTACTTACACATCAGAATTACCCAAGGAGCTTTAAACATATTTATCTATCCCTCTGACCCAGGCTGACTGAATCAGCATCCCTGGGTGTGGGCTGGGAATGTGTCTTTTCAGCACACTTCCCCAGCAAGATAAAAGTGCCTCTGTAAACTGAGAGCAGGAAACCAGTGGGCAAGATTGTCAACTCATGGAGTCAGGGACATGTTTAATTCATTTGTGAATCCCCTGGTACTGGCACATAGAAAGCGTCCCATATTATCTGCAAAATGAATGAATGAATAAATGAGCAAGTAGGTGAATGAATGATTCTGAGGTCTCCTCCAGCTTTGATGGCCTATGACCGTGTGACTCCTGCATATGCATGAACACACAGACACAGACACTACACACATGCACAGACACACATACACACTTGGAGCAAAGAGGGATGAAGCCTGCCACACTGCAGGTGGTCCTAGCTGCCTGACCTCCCTTCCTCACACACTGACACACCTCCCTCTTTGTTGACCTGTTATTTATTGTGCACCCATTGGGTGCATGGCCTAGCCCTAGGCCCTGGCCGGAGACCCAAACATGGCCTCCAAGGGCCAACCTTACTTTGTGGAGGTGCAAGCCCCAGAGCTGGTTACAAGCATGGGAAGGGAGGAGGGTGGCCTAGCAGGAAGGCTGGGGAGGCAGTGTGTCAGCCGGCAGGCAGCAGCGGGTAGCAGAGGCCCCCTCTTGGCGGGCAGCCTACTTGCACACTTGGCTGAACAGAGACAATGGTGGCTGGTCCCTCCGGCCCAGCCTCCTTCCTACAGGCAGAGCCCCAAGTCCATGAGTCTCCGGAACCTCCCTCAGAGAACAAGCCCAGCTGGGAGGCAGCCAGAGGGCAGGATGAGGGGATTTCCCAGGGGAGAGCAGCAGAGACCCTCTGAGCTGCCAGAGATGGGGAAGGGGTCCAGGCACCCCACAGGAAGGAAGGTTTAAGGCATGTGTAGAAAGGAGCACAGAAAAGTCTCCCGAGCCTGGCCTAGGCCTCGCCTGGTCGCCAGCCTCCGTCCCATCCCTCACAACTCTCCTGAGCTGTGGCTCCTGCCAGGCAGACCCCTAAGGGAAACTGTCGCCACCTTTTACCTCTCTATCCTCTCCAGTGGTCTGAACATAGAGAACCTCCTTCTCTGCTCTGTTGGAACAAAGGCTCCTTGTTCCTAGGGTTCCAGGGTTCCCTGCAAAGCTCTGGAGGCCCCACCCCGCCCAGCCCTCACTCATGCCATCAGCTCTGCTCTGTTGATGAGCAGTTGGGTATGTGAGACTGTTTCATCTACTTCGGGGGAAAGGAGACACAAGGAGACAAAGGCACAGGGCCCCACAGCCGTGCAGAGCCCTTGAAGCCCCCCGAGGTCCCTGCCCAGAAGGCTGTCCCCTCAGTGGGCAGGACCTTAGCGACCCTGCTCCCTGGGTCACAGGAGGCTGGTTAGGAATTTCTCAAGAGTCCCTGATTCACTCTCCTGGGGCCTCCCCAGGAAGGTCACCTAATTCCCAGAGCAAGACCATCCTTGGGGCTGTGGCTCCCCTGGCTGGGCTGCCCAGGGGCCTCTGCTGCCCCAAGCTCTCCCCCAGAAGCCAAGGGCACACCACATAAGCACTGGTTCTCAAACAAGTGCTGAGTTCTCAGCAAGTCTAGGAAATGAGGCCACTCTGGATTCTGGGGCCTGGAGGGTGACATGGGCTGAGCTCTGGGAGGAAAGTCAAGTCCTCACCTCCCTCTTCCCTTGGGCGTGGCCAGGGACTGGGGCTGCGGAGGGACTGCCATGGGGGTGGTGGGGAGCACAGCAATATTAGGAAAGCTTCAGGGAGCACAAGAATGAGGGCCACAGGGAAACAAGGTTTGTCCTTCAGCAGGGAAAGGAGGTGCCTCATCCGTCATGGTGGACTCATTGAAATAAGTCTCCTCCAGGGAGGTTCATCTCAGGTCTACCCTGGAGCAGGGAACAGTGTCTCTGAGGTGGTGCTGGCTTCACAGCTGATTGCGGTTCCGCTTAGGGATGATCTTCCGGTAGGTTCTGCGCTCTGAGATGTTGCGCTTCACCTTGGCCGTGGTGGGAGCCTCATCCTGGTGCAGGGACGGGCTCGAGTGGGACTTCTTCAGGCTGAGCTTGGGCTCCCGAGTGCCTCCAGCTTCCCTCCCCAGCTGCTCCTCCCACAGGTCCAGAGCATCAGAGGGGCAGTGCAGGCGGGCCACCAGCAGCTGCACGTAGGTCTCGTAGCGGGTTTTCTGCAACACACAGGCCCCACCACCTTAGCACCATCCTGGCTCCAGGTTGGGAGGAGGCTAGAATCGTGAGGGACAGCTCACAGGTACATGAAGCTATGGCGATACAGACCTCGACAGAAAGAGGGCTGGACCAACCGTGAGTGTCAGTATAATGCTTGGATAAGCAGACTGCAGAGCACACCTCTGGATAGTATTATAATGACACATATCAGCCCAGCCCTGTTCTAATAATAACCAACCCCTTGGAGTGCTGTAACTAACATCTCTATGCCATGTTCCATCTTTGAGGCACTAAAAGATGTGTCACCCACTATGCCTGAGATCTTTGCAGCCCTACACACAAACAGCTCACATCTGTACAGCCCTAATTGGGTCTAAATAGCATTTTAACAATTGGCATCTGTGGAGCATGATGCTAACTACCCTCATCTACTTAACACTGTACTCCTGAGGCCCCTGCAGCTAGCATCCTTGGGATATGGTTTCCAGTTTACAAAGTGCTTCCTCACCCTCCATCCCATTGGATCCTCATGCCAGCCCTGGGAGGGGACAAATCATTGCGGAAGGGAGGGCTGGTGACTTGTTAAAGGTCCCAGCTGGTCAGTGGGAGGAAGAGGTTGGGTCCTCACAGCCACACCCTGAGGCCTCTGAGAAGTGGGGAGTTCACAGCCATGGATACAACCAACAAGCCAAGGGATAGCCTGGGACCTTGAAAGACAGGCAGAGGGCTGCATGCGGGCACAGCGGGGACAGGCAGGAGGCGATGTTGACTCCCACTTCCTGGTCTCTGCCTCTGGGTGGCCTCTGATTCCCTCTATTTTCACATTGCATTCACCTACCCTTCCTGCCCAGTGGGCCCTCACCCTAAGCAGGCACCCAGGATCCCTGAAGCAGGCACCCAGTGTTAGGATCCCAGATGAACTGACGTCACACCAAAGCAGAATTGGGGAGTGTGGGTGGATGGGTGAGGGTTGGGGGAGACTAAGGGATAAAACATTTCAACATGGGCTGTAGAGTCAACAAAGTCATTACTGGCCGGGGCAGTGGATCACACCTGTAATCCCAGCACTTTGGAAGGCTGAGGCAGGCAGACCACTTGAGGCCAGGAGTTCAAGTCCAGCTTTGCCAACATGGTGAACCCCTGTCTCTACTAAAAATACAAAACTTATCCAGGTGTGGTGGCTCACACCTGTAATCCCAGCTACTCGGGAGGCTGAGGCAGGAGAATCGCTTGAACCTGGGAGGCGGAGGTTGCAGGGAGCTGAGATCGAGCCACTGCACTCCAGCCTGGGCGACAGAGCGAGACTTTGTCTCAAAAACAAAAACAAAAACAAAAAAACACGGTCATTTCTTAGTTAAGACCATAAACGGGGCATTTAGAGCAGCATGTAAATTTACCAGATTTGGAAGAGTAGTTTAATTTCTCTGTGCCTCAGTTTCCTCATCTGTAAAATGAGGATAACAGGACCTACCCAGAGCTGTTAATTGAATGAGACAATCCATGCAAGGAAGACAAGCTCCATCCATACTACCTATTAATATTTGGTAGGTATTAGAAGGAACAGTTGAGCTGAAATACAGTTTTCCCTTCAACTTGGGAAAAGCCAAATATACTCTTAGGAGAAAAGAAAACTGTAAAATAACATCTGCTATGGGTGTTTCCAGACAAGCAGCTGCTATGTGCCCCCAGGACGAGAGGCGACAGGCCTAAGTGCGTGGGGACACACACTCTTTGTGCACGCCCGTGCACGCGGGTGTCCATGTGGGAGCCCCCGCCCCTTTGCAGACGGCGCACGCGGGCCCCGCCCGCACGCAAGCGCCTCTCCCCGCCCCGGCGCGGTCAGGGCAGTGACGGCTGCAGGGACCGAGGCGGCCACGAGAGGGCGGAGAGGGCGCTGCGCAGCGGCGGGGAGGTGGGCTCGGCCGCTCACCTCGTACTCCAGGTACTCCTTCCGCAGGCGGTGCTCCTCCAGCTCGCGGCCACGGCCCCGCCGCTCCGGCAGGTTCCTCTGTAGATCCAGCAGGTCGTCCGCGGCAGCGTCCAGGCAGTTCTCGTGGGATCGATGCTGCTCCTCCTGCGAGCAGCGGGCGGTGAGGGGCGCTGTCCCGGGCGTCCCCTCCGCCGCTTTCCGGGCCCGGGCGCGCCGCCCCCCTGGCCGCCTCGGTTCCCAGGCCAAGTGCGCAGCCCGCCTCCAGCCTCCCCGAGTTAGTCCTGGGGCTCCAGGTGCACATTCCCAGTTCCGCCGGACCCCACCCCTTCCCGGAGGCCGTACCAGGGAGCTCTGGGCGGGGCCCACGGGCAGGATGGGCCGCACGAATCTGCGCTGGGAGCCCACAGCGGCGGGGAAGGGCG
Organism: Homo sapiens; assembly: GCF_000001405.40. Taxonomy (NCBI): domain Eukaryota; kingdom Metazoa; phylum Chordata; class Mammalia; order Primates; family Hominidae; genus Homo; species Homo sapiens. Next base: position 113,198,804 of record NC_000002.12, on the reverse strand, counting down.
GCGCGGAGTGCGTGGCCGCAGCCAAGTTGATGCGCGCGATCCAGGAGCTCATCTCCTTGGCAGTGCTGGGGCAAAGGAGGTCGTTGGTCCCCGGGGACACAGAGTCCGTCCTGTCACCCTCCTCCCGCCCCCTCCTGTGGCTGCTTGCACAGCTGGCCAGCTGCTCAGAACTCAGCCTCCCATAGTTACAGCCCTGCCACTAGCCGGGCACCCGACCTCTGACCGTGGCATTTCTTATCAATAAAGAGGAAAATTTGGAGGCCCGGTGCGGTGGCAACGCCTTGGCAGGCGGATCACCTGAGGTCAGGAGTTCGAGACCAGCCTGGTCAACAGGGTGAAACCCCGTCTCTACTAAAAATACACAAATTAGCCAGGCGCGGTGGCGCCCGCCTTTAATCCCAGCTACTCGGGAGGCTCAGGCATGAGAATCGCTTGAACCCGGGAGGCGGCGGTTGCAGTGAGCCGAGGTGAGAGTCACTGCACTCCAGCCAGGACGACAGAGCGAGACTCTGTCTCAAAAATAAACAATAAAAAATAAAGAGGACAATCTGAGAAGGTGACAGATTTCATAACAAATGCCAGATATGGTCAATCATTAGCAACTTCCCGGAATCCTGTGTTCTGAACTGGGAGGCTTTATCCCACTGACAAGGAAAAGGCATACTGTGCTGGCAAAGTTGGCCAAGGATGGGGAGGAAGTAGGCGATGCCTGGGCTTCATCCCTGGTCCCCAGCTCCTCTTCCTGCTGCCGCTTTCTAAGAATTTCTGATCATACGGCCATTCCCACCAGGACCCCCTGGGGCCCACAAGCCTCAGGTGTCAGCAGGGTCAGGGGAGAGAGAACTAGGGCAGGGCAAGGCCTTGCCACAGTCTCCCACCCCAGGGACTTACGGTGCCTGGAAGAGGTAGAGGCGCCAGTCAGCCGTGCGCAGCTGGAAGACGTGCGGCTTCTTGGTGTAATGCGTGGCGGGGGTGGCCAGCGAGTGGTGCACCCCCACGGGCTCATCCACCATCTGCCCCACCAAGCTCTCCCCCTCCAGACAGTGGTCTTCTCCCTGCTACCAGTCACAGGGGCTCAGAGAAGAGGTTATCATCAGCTGCCCACCCTCCAGACTGTTCTGGGCCTCTCTCAGTCTCCCATTCTGACAGGGGTGTTGGCTCCTTTCCTACCTTCAGGAAGTAGAGAACCATCCCTCGCAGTAAGGTGTGGAACATCTTCCAGCCACGCTTGCCCCATGGCGCTGTTCCAGGAACAGAACACAAATGTTGTAGGTGGGGGCACCAGCATCCAGACACACTCAGACACACGCAAGTGTGCATATGCCCCCTGTCCCTCACACCACCTCCAGTCTCTCACCAGGATGCACACAAATGCAGAACATGCCAACACAAGAAAACACATACAATCGTAAACAAACATATAGAGTCTCTCCACACACAGGCAATGCCCGCTGGAAACAAAACCATAGAACCACTCACATCCAAATATAGATATTCATACATATCATCTTCTCTCCAACTCCAAACACACACCCACTACCCCAAGTAGTGGCAAACACCCAGGCACAAACACAGCTCCTCCCAGACAGCTTTCTAGTCCCTGCAGGATGATCTTGACCTTGCATACCCATCTAGAGGGGCTCAAGGGCGCAGAGCCCAGCTTTGGGGTGCCCTTCCCTGTGTACCCCACTCTGAGCACCACCTGCCCTCTTTTCCCCCTACCTCTCCACCCTGGTCTTGTGTGGTAAGATCCATTCTAAGCTCCTTGGACAAAAGGCAGCCCTAGGGCCCCGGCGGCTTCACAGCCAATGCTAGTTCCCATCCTGGTCGCCCCAGCCTATTCAATCTGTGCTTGCACATTAGTCTGCTGAGATCACCACTCTGGACATGTTGGTGCCATAATCAAAAGCCTTCAGCTGCCTGTGGAATAAGGCCCAAATGCAGGCCCTGGCAATTTTGCCTCAAGTGTACCTCCCTTTCACACACCCCATGTTCTGAGCAAACTCGGCTTGCTGTTTTCTCTGTGGGGGATGCCCTCTGCCCAGCTTCCAAATTCCAGACCCTCTTCTCCTCCAAAGTTCAGCGCAGATACCATCACTTACCAGAAGCCTTACCTCTCCCTGTAGCCACATCCCGCTTCCAAAACAAAACCAAAAACCTTTTTCTCCTCACTTGATTCAGCCCCTAGACACTCAGCTCTTGCTACATTTTTTTCGCAGACATTGACACACTTGTCTAATCTCTACCTTACTACAGGGACTCTGGGGCCCAGGAATAACTAGGCCTGTTTTGTCTGGGTTCTCCTACCTACCCTCTAGTGCCTCACACAGCATCCAGCACATGGTCACTGTTCAGTACGCACTGAGGAAGGAACATGGGCTGGCTGCCTGTCCTCAACGCGGGCTGTCTCTCTGCACACCTGTGCATGCATCGGCACAGGTCCCTGAGCAGGGCTGCTCCCAGCACGCCACCCTGTTTGTGGGCAGCAGACACTCACTCTTCTTGCCGTCTGCATCTTGATGCATTTTCCGAGCCAGGATGCCCTGCTTGTAGGTGGGCACTGTGGGATCCTGAGCCAGCTGAAGGAAGGGCTTGCTCATCTTGCCAGCTGGCAGGGACGGCTGGGCCTTCTCAGGTCTGGCTGTGTCTTCTTCATCCCTGAACATCAGAGAATCGGGCTGGAAGTGCTGACTATGCAAAGAGAACTGGGAGGTATCCATTGCCTCCCAGAGCCTTAGCAACCTCTCTTTTCCTGGGAAGCCACACCCCAGGACCCCCCACAAGGAGTCCTCCTTCACAGTGAACCCATCAATTCCTGAAAATTCTGCCATACCCCACGCCCCACTACCTCTGGCCCTCCGGTATTACTTGGGCTCCTCTATGCTCTCTCCCCAGAGCCCTGCCTCTGGCTTTGCCTCACTCCAAGGGGAGCACTATCTGAGTTTCTCTAACTCTCGGGTGGGTGACAGAGGGAGGACAGTCCAAAGACAGGGGAGAGGGGTGAGAGGGAGAGGGGAAAGGGAGTCTCACTCACACGGCCCACTCGAGCTTCTCGCTGCGGATAGACCAGTAGAGGGCCTGGAACAGAAGCACACAGGTGGGCAGGGGAGCCTCAGGGCTGTGGAGCCTAAAGTCTCTTTGTCTGGCAGAGGTAGGATAGGGGCATGTGTACAGCCTGCCTCCTCCACCCACAACATAGGTGCCCTTCCTCCTTGAGTAAGCAAGCATCCATCCATCCATCCATCCATCCATCCATCCATCCATCCATCCGTGCAACAAAGTATTTCTGGAGTATTTCCCAGCAACAAGCACTATGCTGGGTGCTAGAGACATAAAGATGACCTGCCAGGCACAGTGGCTCACACCTCTAATCCCTGCACTTTGGGAGGCCGAGGCGGGTGGATCACTTGAAGTCAGGAGTTCGAGACCAGCCTGGCCAACATGATGAAACCCTGTCTCTACTAAAAATACAAAAAATTATCTGGGCGTGGTGGTGCACACCTGTAATCCCAGCTACTCAGGAGGCTGAGGCAAGAGAATTGCTTGAACCCGGGAGGCGGAGGTTGCAGTGAGCCAAGATCACACCACTGCACTCCCGCGACAGTGCAGGATGAGACTCCATCTCAAAAAAAAAAAAAAGATGATGACCAGGGCAGACAAGTCCCTGTCCTGCCCATGCTTACTGAGGCCTTAACTAGTTCTCATGGAGGAGAAATGAATTACCTACATGGCATTCTACTGGGAGGGATCTGATGGAGAAGAAACTGGCTGACCAATCCCCACAATAAATGTGCAGTAAATGAATGAATGATGCACTAAAAGTTTGACATATTAACGTAGATGTTATCTCGCTTGCTTCTATAGCTCTTGCGGTGCCTAGCAAAAAGTCTGGCACATAGTAGGTGTTCAGTAAATGTTCATGAAGTACAGCCATGTACCATATAACAGCATCATGATGGTTCAGTCAAGGATGAACTGCATACATGATAGTGGTCCTGTAAGGTTGTGATGGAGCTGTCCTATACAGATGTATCATTTTTAATCTTTTCTATCATGTGTTTATTGTACCTTTTCTATGTTTAGATATACAAATACAGCACTGTGTTAGAATTGCTTGCAGTATTAAGTACAGCAGCATGCCATACAGGTTTGTAGCCCAGGAGCAATAGACTATCCCATATAGCCCTGGTGTGCAGTGAGCTGTACATCTAGGTTTGTGTAGGTTCACTCTATAATGTTCACACAATAGTGAAAATGCCCAACGATGCATTTCTCAGAACACACCTTCATCGTTAAGTGATGCGTGACTGTGATGAAACAGCAAATGATTTTAATTGCTTATGACACACATGCTATGTGCCAAGCACCGTGCTGAGCACTTGGAAGATTTCATTTCATCTTGATAATGGCATGGTAAGTGGTTAATACTCTCAGGAAGAACTTGAGTTGGCCAAGAGGGGGCAAATTGCCCAAGACTAGAATTCAAACCCAGGAACACCAGGCTCCCAAGTCTGAGCTCCAGACTTTCACCATGTGTAGCTTTGCCCTTCTCAGACTTTGAAGGGGTAAGAATGACTTGAAAACTTAAGAAAATATTTTAGGGGTCCCAGTCTCAGAGAGTCTGATTCAATAAGTCCAGCACAGGGAGCCTGCAGATTTGCATGGATAACAAATTCCAAGATGCTTCTGATGCTGCCCGCCAGGGAATACACTTTTACTAGCCCTTCAATAAACAAGTCCTGTTCTCTCAAGGATATTTTGGCAAAGCCAGTCCCAAGCTCAGCATCTCCCTTGGAACAAAGAACCAAGGCTCCAGGTCCTACATGAGGCTCATAAGAAGACCCCGTGGCACATACCTTCAGCAGCTCCTTGGGGAAGTTCCCGCCATCCCTCAGCCCATTCAGGTTGGTTATGAATTCCTGGCAGCTCATGCTCTTCCCAATGTTCTGTAGCCACGGAGAAGTGGGATGACTCGAGCACACACCCCATCCCAATAGAATAACCTCCCAGCCAGCAACCATGGAACCCTTTCCAGCTCCCCAGGCCCACATCCCTCAGGGGTGTTCCCTGCCCGGTCTCAGGCCTCTGGTCTTCTCCTCCCCGCACCCCTTGTTACAGCCTCAGTTCCCACAGGGACTCTCTCCACCGTCTTACCTGTCCATGCAGGTCCGTGTTAAGCAGCATGATTGCACATGTCAAGGTGTGTACAGAATCTACCCCAGAGATAGGTAAGTGGAGAGAAAGCTCATTGGAACCAGGGCTCCTGTTTCCTCTGCCCACACTGCGTGGGGTAACCGAATAACCCCTGGAATGCTTCCATTCTCCACAGCCCCCAACACACTCCCACCAGTTCACTGTCACCTACTGAACTCCCAAGCAGACATGGGCACCCCAAAGTTTCCCTGCTTTGCTGTCAGGGCCAGCCCCTCCCTACCTACTGAGGGGAAGATCCCCGGATTGCAATGGTGGAAGCGTCTGGAGAACTGGTAGAGGATTCGCTCCCGTTCCTGAGTCTCCCCACTGAGCACCAAGGCCTGGAGGAAGCTCCTGCAAAGGAGGGCCAGGGTCAAGGAGAGAGCCCGGGAGCTTAGGGCCAATCAGATCCCAGCCTCAGGCTGGTGCCACTGCCCCATGCCATCCTCCACAGCCTCCCCAGAGAGGGCCCAAAGACATTACCGGAGGGCTCGGTCCAGACTCTGGCCTCCAAACTGGAAGAAGGACAGGTACTCCTCAGCCACAGCCCTGCTAAAGTCATTGCTGCAGAGGGAAAAGGGGCATGGAGTCTGCACCAGGGGCCTGGGCTGGGGCTGCAGATGCACTGGGGCCCCCAGGGCCTGCACACATTATGCGGTGGGGGTGAGCAAGGGAAGGGTGCAGGCACGCTGGGCCTTGGGTCCTGACAGAGCAAGGGGGCAGCCAGGGTCTGGTATGCCCTGCTACCCTATTCAGTGTACACTGGGAGACACTGGGAGAGACCTGTGGAGTCTGGTTGGCAAGGCAGTGGGGACCAAGGACCAAGGGTGTGGAGAGCATGAGGACCATGACTGAGAGTAAGCAGCAGATACAGTGAGGGTATGGGGGAAAAGTTAGGAGGGGAGATGGGAAGGGAACAGGGCAGGGACGGGAAGGGGAGGGTGGCCAGTGGAGGGAGCCCTTCAGCAGCTCCTCCCTGGCTGCCTCAGCCTCCAGCCTTCCCCAGGCTCAAAGCCCCTTACTTCTTCTGCAGGTAGGCAGCCACTTCAGACTTCCGGAAGCCCTCCAGGCGATAGAGGCGTGAGGCCAAGTTCCAGGCTACCTTGTTGTTCCTGACGCCATTAGCTAGCTTGTCTCCAGCTGGTGGTCTCTGGCCTTCCTCTGGGGACTGTGCTTGGGGCATAGGGCTCCCAGGAAGCCAAGAAGAGTTCATCGGTGTCCTCAGATTCTCACTTGAGATAGACATGCAGGAGCTCTGGGTCAAGTGTTCTTGCAGGTCAGTTGTGGCAAGAGTTCCCCGAGCTCAGCGCCTTGAATGGTGGGGCCCGGAGGAGCTGGACCCAGGCCCTTACTCAGGGAAGAGACAGAGTCACAGCCAGACTGACTTAGCCTGGCCTGGGACCAGGAGAACCCCGAGAGGAAGGTATTCATGCAAGGTCTCCAGGTCTGGGGTCCTGCGCTTTCTCAGGTAAAGCACAGCCATGTTCCGAGTTTATCTCACCTCAGGTGGCAGGTGCATCCCTGTGAGGCCCCTAGCGTTGTTTTCTCCAATGCAAGGCACGTGGGATTGTCTCCCTCACCTGTCCTGTGGTCCTCCTGTACCTCCTTGTCCCTTCCCCACCTCCCAGCTCTGGCTCTAGCCTCCACTCCTAGATCTGGAGCCAAGAAACCTGTAAGGATGAGCTGAGAACAGGAAGCTAGGTGGGCTCTAGTAATGGCAGCAGCTGGGGTAGTTCAGGAGGTGGTCCTCAGCCTCTCCCTTCCCCCACCTAGCAGCCTGGATGACAAGGAGACTGAGTGGTGACCTATGACCTAGTGTGAACAGGCCTGGGTGACCCCCAGCCGACTCAGAACCTCCCAGTCCAGCACTAAGACTCTCAGATGTCACTCAATCCAATCTAAACCTGACTCTTCTGCTTCCCCGACAACATTACAATCAAGTGTGGGGTATTCCAGTTATTTAAACATTCATTATTCAAGTGATACAATTAGGAAGTTGAACTGGTAAGCAGAAGACATCATAATATGAAAACATTCCAGGGGCCTGGGCGCAGTACTCAGCCTGTAATCCTACTGCTTTGGGAGGCCAAGGCAAGTGGATCACTTGAGGCCAGGAGTTCGAAGCCAGCCTGGCCATCATGGCGAAACGCTGTCTCTACTAAAAATACAAAAATTAGGCAGGGTGGCACATGCCTGTAGTCCCAGCTACTCAGGAGGCTAAGGCAGGAGAATCACTTGAACCCAGGAGGCGGAAATTCCAGTGAGCTGATATTGTGACACTGCACACCAGCCTGGGCAACAGAGCAAGATGCCGTCTAAAAGAAAAAAAAGAAAACAATCCCTGATAAACAGATATATAACATTAGAATTCACTTAAACACCCTCACTATCTAACACAGCTGGGTCAGGGTTAATGGGAGGGTTAACCCCATGCCCATCACAAGGTCTTTGGGTGATGGTGACAGAATGTCAATCAGTGCCAGAAACCAAAGAACCATCTTCCTTATGCATCTGGAAACTAGGCTGCCCCGTGGAGAGGTTCAGAGGCTTGGTAGCCAGAGAAGTTCCAGCCTCTGAAAAGGGAAGTTTCTTCATGCCAAAAATTAAAGTTCACCCAACCCAAAATAGAAGTAACTAAATCTAACTAAAATGAGAACATACTTTCATAGTAAATAATGAAAAGGTTTACTTGGAGCTTTATCTTGGTAAATGTACAAATAAGTTTATTTAAATCTTATAGTAAACACAATGCCTAAAATTTAATTTTCCCAGCACAAGTTTTCTGGCTGGATAAGACATCTTGCATTCATCCTTGATTTTCACAGTAAGATCATAAAGGCCATTAAAAACAGTAACAGGCTGGGTGCAGTGGCTCATGCCTATAATCCCAGCACTTTGGGAGGCCGAGGTGGGAGGATTGCTTGAGCTCAAGAGTTGGAGACCAGCCTTGTGGTCTGCCTGGGCAACATGGTGAGACCACATCTCCATAAAAAATAAAAATAAGTAAAAATTAGCTGGGTGTAGTGATACACGCCTGTGGTCCCAGTTACTTGGGAGGCTGAAGTGGGAAGATCACTTGAGCCTGGGAGGCTGAGGCTTCAGTGATTCATGATTGTACCTCACACTCCAGGCTGGGCAACAGTGTGAGATCCTGTCTCAAAAAAATAATAATAATAACAGCTGTTTTGAAATAGAATTCACATACCGCCCAATTCACTCATTTAAAGTGTACAATTTACAGCCAACTGATCTTCAACAAAGCAAACAAAAACATAAAGTGGGGAAAGGACACACTTTTCAAAAAATGGTGTTGGGATAATTGGCTAGCCACAAGGAGGACACACTTTTTCAACAAATGGTGTTGGGATAATTGGCTAACCACAAGAAGGAGAATGACACTGGATCCTCATCTCTCACCTTACACAAAAAACAACTCGAGATGTATTAAGGACTTAAATCTAAGACCAGGAACTATAAAAATTCTAGAAGATAACATTGGAAAAACCCTTCTAGACATTGGCTTAGGTAAGGATTTCATGACCAAGAACCAAAAGCAAATGCAATAAAAACAAAGATAAATTGCCAGGACTTAATTAAACTGAAGAGCTTTTGCATGACAAAAGGAACAGTCAGCAGAGTAAATAGAAAACCCACAGAGTGGGAAAAAATCTCCACAATCTATACATCTGACAAAGGACTAATATCCAGAATCTACAATGAACTCAAACAAATCAACAAGAAAAAAACAAATAATCCCATCAAGAAGTGGGCTAAGGACATGAATAGACAATTCTCAAAAGAAGATATACAAATGGCCAACAAATATATGAAAAAATGCTCAACATCACTAATGATGAGGGAAATGCAAATCAAAACCACACTGCAATAACACCTGACTCCTGCAAGAATGTCCATAATCAAAAAATCAAAAAATAGACGTTGGCATGGATGAGGTCAATAGGGAACGCTTCTACACTGCTGGTGGGAATATAAACTCATACAATCACTATGGAAAACAGTGTGGAGATTCCTTAAAGAACTAAAAGTAGAACTGCCATTTGATCCAGCAATCCCACTACTGGGTATCTACCCAGAGGAAAATAAGTCATTATAAGAAAAATATACTTGCATACACATGCTTATGCTTATAGCAGCACAATTTGCAATCACAAAAGCATGGAACCAACCCACATGCCGATCAATCAATGAGTGCATAAAGAAACTGTGGTGTGTATGTGTGTGTGTATATATATATATATACTATTATATATTCAATTATATATAATTGAATCACATATATGATTGAATATGCATATATATTATTGAATATATATATATATGATTCAATACTACTTAGCCATAAAAAGGAATGAATTAATGGCACTCACAGCAACCTGGATGAGATTGGAAACTATTATTCTAAGTGAAGTAACTCAGGAATGGAAACGCAAACATCCTATGTTCTCACTCATAAGTGGGAACTAAGCTATGAGGATGCAAAGGCATAAGAATGACACAGTGGACTTTGGAGACTCAGGGGTAAAGGGTGAAAGGCGGTTAAAGGATAAAAGACTACAAATAGGGTGCAGTGTATACTGCTCTGGTGATGGGTGCACCAAAACCTCACAAATCACCATTCAAGAACTTATTCATGCAACCAAACACTGCTTGTTCCCCAATAACCTATGGAAATAAAAATTATAAAAAAGAAAGAAAAGAAAATTCAAGTTAAAAAGATAAAATAGGCAGGGCGTGGTGGCTCACGCCTATAATCCCAGCACTTTAGGAGGCCAAGGCGGGCAGATCACGAGGTCAGGAGATCAAGACCACGGGGAAACCCCGTCTCTACTAAAAATACAAAAAATTAGCCGGGCGCAGTGGCGGGCGCCTGTAGTCCCAGCTACTAGGGAGGCTGAGGCAGGAGAATGGCCTGAACTTGGGAGGCAGAGTTTGCAGTGAGCCGAGATCACGCCAGTGCATTCCAGCCTGGGCCACAGAGTGAGACTCCATCTCAAAAAAATAAATAAATAAAATAAAATAAAATAATAAAGTGAGGTCAGGCACAGCGGCTCAGGCCTATAATCCCAGCACTTTGACAGACTGAGGCGAGTGGATTCGAGAGTTCAAGACAAGTCTGATCAAGAGTTCGAGACCAGCCTGGACAACATGGTGAAGCCCCCTCTCTACTAAAAGTACAAAAATTAGCCAGGCATGGTGGCACACGCCTGTAATCCCAGCTACTCGGAAGGCTAAGGCAGGAAAGTCACTTGAACCCGGGAGGCAGAGGTTGCAGTGAGCCAAGATCGCAACATTGCACTTCAGCCTGGGCAGCAAGAGCAAAACTCTGTCCCAAAACAAAACAAAAAAATAAAGGGTACAATTTTATGATAATTTATATTTGCATACTTTTTTTTTTCAAAGTGCTCCCTCATCTAAGTATTATTTTAGTAACAACACTAATTGACTAGGTCATTTTTAAAAGCATATTTTAGGGCTTCGTCAGTTGATTTTTCGAGTAATTCTCTTTAGATGTGACAATTTATTCTTTATTTTTATTTTCTCCTCTTCCATTGTTCACTGGACAATCTCTTTTGGTTCCCGATTTGTCAGTGGTTTTCCACGTGACTTGTGAGGTCTTTCAACATCACTTTCACAGACCTTATGAAATCATGTTTTTTGACAGGATTTGTACTTACACTTTTCTGTTAGCTTCTGTTGTGCTTCTCCTGCATTATGTAGTGTTCATGAGCCTCAAGAGGCAGTGAGAAGTCACCAGCAAAGACCCTGACCCGTCTGTGTTAGGTGGAGAGGGTGCTTAAGTGAAACCTAATGTTATTCGTCTGTTTATCAGGGAACGTTTTCATATTATGATGACTCCTGCTTACTGGTTCAACTTCCTGTGTCACTTGGATAATGAATGCTTAAATAACTAGAATACCTGATTGTGACGTTGTGGGGGAAGCAGAAGAGTCAGGTTTAGATTGGATTGAGTGACATCTGAGAGTCTTAGTGCTGGACTGGGAGGTTCTGAGTCGGCTGGGGGTCACCCGGACCTGTTCACACTGGGTCATAGGTCACCACTCAGTCTCCTTGTCATCCAGGCTGCTAGGTGGGGGAAGGGAGAGGCTGAGGACCACCTCCTGAACTACCCCAGCTGCTGCCATTACTAGAGCCCACCTAGCTTCCTGTTCTCAGCCCCCTTACAGCCTTCTAGGCTCCAGATCTAGGAGTGGAGGCTAGAGCCAGAGCTGGGAGGTGGGGAAGGGACAAGGAGGTATAGGAGGACCACAGGACAGGTGAGGGAGACAATCCCACGTGCCTTGCATTGGAGAAAACAACGCTAGGGGCCTCACAGGGATGCACCTGCCACCTGAGGTGAGATAAACTCGGAACATGGCTGTGCTTTACCTGAGGAAGCGCAGGGCCCCAGACCTGGAGACCTTGCATGAATACCTTCCTCTCGGGGTTCTCCTGGTCCCAGGCCAGGCTAAGTCAGTCTGGCTGTGACTCTGTCTCTTCCCTGAGTAAGGGCCTGGGTCCAGCTCCTCCGGGCCCCACCATTCAAGGCGCTGAGCTCGGGGAACCCTTGCCACAGCTAACCTGCATGGACTGCACCATTAGGTCCATGACATGAACCACTGCTGGTTCCTGCTAGTCCCATTAACATGACTCACATTCAGCCAATTAGAAAACAAAATGCCTTTTTCAGTGTGGAGATCCCAGGGGCATATAGTCTTGAGGCAGCATTCTGGGACAAGTGGACATCTAGGTTGGTTTCTCAGTTGGCCTATTCCTACTTCTGGTCACAGTTCTGGGGTTACACAATCCTATGTTGGGCCCCAAGATCCATTCCCTTGGTCCCCATCAAACCTCCACTTGATGAGATCCGAGCCAGTGCCCCAGGCCCAGGTTCTTTGGTGAATGCCTCCCAGATACCTCCTCAAATTCAAAGCAGTCCATAATCCCCACATTACAAGCTCTGACCTTGCACTTCCCTGGCCTGCCAGCATGGCTCCCGTTTTTCTGGGCAGGCACACGCCCTTGCTCAGGTTCCCTGGACACCTCCTCCCCTTCCTCCTCTCCTGGTCTCCAGCTGTGGATGCTTCTTCTGAAGCCCTGCACCAGCACACTCAGATCTCGCCTCCACGTGTATAACTATCTGCTGTTTTGTTTCTGATGCTTCTGAATCTTACGGTCTTTCTCAAAACTCTTCCTGGTACCCACTCATATAATCCTTGCTTAATAAATATGGGTATGTTTAATTCCAATGTGCATTTCTCACCCTCCATCCAGACTAGAATATTCTTAAATGCATCCATAATTAGGAGCATGAGAGCCAGTTAGTCTGAGACTTACTGTTCTGCAGAAGTCAGGTGAATGTCAGGCTGGACGTCTCCAGTCTCTGCAGGCCTGGCTGTTCCTTCACTCTTTACTTCCTCGCCTGGTTTTGGGGCCTCCCCTGCCTCCTTTTTCTTCAAGGAACTTGGCTGTTCCCCATCCGTCTCCAAGAGTGAAGACTGTGAAGCATCTAGTGTCCACTTGGGCAAAATGCCTGAGCTGTGGTGTTGAAGCTGCGGGCTGCCCTCCTGGGACGATGCAGGGCTGGGCCTGGGACCAGGGCCTCTGCTCTCAGATTCTGGGCTGCTAGGCTCTGGAGAAGAAGCTGGGCTCCTCCAGGGGCAGGGGGCCAAGGTGCAGGGAAGAGATTCCTGGGGGTGTCCACCCTCCCTCTCATCTGAGGAAGAACATGAAGTGAGGCGGGCACAGGGCAGGAGGCAGGAGAACGGCCTGGGCACCACCTCCAGAGGCTCCCTCCCTGGGGCTCCTCCCCTGGAGCCTGGCAGCATGCCCTGTCCTCCCTCGGGCAGTGACCTCTCCCACTTGCAGAGGCAGCAGACAGCGGGCTCCCAGGACTCAAGCCTCCAGGCAACTAAGGGCTCAGGACCTTTGCTAAACCATTAAGACCCAGCGGTAAGAAATGCTGGTCCTTTTGTACGTTTCCTTCATTTAATTTTAAAGAGGCAGGATTTAACCCCAAGTCTGTCTGGCTTAAACACAATATAATGGGACCCATTAATGGCAACCATGGATCCAAGAATGATCTTTGTCCCCACTCCAAATTCCAAATCCTCCCAGGACCCAATTTCCCAAACCCCCTTATTAGGGCTCACCTCTGTCCTGGGAGTTAAGAGTCACCTGGGGCCAAAAAGGACCTCCTCTCTGCCAGCCCTCAGGGCTGAGAGAGGCCTGTTGAGAGAGGCAAAGGCATTCCCATGAGCCCTGGATACACAGAGAGGTGGATGGGGGAGAGGCCAGGCAGGGAGAAGGGGAAAGGAGGGGAGGGGAAGGATGCCATGAGTAGGCAGAAGCCCCTCCATCCTCCTCCCACCCAGGCTGGAGCCTCAGTTCAGAAGGGGAGTCCTGATGTGAGAAGCCCCACATCCTAGGATTGTTGGTGCTAGGCCCTGGAAATGAATGGGCTCATATTCCTCCTCCAAAGATGGAGAAAGTAAGGCCCAGAAAGGGGAAGTGACTTGCCCAAGGTTGCACAGGATGTGCAGCAGGGCCAAGATCAGATCCGACACATCCTGATTCCCAGGTCAATGCTTCGTCCACACACGGTGCTGCAGATGGAGCAGGACCAAGCCTATCTCCCTGAGAAGTCGAGAGAGAGACAGAGGAGAGAAGGAGAGGAGAGGTGACTAGAGGAAAATTGCTCCCAGGGCCTTTCTCAAATCCCATGAAGCCTCCTCCCTTCACAGTCTGCCCTGATGGCCCTGCCTCAGGTGGTGCCAGCCCAAGGAGGGGCTGTGTTTTAGGGAGGGTGATAGCCCCAGGCACTGGGCTGGGTGGGCTCTGCCTTCCCAGACAGGAGCCAACCTGCAACTTATAGCGTTCCCAGGCTTCCCTCTGAGAAGTTAGTGCTTAGAACAAGAAAGTCCATGGCGGGCGCAGTGGCTCACTTAATCCCAGCACTCTGGGACGCCCAGGTGTTTGGAACACCTGAGGTCAGGAGTTCAAGACCAGCCTGGCCAACATGGTGAAACCTATCTCTACTAAAAATACAAAAATTAGCTGGGTGGGGTGGCACACACCTGTAATCCCAGCTACCTGGGAGCCTGAGGCAGGTGAATCGCTTGAACCTGGGAGGTGGAGGGTCAGCCAAGATGGCACCACTGCACTCCAGCCTGGGCAACATAGCAAGACTCCGTCTCAAAAAAAAAAAAAAAAAAAGAAAGTCCTGAGAAAATGGACCTCCACAGGCACAGCCCTAACTGCCCCACACTGGGGGCCCTGGCCCATGGTGGAGAGGACTCCCATCAGTACCCAGGAGCTTCTCTGATCTTGGGCTCCAAGAGCTGCTCTGGTAATAGAGCTGCTCTGGGTAATAGCTCTTCATTGTTCTCAGGGAATTGAGATATTAGAAAATTACAGCCACACTCTACCATATTGAGTCTCCTTATCTCTTAAGGAGAGGCCTCCCTGGGAAAACTGTGCTCCCTATTGTCTCACAGAGCATGTCCCCATCCTTAGTTGATATTAAGAATCTCTGCCATTGTCATATGGGCCTGATCTATTGACACTGGACAGGGGAATAATGACAGATGGTGAGCTAAAAGTAACAACATGCTGAAATCTGTCAAGAAGAGAGAGGACTGGACTTTTGAAATAGGCATCTCTCTGTTAGGGGCAAAGGTCACCCTTGCAGGCTGAGCGCTGCCCTGTTACAGTTGGGAATGTCTTGGAGATGGGAGGGGAAGAATCTGAGAATGGCCTGGAACATGCTGCAATTGGAGGAGCTGTTTGTTCTCCAAACGTATCTAGGCATGGCCCCTTGGAGCTGGTGAGATGGAGACATTTATGGACTTAATTATCAGCTGACATCAGCTGACATCATGGCATTGATAAAATGTCCTATCATTCTGAAGACAACACTGGTCCTGATTTTCTGCTCTATTACCCTGCTATATACTGATGCAGGTTATCCCCAAAGCTCTTAGCGTCAGAAAAGAATGTTCTGGGCCTGGTGACCCCCGAGGAAGACCCTCCCTTCTGTGTTCCCAGCACAGCCCCGGTTGGTTCCCAAGACTGGGCTTACCTCACTCTCCCCGTGACCAGGAGGTGCTGCAGGAGCCCCCTCAGCGGCAGCCACTGAGGCCCAGCAGATGGAGTGTGGTTTATAGATGGGCACAGGGAATGGAGGGGTACAATGCCCACTGATAGCAGCGCCGTCCCCCAAATCTGGCTCACTTTCCAGCTCCCACAGCACTGTGTCTTCTGGGAGGGGAGGCTCCAGAGTCGCTGGGCTCTCAGGTCCAGTCCTCACACCTGCATGGGAGTCTGAAGCCCCCCAGGAAAAGCACTCTCCAGAAGCACTGTTCTCTGAGCAAGGACTCGCCAGGAAGAGGGGGTTGCTGAAGAACATGCTCTCCTCCTCAGCTCCCCACTGTGGGGAAGAGTCTGGGGTTCCCTCTCTCAGCCATGCCTGGCCCTCTCCCTCAGGCTCACTGCTGTCTTCCCCTGAGTCTTCATTCTCAGGTGGGCTGGAGTGCAGGCCCGTGTCCCCGGGGAGGTCCACAGGGGGCGTGGGGAGACAGCATTTCAGCCCAGCCTTGAGCCCTTCCGTCTTCTCCAGCTCCTCCTCCAGGTCTAGGACACACATCTGGGCCTGCAGGATGCCTGCCCAGAACACTACCTGTGTGGACGTGCTCCGGTTCTGCTTTGGGCTCCCCGGTAGATGGCTGTTCACTGGTGACCCTGGTGATGCTGTGTTCTGCCTGTGCTCCCTCTGGGCAGAGGGGCTCCCCAGGTGTGTGAGCTCCACACCGGAGCCCCAGGGAGGAGCATCTTGTCTGGTAGATTCAGGAGGGTCAGTGGCCCGGGTTTGCTCCTGGCAAGGCTCCAGCCCGTCCTGATGGACCCAGCTCCCCAGGTGTGTGAGCTCCACACCGGAGCCCCAGGGAGGAACATTTTGTCTGGTAGGTTCAGGAGGGTCAGTGGCCCAGGTTTGCTCCTCGAAAGGCTCCGGTGGATCCTCATGGCTGCACGTTTCCCTTGGGCACTCTCCTGGGTGGGGCTCCAGGCTGTCTCCCAAGTACAGGTTGAGAATTTCCATGGGCTGGGGGTGGTCAGGGAGTCTGTAGTCACCCATCATCCACTGAGCAAAAGCTGCCCAGGAGTGCCCCGGAGCATCTGCTTTCACGGTCTCACTGTGTGGACTAGGGGGAGCACTGGCCGCTGGAGAAACTGGGAATCCATATCTACCCTGGAAATGCCCAAAGCAAGTGCAGGTTAGGGAAGGGCTGTCAGCCTCTGGAGGCACGTGTGTAGTGTGTTAGATGTGTTTGGAGTGTCTTCCCCATCTATGCCTGCTGCTCCTTAGCACTGCCCTCCACAGCCCTGCTGGGAGTAAGGAGTGTACCACATATTCCATCTGATCCCACAATCTCTAAACTTGCACCAGGGCAGCACCTGCCCCAAAGACACCCATCTGTTGGCTGAAGGTAGCCCATGTGGCTTAGCTGAAAAGAACAAACTGGCCAAATCAGATCCTTCTCTTGGGCATTTGGATTGGAGAGTGTGGAGACCGAGGTGGTTGGCAGCAGGAACTGAAGGCGGAAATGCCTCTAGGTATCAAGGAAGCAGCTGCAAGCCACAAAGGACATGTAAACCAAAGCATGTGGGAGCCAAACAGACACAGACGAGGTGAGGAGAATGCAACAGACTCATGGAAGAAGCAGGCACCCACGACATGAAGGCCACAGCCTGCCTTACTTCCACTTTCCAAGGCTCCTATCCTTGGGGCCTTACCCTGTTCACCAGGCTGGCTCACAGCCTGCTTCTTTGTCCTTGTAAGCTGTTGGCAGCTTGGAATTTGGCCCAGGTGGAAGCAGCAAGGGGCTCTCTGCTTAACTCAGCCCAAGCCCTCATGAAGGGAGGATGCTTCAGCCCTGCTGCCTACCACCCAGCAGACTGCCTGCTGCATGGGGAGGAGATCTCTGCCTTCTAGGGAGGAAGAGGCTGGGATGTGGCAGCCATGTCTGCCTGGAACTGCCTCACATCTGCCCAGAGCTGCTGTGTGCACAGCCTGCACTAACACTCTGGGTGGGCCCTTATCAGATGAGCCCAGGAACCTCGCAGGGTGTTTTCTAGAAGCATGCATTTCCATCCCCTGCATGCAGCCCACCGCTTACACGGCTCTCAGAGCAGCCCTGCTTCCTCAGAATAGCTGGCTTGTTTTGATCCAAAGCACACTGTGAAGCTTGTAACTTGTTTGTCTCATGGTGCTGGCTCTCCACAAAGTGGAAGTGCAGGGTCAAGTACACAGGTCCTTATGGCATGTCGTAAGCACTCCCCTGGCAGCTGTCTTTTTTTTTTTTTTTTGAGACAGAGTCTCGCTCTGTCACCCGGGTTGGAGTGTAGCGGCACAGTCTTGGCTCACTGCAACCTCTGCCTCCTGGGTTCAAGCGATTCTCCTGCCTCAGCCTCCCGAGTAGCTAGAATTATAGGCGTCTACCACCATGCTCTGCTAATTTTTTTTTTTTTTTGTATTTCTAGTAGAGATGGGGTTTCACCATGTTAGCCAGGCTAGTCTCGAACTCCTGACCTCAAGTGATCTGCCCACCTTGGCCTCCCAAAGTGGTGGGATTATAGGTGTGAGCCGCTGCACCCAGCAGCTGTCTTTTCTTATTTTCCCTTTGCCTCATTTTCTTCACTCACAGATTTCTATCTTGAAGGCTTACGTGCGTGCTTGTGAGCTATATTAGAATATTTTGGGGAGCAAGACTATTAACAAACACACACATGCTCCCAGTTTATAACCACGTGTGACTTCCAGATACCCAAGAACAACAGCCCCTTCCACATGCAGTTAACCATGCCTGTCCCCACCCACCACTCCCCCAACCTCGCACCTGAAAGATGAGCAGTCCCCTGCGTGTCGCTGTTTAACAGATGAGGAAGCCTTAGCCTGAGTCTGGCTTAATGACTCACAGCTGGTGACAGGGGCCGGACTCCGACCCCAGACCATCCACCTTCCGGTCTGCAGCTCTCTCTGCCCTTTCCCTGCTCCAGTATGAAGAGAGTGAGCCCAGGTGGCCTCGTCCAGGGCTCCAGACCTCACACTGAGATCCTCCCACAGGCAGGCTGTAGGACAGGAGCTTGACTGGCATGCAGGGCCCTAACCAGCACACATAACAAACCCATGGGGGTCAGCTCCTCCCTGCCCAGCACTAGAGAACATAAGCTGAATCAATAGCCACATGGACTGCAGCTCAAACCCTCGTCCTGCCACATACAACTGAGTGGATAAGCCTGGAAAGTTCCTTAGCATCTGGGAGCCCCACTGCAGTGGGGAGCTAGGGTTAACGGAGGTGATTCGCGCGGCCTTCAGCCCAGGCTTGGCCCACTGTTAGACACTCAGTAAATGGTAACCCTCAGCGCTCTCTCACGAAGGTCAGGGGGTCCAGCTGTTATTCAAGGTCACCTAGAAAACATTGCTTTGCCCCACGCCTTTTTTCTGGAGGGCACCTGAGAGAAGGAAGGAGGGCCAGTATGCATTTCAGTTTCTTATTCACCTTGAAAGTATCCTTTTTCTAAAAGTGCCTCCAAAAGAAATCTCTTTCTGGGTTTTTACCCCTCCCTCTGACCCAACCCTTGCATTCCTGTTTTAGAATAACAAGAATCTAGACTTGCTGGATGACACCCTCAGGATTCTGATGTTCCAGCCCACCCGGAATGGTCCCTGACCGGCCTTCAGGGCCCTTCCACCTGTTAGTTAAGGCAGCCTCCCCAACAGGCTGACTTTCCGAGAGGAGAGGCCCTTTCTTATGTTTAATCTTGTACTTGATGCTCTGAATCAAATGGACCAGATTTGGTCTCATCAGAGATGTTTGAACCAGAGTGGCTCCATCTTGAATAGGGGCTGGGTAAAATAAGGCTGAGACCTACTGGGCTGCATTCCCGGGAAGCTAGGCATTCTAAGTCACAGGATGAGATAAGAGGTCGGCTCAAGATACGGGTATCCTTAATCCAGCAGCCCAAGCGCTGCTCTGCCTATGGAGTAACCATTCTTTTATTCTTTTACTTTGCTAATAAACTTGCCCTCATTTTATGGATTCACCTTGAATTCTTTCTTGCACGAGATCCAAGAACCCTCTCTTGGGGTCTGGATTGGAATCCCTTTCCATTAACAGTCTTGCCTTTCATTCTTCTCCTATGGATCCAGCCTTCACTCATCATTCTAGGTTCTGCCTCTCCACCTCCCACCACTACCTCCAGGTAACAGGCAGAGGATTTGTATGGTTTACTCCTTAAGTCCATACCACTCTCTGCTCCCCATGCAGCTGCCCATTGTCACCCTCAGTGCTCTCTGGGCAAGAGGCCTGAGACGGTTCTACTTCTAAGGCAGAAGGGATGAGGAGCCTCAGGATCTATTGTCTATACTAGGGAAAACACCCTGGACCCCAAATCTCCCTCCCCAAACCTGCCTGGTGGAGAGCAACCGAGTGTGAGCAAGGAGGTGACTCACCCCACCACATCCCACTGCGCCTCCTCAAGACACCAGCCCATGGGGTATAATAAATGACTAGGAAGACATGTTTATTTAGAGATAGAGGGGAAAGCTGGGGAGAAGCACCTGGTTTACAGGTACCAGAACATAGGACATCCCTAGCTCTACTCAACTGCCTCCCTTCCCAGACCCCAAAGCCACCCTCCACGTCTCTGTAAAGTCCTGGTCTTTGGGCCCAAATAGTTCTCCTGCCATGCAAAATCCCTGATCCCTTCTCCTGTTCTCATTCACCCAACTCCACACATTGTACCTGAATGAGTGCCAGCCTCATGGCCCTATGAGCCCCAGAGCATTTTGCCAGGATAACGCCAACCCACCTTCTCTCACCATCAGTCAACTCACTTGGCAAGAAACGTTCCCGTGCCAATATGGGAATGGGAGTGGGAATGCGGGGCTGGGCCTGCTAGAAAGGACATCCTGAATTTTTCATAAGATGAGAGGAAACCCCACTTGTCTCTCTTTGCACATATGTACTTGCAAATAGATATGTATATGTACATAAAGCAGCCCTCTAGGTACACGCTAATGCTGATACTAGATACAAGTGAGGATTGGACTTGCCTTCCCAGAAAAAAACCAGCGTTCCTTGCTGGGTTTTTTCAGAGGAAAAAAAATAAATACCAGAGGCTGCAGCAGCTTTCCGAGCAAAGAGAAGAGAGCAGATCTCTGGGGCCTGCAGCACCTGAGGAGCCTGGGAGGGGTGGGGGTGAGGAACTGGTCAGTGGAGGGGAGCCCAAGGCAATGGAGACAGGAAGGGTGGAGACAGATCAGGTATTCAGTGGGGACAAGGCATGTAGTTTGACTGGCTGCGACATTTTTTTTTAGACGGTATCTTGCTCTGTCACCCAGGCTAGAGTGCAGTGGCATGATCTTAGCTCACTGCAACTTCTGACTCCCAGGTTCAAGCGATTCTCCTGTCTCAGCCTCCCAAGTAGCTGGGACTACAGGCACCCGCCATCATGCCTTGCTAAGTTTTGTATTTTTAGTAGAGATGGGGTTTCACCATATTGATCAGGCTGGTCTCAAACTCCTGACCTCAGGTGATCCACCTACCTTGGCCTCCCAAAGCGCTGGGATTATAGGCATGAGCCACAGCACCTGGCCGGCTATGACTTTTTAAACCAATTAAACTCAATGTGACTATACTCCACCCCTCGCTTTTACTTTCTGAGCGTTTATCCCGGTGTGTAGTTGCCAGTGTGTTTACCCGCGTGGTTCTAGTTTGCCTAGAAGGTAAGCACCAAGATGGCAGGTTCTTTATGTTTCCTGTTCGCCACTGTGTCTCAGTATGAAAATATTGAATGGCATAGTCACATTATGTAACTGATTTGTCAACCACTCCGACCCACAAGGTCTGGGGGCATACTTTAGTTCAACTGGATTTGAAATTTAAAGATCAGCATTGACTTGAGGGGTTTAGTTCAAGTGGATTAGAAACTTAAAGGTTAGCGTTGACGTAAGAGGTTCAGGCCCCCCTGTGACTTGAGCTGGTGTGCGAACCCAGGTTACAGCTCTCTTAAGCATCATTCTCTCCTCCTGCCCCACTGATCAATTCTCTTGGACATTCCTGAATTCACTTGAGTCACTCAAACTCCTGTACAGCGCCTCCTTGACTGAGAGTCGGCGTTGTAGAACATTTGTGAAAATAAGAGAGGGGATGGCTAGATGAATGGACAGACAAATGGAGAGACACACTGATGGGATGGATCCTCAGAACTCTCCCTCCACAACAACCAGGCCAGAAGACGGGGAAGACCGAGGCTTGGAGAAGAGAATTAGCATCATTATAATATGAAGGCTTCCCCACGGGGGCCAGTCTGCCCATGACCAATCACCTCATCCTCCCCTCTCCAGGAAGTCCAGTGCTCCAAGGGCAGTGCTCCCCCAGAGGTAGGTTCCTACCAGGTCAGCAGCCAAAATGTCCCTGTGGGTCTTGGCTCCCAGGCAGCAACCCGAACAGAAAGGAGGACCCATTCAATTGTCTTGTTTGTGCTCTCCATTTGTGCAGGGGGCACTGTGTAACTGTGTGTTTAAAAGATGTCTTCCTTCTGTTTTTTAATTGCTCTTGCCTGAATGGAAAGGTAGGATGACCTAAAAGGTGAAGTCACCTCCTAAGGCCAAAAAGGCAGTCCTACCGGTCACCCAGGTGAGGGCGGTCTGATCTCAGAAGGGTGGAGGATGGAACTAGCCTTTGATCCCTGAGGTAGGATGGCACCCTCTAGGCAGAGGCAGGCCAGAAACTGGGCAGCAGAGCCCAGGTCTTACGCATCTAAAATTTTCTTGGTTTACTTGTGTTTTTCCACCCCTGGTGTTTAGCAAAATCTCTCTTGAAATCTCCTGTCTGTTATCCCAACCAGAACGAAAGCAGAAGGAAAGGAATTCGCAGCAAAGGAATCGCCACCTGTCACATCAGTTGAGTTCTGTTACCTCTACATTAAAGTGGCCCTTCAGTTTTTCTGAGCTCTGAGGTGGCTCTGAAAGTTTAAGGAGGGTTCAGAGGGGAGGGAGCCGAGGTGGGGAAGAGAGAGCACTGCTCCACTCTGCTGCCAACCAGCCACTCTTCTTGAGCACAGCTGACTACATTTCAGAGAATCTTCACCACGGTGGGGAGGGGGTGTATGTTTCTCATGGAGAATACTGCAAGGGCTAAGCCTTATGTCCCTCTTGTGGGAGGTGAAACACACAGAAAGCAATGGCTGAGGGACTAGAAGGCAGAGTCCCTCCCACCTGCCCCACCCCCGGCTTCAAGGCAATTTCTTTTTGACCCAAGGGGGCAGGAAGGAACCCAGCTGACACCTGGCACCCGGACGGTGCTTTCTAACAGTGAGTTTGTTTTTCACCCTCAGCCTGGCATTGCAGCCTTGTACCCTGGCTGAAGAACGGGGAGACCGGGCACAGAGGCTGGGGTATGAGCCTGCCCTGAGTAGGAAGGTGATGGCCTTGGGTGCCCTGCACTGACCACCCTCCTTTGCCCACTTCAGGGTCATAGTGAAGAATGCAGAGCAGAATCCCATCCTAACTCTACAGCTGACAAGCCATGTGGCTCTGGGTGAAAAACTCCACCTGGTTCCTTTTCTGTAAAATAAGGAACCAAGACCCAATAAAGCTATACTTCACAGGTTTGTTGTAAAGTTGGAATGGGTCTGAGTGCTGGGCCTGGCCCTTGGTGGGTGCTCAGGAAATACCGTGTCCTGCTCAGTTTAATTTTGTTGTTTTGCTGTCCATTTAGAGAAGCCAAAATTAACAAAAACAAACAAATAGCCCTCCTGGTCAGGCTCAGCTCTCAGCCTCCTCAAGGAGTCAGCCCTGAACCTTCATCCGGAGGGTGCCTGTCTCTGTTTCCCTTTTTGAGCTTCCAGACTCAGCAAGCAAACGCTCCCTCCTTTTACCCTGGAAATGTTTTCCCTCCTATGGAAAAGGTATGAAGGCTTCTGGCCGGTCCAAGGACTTAGGAGGTGACCTGTCCTGTCCCTCTGCAGCCCGAGAAGCTGCCGAATTACAGATGTTGCTGCAGGCAGGAACCATGAGTGGAACTCCCTGGCCTGGAGCTGCAGGACAGAGGCCTCTGTCTGAACCTGGGGTCTGAAGCACCGTGAGAGAAATGACTCGAGAAGGCCCCACATCCTGCCCACACAGAAAGAGCCATCATGCAAATTTGCACGCACACACACACACACAGAGAGAGAGAGAGAGAGAGAAGACAGTGCTACTGAAGGCCTGTGGTGAGGCCAGCAGAGGCTCAGGAAGGGAGCAGAGGATGGCGGTCTGAGGTAGGCAGAGAGTATCCAGGGGAGAGATCACGGGGGTAGGGACAGAATGACAAAGGGGACCCAGTACAGCTGCTGCCTGGGGAGGACAAAGACCCCTAGGGGGCTGGGGCCAGGCTGGGCCTCTCCTCCCTGGGTCCTCTCACCCCACATCCCTCACCCCTTCTGTGGGTCTCTCCCCCTTCCCCAACAAAGAGCTCAGCAGCCTGTGTTCTGATCCCCATGCTAGGCGGTTCCTTGTCTGTAGGAGGAGGGGGCCACGGGATGCTCTAGAGTCCTAGGCAGCTGGGAGACAGGCCTGCTTGGGGACCACTTTTTAAAGCTGGTCCAAGGTCCAATGAACGGAGGAGTATTTATCATCAGCTAATGACAGGCCACCCTTCCCTGCATTCTAGCAGAGGAGTGACTTCAACTGTGGAATTTTAGGCCCTGGAATAAGGGGGGAATGGCAGTGTCAGGGGACTTTCCCTCCATGCAGCTACCTTCACTATAACAATAATGACTACAGTGGGCCTTAGTTTCCTACACAGGCACACTTTGAGAGTTCAGTGGTTCCTGTTGCCCATCAGGACAACAGGCCTAAGCCAGAGCTAAACCAGTAAGGAGGGTCCCCTTACCTCTCCTCGAGCTTCTCCAGGATGGTCCTGGAAGGCAAGATGAAGCTGGGAGCCCCCTGATGGCCAAGTTGACTCTGAGCTCCTGCAGCAACCACACCCAGAGCCACCCCCACCCCAAACCCAGGCCTTCCAGACTCCCTCTCTCCAGAGTCTAGGGTCGAGAATCACTTGGGACCTTTGGCCACAAAAGCCCCCACTGGGTACTCAGCCAGAGCAGTCACTGGGGACGCAGTGACACTCACAAGAGGATTAGCAAGGAGCTTCCTTCACCCTTCACTATTGCAGACCTCCAGAGGCTCTGCGGGGAGCCAGGGAAGGGAAACAACAGAGGTCCGTGGGGCCAGGGCAGGGAATCAGAGAAGGGTCAGATGAGGAGGGGTAGGCTGAGGGAGGAGGGGGACGGGACACAGAGCAGGAAGGGGGAAGGAGGGGCCTAGCCTAGCCCAGGCTCATGGCAGGTGCACACGGCACTGCCAGAGCCCTCGCCTCTCCCCTGCCCACCTGCCCCAGCCCCTGCCACAAGGACCCACATGTGACTCTCCACATTCCCTGCTCCCACAGGTTCCACCAGCCCCAACCTAGGCAGACCCACTTAGCTCACCTCCAAAGGACCCAAGAATGGATGGCTTGGCCTGGGCTCCCCAAGAGCACTTCCTGGCTCACAGTCGGCTTGCCCAGTGAATGTGGCTGTGACGGCTGGAGCTTCCGACTTCCGCTCCTCCTCACCACAACACACACCCCTCCTGCTCCCCGCCGCCTCCCCAGGGTTCCCTAGCTGCTCAACACCTCACACTTCCTGCCCACAAGATAAGAGCCTCTCTTCCTAGGCCCAGCGCCTGCAGCCCCTTTCCCCATGCCCCTGCTCCTTGGAGGCCCCCACCCTGCACACCAGCCTAGAAAGAACCTGCCATGGTGGAACTGGCCTCTCCCTGCCATGCAGGGGCCTGGGATTGAAAGGGGAAGGGGCCGAGGCCTGGTTGGTAAGCAGGCCCCACCTCCTTCCTCCCTGCGCTTCTGCCCCAGGTTCTCAGTCTTGCTCTGGCTCTTGGTCCCCTGCAGGGCACCCAGTGAGAGACAGGAGGGCCCTAAGTTGGGCAATTTCTGGTTTTAAAACAAATGACATTTCAATTTTTGTGTGACTATGTCTCATGTCACTGGTAATAATGCAAATGATACAATTGCCTTTTAGTTACAAAGTTTCTCCCAATAGTACCTCAATCCCTCCTCACACCTACTTTATGAAGCATTAATAACCCCATCATACAGATCCGGATCTGGAGGCAAGCTCAGAGATGCTAAGCCACTGCCCAGGGTTGCACAGCTGGAAAATTACAAAGCTGGGGTTAGAATACAGAGCCTGTGACTATATGAACCAAGGGACCTCCATTCCCCGTGGCTGAATTCCCAACACACGTCCTCAGGACACCGGCCGCAGTGTCCACAAGTGTAAGTGAGGCTGGTGGGGAGCGCAAACACCATGCCATTCTCCTCCCTCCACACAATCTACTTCCTCAACATCAATGACCGTCAACTTCTCTGCTGAGGCTCCACCACTCCCACCCTCCCTGAACTCTCGTCTTCATGATTCCAGCTGACCCAGAGACTCCCTCACTTGCATGTCCACACAGCAGTGGGGACCAGCCACCCTGACCCAGAGTTGAGAGGGTCGGGCTCTAGCTCACCTACAGCCGCACCCCTCCCTGCAGGGTACAGAGTCCACAGGAACATACCAACATGGAGCCCGTGCACCCTGCTTCTCCACCACACTCTGCGTGCCCCAGATCCCGAGACTCTCCACTTCTGGGGCCCAAATGGCCTCCTCCCCATGTGGGCACACAGCACCGCTGCCCTATGCAGCCTGAGACTGGGTGAAGCGCTGGCAAGAGTCCTGATAGCAGAGACGGGAGCAGGTAGAGAGAGCTCAAACCTTTGGGCAGGTCACCCACCCACATGCACGTGTGATACAGAGCAGGGTGGGGAAGAGAAAGGGAGGTGGAGCTGTGGCGTGGGCCAAAGGCTGGGGTGGGCTGTGCTGTGGCAGCAACATTCAGAGGCGGCTAAGAATCCTCCTTCAAACCTGGAGCTCCAGGCCATGATGAAAGTGGGAGGTAGGAGAATTAGGAGAATAGACACTTTTTTTTTTTTTGAGACCAAGTTTCGCTCTTGTTGCCCAGGCTGGAGTACAGTGATGCCATCTAGGCTCACCACAACCTCCACCTCCCAGGTTCAAGTGATTCTCCTGCCTCAGACTCCCAAGTAGCTGGGATTACAGGCATGCGCCACCACGCCCGACTAATTTTGTATTTTTAGTAGAGACGGGGTTTCTCCATGTTGGCGAGGCTGGTCTCGAACTCCCAACCTCAGGTGATCCGCCCGCCTCGGCCTCCCATAGTGCTAGATTACAGGCGTGAGCCACCGCACCCGGCAGGACACATTTTATATGACAGTTTGTGAGCTTTAGTCTTAACTTTCATGTATTTGGACATATCAGATGGGGTCCTCCACTCTCCACTTCCCAGGGCTGGCAAATGTTGGGGACATGCTTATCTCACCAGCACTTCAAACTCAATGTTTATAAGGCAAACCTGGTTCCTTCTCTTCTCCAAGCTCTTCTTCCTCATATATTTCAGGTTTTACAACTCTCTCTCTCCATCAAGCTGGGTAAGTCAGAAACCTGAAGTCACCAAGACCTAAATGCAAACCCTCCACTCTGGGCCCCAGCCGCTAGGGGTGTCTCCGGAACATGGCCAAGGCTCAAAGTCAGCACCTGCTCTGTGCAGGCTCTATGCTACAAGCCGCTGACCTATCAGGAATAAAACACATGACCCCTGTGGAAGCTGAAGCAACTCCATCTTGGAAGCTAACCTGCCACATTGACTTAACTGAGTGACCCCAGTTCCAAGGCAGGGCCTCTACAATTTCCAGTTTATCTATTGTTTCCTGTGTAAGAGCAGATACTTACTGTAAGTCCGTAAGTGCTACTCGTAGGTCAAACAACCTTGATGATATCACACTTCAATTGTCTTATAAATCCCATCTGAACCACTCCTACCCTATGGTATATGAGCCCTGGGTTTGGGTGCTAATGCGGGGATCCACCATCTCATCTCATTGCCGCCTGAGACACCTACATGGCTTCTGTTGGAAAGTCCCCTAGCTTTCTCAGCCTCTTTCTTCAACTTCTCAACTTCCTCAGACTTTGGGGTAGGTTTGCATAGGCCTGTCTACTGCAGAACAACTCCTGTTCTCAGGGAGCTTCCAGTCTACTGACAGAGAAAGAAAATAAACAATCGGACTTATGAATCAAACTTTATCATAAATTGTGAAGAATGCCTGGGAAGAAGCAGAGAGAAATAAGAGAGCAGCAAGGGTGAGCACACTGCCGTGGGAATTCGGGAAGGTCTCTGAAGCTGCACCATGTCCTGGTGAGGAGGGTCCAGTATGGAAGGGCATTTTCGGCTTCTAATTCCTTCCCTGAGGTGGGAAATGTCTCCACATTTCCAGGGAATAGAAAGCAAGCCAGTGTGGTGCAGCGCAGTCCCAGGGTCCCAGGGGGTGTGGGAAAAGATGGGGCCAGGAGGGGCAGGGCCAGATCCCACAGGCACCCCAGTGGCAAGACAGGGTGCATTTTTTTTTTTGAGACAGTCTCACTCTGTCACCCAGGCTGGGGTGCAGTGGTATGATCTCAGCTCACTGCAACCTCTGCCTCCCAGGTTCAAGCAATTCTCTTGCCTCTGCCTCCCAAGGAGCTGGGATTACAGGTATCTGCCACCACATCTGGCTAATTTTTGTATTTTTAGTAGAGACAGGATTTCATCACGTTGGCCAGGCTGGTCTCAAACTCCTGACCTCAAGTGATCCACTTGCCTCGGCCTCCCAAAGTGCTGGGATTACAAGCATGAGCCACCATATCCAGCCCAGGGTGCATTTTTGTTTGTTTGTTTTTTGAGATGGAGCCTCACTCTGTCGTCCAGGCTGGAATGCAGTGGTGCGATCTCGGCTCACTGCAACCTCCACCTCCTGAGTTCAAGCGATTCTCCTGCCTCAGCCTTCAGAGTAGCTGGGACTACAGGGGCCCGCCACCATGTCTGGCTAATTTTTTGTATTTTTAGTAGAGACGGGGTTTCACCGTGTTAGCCAGGATAGTCTCGATCTCCTGACCCCATGGTCCGCCCACCTTGGTCTCCCAAAGTGCTGGGATTACAGGCATGTGCCACAGCGCCTGGCCTTGTTTGTTTGTGTGTTTTTAAGATGGAGTCTTGCTCTGTCTCCCAGGCTGAAGTGCAATGGCGAGATCTTGGTTCACTGCAACCTCCACCTCCTGAGTTCAAGCGATTCTACTGCCTCAGCCTCCCGAGTAGCTGGGATTACTAATGTGTGCCACCACACCCAGCTCGTTTTTGTATTTTTAGTACAGATGGGGTTTCACCATGTTGGCCAGGCTGGGTCTTGAACTCCTGCCCTCAGGTGATCCGCCCACCTTGGCCTCCCAAAGTGCTGAGATTACAGGCGTGAGCCACCATGCCTGACCCCCAGGGTGCATTTTTAAAGCAGAGAAATGACAGGTCAAAGAGTATTTGTGTATTTACTTTTAAGATCATCCATCTGCTATATGGAGAATAGATGGACCTGTCTGCTGTATGGAGAAGAGATGGTAGAGGCTACGTAAGTTCAAGGAGACCAGTCAGGAGGCTCTGTGAGAGTCCAGGCAATGGGGGAGAGTGGCTTGGCTGGGGCAGTCACGGCAAAGAAGAGAGGCATAGGGCTGGGAATGCATATGGGGGATGATTATAGAACCTGCTCTTTCATTATATTCGAGGGGACAAGATGGGAGGGGAAGTCATGGGCAACTTCCAGATTTCTGACTTAAGCAACCAGATGGGCAGTAATAATGGCATTTCCTGAAATAGGAAAGAACTGGGAGATGAGGCTCAGGGGAGAAAATCCAGAGTTTAACTTTTATTTATTTATTTATTATTTATTTATTTATTTATTTATTTATTTTGAGATGGAGTTTCGCTCTTGTTGCCCAGGTTGAAGTGCAATGGTGCTATCTTGGCTCACAGCAACCTCCGCCTCCTAGGTTCAAGCGATTCTCCTGCCTCAGCCTCCCAAGTAGCTGGGTTTACAGGCATGCACCACCACGCATTTTGTATTTTTAGTAGAGACGGGGTTTCTCCATGTTGGTCAGGCTGGTCTTGAACTCTCGACCTCAGGTGACCTGCCCACCTTGGGCTCCCAAAGTGTTGGGATTACAGGCTGAGCCACCATGCCCGGCCCAGAGTTTAATTTTTAAATATTGGATTTGAACTACCTGTGAGATATTTCAAGTAGGCAACTGAAAAACGCACCTGGAGCCCATCTGAGCTTGGAGAGAGAAGGTGGTGCCTACCTGGGATGGGAGGGGACAGGTCTGCAAAGGAGACTGAAAAGGGACTGTCACAAAGGTGAGAGAAGCAAGGGGAGAGCCATGTTGTCACAGAAGACAAGAGGAGGTTACTTCAGACGGAGGAAGTGGTTGGCTTGGTTGATTGCTGCTGAAAAGTGGAGGAGATTAGAAGCGAAAGTGATCTATATTGAACATGGCCAGAGGTTATGGACAAGTGGGGTTGGCAGCAGATGCGGAGGCAGAAGCCAGGAGACCAAGAGGTGAAGTGTCACCTCCTCAAGTTCGGGCTCTGCCCCGTCCCGTCCAGACTTCCTGGTAATCCATGGTTTCCTGAGGCTGAAAGGGAGGCACCAGTGATCTTCCCCCTTCCCCAAGTCCAGGCCTGCCGCTTGGCTTAGTTATGGGTTCCCATCCTCCCCTTGACCATGAACTTCTCCAGGGCAAGGACTGGCCCATGTGCTTTACAGCGGAGTGCCTGGCTCACAATTGCTCCACAGCCATTTGATGAATGAATAAAGGTTGCTCAGCCTCTCTTCAAGACTGTACTAAAGGGAATGGGACCTGCCTCTCCCCGTTGCTTCCACGCAGTGGGTCTTGCATATGTACGGGGTGTGTGTGTGTGTGTGTGTGTGTGTGTGTGTGTGTGTGTGTGTGTGTTGGGAGTTCCCTCCCCAGCCTTTCCTCCTCCCCACGGCACAGAGGACACACAACACAGCAGACACACAGCACAGCCAGGCAGCTCTCCTGCCTCCCTCAAGGTAAGATGCTTCCTGTTTGCCTGCAGAAGAAGCTGCTCAGCACAGGTGGCTTCTCCACACAGAGCACAGACCAGGGAGTGGAGCCCACCTTCCAGGAGAGGGGCCCTGGGGATTTCAGCATACAGCCCCTCCTGGGAGGCGAGGGGAGAGAGGAGAGAGGCCACCAATGAAAGAAATGGCACCTGACATAAACCCCATGACACTTTCCTGAGGACCCCAATGTGTTGACACTTACCGGGTCCTCTCCATGCATCATCTCTAGTTCCTGGGGGTCTGAGGTCAGGGTTAGGGGCTTTATCATCTCCAGGCTACAGACCAGATGAGGAGACGGAGGGTCCACAGTCACTCAGGCTTGCACAGGCAGGAAATGGTAAGACTGGGATTGGAATTAGGCCTGTGGAACCTTCCCAATGCACTTTCTGCTGTACCCCGTTACCACTGCATGCTGCAGAAATGAAAACCCAGGTGGGGAGCAGGGCTTCTTTCCAAACGAGCAGAGCTAGACACGGTAAGCCTGACTCACGTCTCCCAACTGGAAGTTCAGGAAAACCCTTGTGCTAATGGAGCTGAAATATTGTCCTGGGGCAGGGTGAGAAAGGAGGACTGAAGCATCTAAATGGGCTTCAAATTAGTCTCCATAAAGTCTCCATACTTTAGAGAAGGCTGAGAGTGAGGCGGCCACATGCTCCTTTCTCCAGAAAAGGCCCTCTTCCCTCCCAGCTGTCTGACCTCCACAAGCCTCGGCCCTGGAGAAGGGCAGACAGAACACCTGCCTCTCCAACCATTCCTCTGCCTGGTTGGATGTTTACAGTCCCCCTGGCCAGCTCAGCTGTGGGCTCCCAGGATCAGAGCACGTAGGTAGGGCTGGGCCAGGGCTTCCAATGACTGGGCACGTGGCAGGGGCCAAAGGTGCCTCTCCTTGCCGCCTGTGACCTTAGAGTGGGAGGGAGAAGTCTCCTAGAGGCAGGGAAAAGAGGAAAGGGAGAACAGCCCAGCCCAGTGCTGACATCACCAACCTCTGAGCACATGTGTGCGCTGGTGCTGCCCTGGGTGTTCTGGAGAAGGGCAGGAAGTGATTATAAAAGTGAATGACAAGCCTCCATCTCTGCACTTGTTTGCCCAATCCCGTACCAACGCAGTGACCTTGGGAGGCTGTCCTTGCCCGCCCGTGGCCAGTCAAATGAAGCACACCCAGTGTCTGTGGACAGACGGCCAGGGACAGGGCCACCCAGGTCACAGCTCCCTGGCTCTCCTCTGCCCCAGCACAAAAGCTCGGCTCAGACTCTCTCTCTCAAGGTCCTTCTCTTGGGCTCCTTCCCAGCTCTTTTTTAGATAAGCCCACTTGCTGTAGGTCTGTCCTTTTCACATGAGCAGTGAGTTGGGCACTGTAGTTATTCATCCTCTCTCCCCCAGCCCCCTTGGCACCAGAAGGCACCCACAAAACATCTGCTGAAACACATGTGCATGCAGTTACTTATAATGGCAAAAATGCTCATAACCTCAATATCCACAATAGAGAATGAGATAAATGGATAGATTACTGGGTAACCATATACCCATATGGTGAACCTAGGCAACCTTTAGCCATTTTGTTTTTAAAGAGTATCTAATGAAATGGAAAGATGCTCATAGAATTTTGTTAAATAAGAAAACTATTTATAATTTCACTATGGTCCCAAGTTTTTTTTTTTTGTTTGTTTTGTTTTGTTTGTTTGGTTTTTTTTGAAATGGAGTGTTGCTCTGTCGCCCAGCCTGGAGTGCAGTGGCGCGATCTCGGCTCACTGCAACTTCTGCCTCCCAGATTCAAGCAATTCTCCTGCCTCAGCCTCCCAAGTAGCTGGGACTACAGGCACAAGCCACCACGCTCGGCTAATTTTTTCATTTTTAGTAGAGATGGGGTTTCACCATATTGGTCAGGCTGGTCTCGAACTCCTGACCTCAGGCGATCCACCTACCTCGTCCTCCCAAAGTGCTAGGATTACAGGCGTGAGCCACTGCGCCCGGCCTATGGTCCCAGTTTTTAAAAAACTTGTTTGTGTTTGTGTATTTAGGCAATAAAACATCAAAGCATTGATTGACAGTAGCTATCTGTGCCTGGCAACAGTATACATGATTTCAATTTCTTCATGCTTGTTTCATATGTATTCAACTTTTTAAAATAAATATACTTTATGTTTGTCATCAGCAAAAATAATAAAGTTACTGTTTCTGCCCCCTCCCTTTCCCCTACTGAGTTAGGTACATGGCCTTGAACTTTAACTATCTAACAAGCCAGCTACTACTTTTGTTGGCTCCCATGTACATGTGAGTAAAACCTTTTTCTTCTGTTAATCTGGCTTTTGTCAGTTTAATTTGCAGGTCCCAGTCCCTAAACCTAAGAAGGAAGAGGAAAAGGGTTATTTCCTCCCCTACCTAGGGTTAGGATAAAGCATATCCTAACAAGATTAACCCAAGATTACCTTCTCCATGAACCCCAAGATTACCTTCTCCATGAACCCACAAATCTGAGGCTGTGTTTGCCTACATGGATATGTGGTACACATACTAAACATTAATAGTTAAGCATTTACTTCAATATGCACTAGAATAAGATAGAGTGTAGCAAACCTGTGATTTAGGAACACAGTAAAGTAGAAAATATCTACTTTATGTTGTTAAGTATATGTATTCACAGAAAAATATTAAATATTATTTGATAATATAATAAATATAAATAAATATCAAAACTCTTATCTCAAAAATTATAGTAGGGATATGTAAAGAGCAGACACTTTGTGCAGCTGGATCTGACCTTTGCAGCATTTTCTCCTTTGGAGAAAGAGCTGAAAGTCTTCCTTATAATGCTCATTAGCCCTGATTGGCCACCAATCACTGAATACGAATTCAAGCGGGTATGATTTGCAGAAAAGCAAAGCTCTGTCATTAAACAGAGAACAGGTATGCTCTCACAAAGTGAAGGAGGAAGACAAACTCAGAGCAGGACATTTCCTGGGCCTTGTAAAGGGTCACGTGTTCCCCTGGGGAGGCTCATGCTTAACCCTGCCCATAGCAACAAAGCCGTGAGCTTCGCAGTGCCCTCTGCAGCAGCAGGAGCTGACCCACACTCTATCCATTGTCATCTTCAGAAGACAAAAGGGACGGCTGGTTTGGCAGCTCCTAGCAGGAAGAGCGCTGGGGCCTCGGAGCTCATACCCCAGGAGGAGAGCCCGCACACCTAAGCTTCCTGGGGCCATTTCCCTCCTCTCTGACTCAATACATCTATGCATCTTCCAAGGCCGCACTGAGAGCTCCAGAAAGGCAGAGTCCACTCGTTGGGCCTTATTGTATATACCCACCTCCCATCCCTCCCCTGCCCAGGCTCCACAGCAGCACAGAGTCCATGCCAAGAGGATAATTTCCAGAGGTTGTCAAGCCAGGAAAGGCCAGAGTTCAAAAGGGCACCACATATTATTGTCAGCTCCTCCCTGTAAACCTGCCCCATGCTCTGTTCCTGATGGGCATCTCTCGCCCTCACATTCTTCTGTGAGGACCTCACCCAGTCCCACATGTTAACCTCCCACCTACTCACTAAAGGCTCACAATTCCCTCTCTAGCCCAGCGTCTTAATTACCAGCAGGAATCTTCTAGCTGGATGTACAGCAGAGCATCAGACTTCGCAGCCTGCTCACATGCCTGTAAGCATCCTTCCCATCCCATGCCCGTGCCTGCCCCTCCCAGGACCTGTCTAGACTGGCATCACATCCACCAGCTTCCCAAGTTAGCAACCTTGGCACCAGCCCAGGTCCCTCTCCCCTCATGGCTTTGGTACCCAGTCCTGCTGGATCCTCCTCCCCTGCAGGCCCCTGGGCTCCACCAGCTCACAGAGCGCGTCCTCGCTTTTCTGGAGGACTGCAGCAATTGCCTGCCTAATTCTCCACTGAGAGATCACTCCTGTCCTAGAAAATCTTCACCTGGCACCCTCGTCCCCCATTCTCTAACAATGCCCCTAACTGCCTCTCTCTTCCATTGCTTTAGGGAATGTCCAACGCTGTTATCTGAGACCTCTCCAGCCTCTCCTATGACCACACACAACCACACCCTGACCTATGGCCTCAGCAGGCAACGGGTCCTTCCCTAAATGTTCTTGGCATGTTCATACGTCCTCTTGGACAGCTCCATTTCCTTCCCCAGTCCTCTTCATCCTTCGAGGCTCACCCCATAATGCCAATTCTCCATACAACCTTTCTAGACCAATCCAGTAGGAATTGACTATTACAATAACTCCCTAACTCCAGCTACAGAGTACAATGCAGCAATTAGAAGCAACAAACCAAGAGTACACACTGCAGTCAAATAGATCTTTTAAAAAATAGTGCTGGTGGCTGGGTGCGGTGGCTTATGCCTATAATCCCAGCACTTTGGGAGGCCAAGGAGGGTGGATCACGAGGTCAGGCGTTCAACACCAGCTTGGCCAAGATGGTGAAACCCCATCTCTACTAAAAATACAAAAATCAGCCAGGCACAGTGGCAGGCACCTGTAATCACAGCTACTCGAGTAGCTGAGGCAGGAGAATTGCTTGAACCTTGGGGGGGCGGAGGTTGCAGTGAGTCGAGATCACACCACTGCACTCCAGCCTGGGAGACAGAGTGAGACTCACTCTCAAAAAAAAAAAAAAAAAAAACATAGTGCTGGTTAGCCAGGGATGGTGGCTCACAACTGTGATCCCAGCACTTTGGGGGCCCGAGGCGGGTGGATCACTGGAGGTCAGGAGTTTGAGACCACCCTAGCCAACATGGTGAAACCCCGTCTCTACTAAAAGTACAAAAATTAGCTGAGCGTGCTCACTTGAACCCAGGAGGCGGGGGATGCAGTGAGCCAAGATCGTTGACAGAGCGAGACTCTGTCTCAAAAAAAAAAAAAAAATAGTGCTGGTTTTAAAAAGCAAGAAAAATTTAAGGATTTATAGCACGAAGCAATTGTGACCCCATAAAGACAGGGTCTCATTCTGTTGCTGAAGCTCTAGTACAGTGATGCTATAATAACTCACTGCAGCCTCAAACTCCTGGGCTCAAGTGATCTTCCAGCCTCAGCCTCCCAAGTAGCTAGGAAAATAGGAGTGCACCACCACACCTGGCTAATTTTTTTTATTATTACCTTTTTTTTTTTTTTTTTTTTTTTGGAGACAAGAGTCTTGCTCTGTTGCCCAGGCTGGTCTTGAAACCCTGGCCTCAGGCAATCTTCCCACCTTAGCATCCCAAAAGGCTGGGATTACAGGCATAAGCCACTGTGCCCAGCTCCATAGTGCAATTTATGTAGGGTTAAAAATACATGCATATATAAATCAACATCATATATCTTTCTTAAATACATCCAAATCTAAGGATAAACCTATCATAAATATGTCAGAGTAGCTGTTGCTCATGAGGGTAGGGTTAGAGGGTAAGTGTGAGGGGAAATCACTGGGACTAGGAATGAGAGATGAAGAGGAAATGATAACTCAGTAACAACAACAAAAACCCAATTGAAAACATAGGCCAAGTATATGAACAGTCCACAGAAATACAAATAGCTTGTAAGTCCTGTAACACAACTCACTAGAAAGAAATACCTATTTAAACTATAGCATGATGGCATTTTTCTCATCTGTCAAATTGGGAAGAATAAAAAGTTGATGATACATCAAGTTGGTGGAGCCGAGGGGAAAGCAGCACTCTCCTAAGTACAAAGACATGCATGCCTTCGGAAAGCAGACTGGCAGTAACTTTTAAACCACATTTATGAATTCCTCCTGCTGAAACAGTCACAGAACTGAGATTATATAGGTACAGGTATGCTTAATGTGTTATTGTCTATCACAGCAAACAAATAGAGATGGGGGAAATAGCTTATAAACCCACAGTGCACTGGCTAGATAAATATGGTAGCTCATTCAATGAGATACAGCAGCATATACGTACTTAAAAACGATGAAGGCGGGTGTGGTGGCTGACGACTATAATCCCAGCACTTTGGGAGGCTGGCTGAGGTGGGAGGATTGCTTGAGGCTAGCAGTTTGAGACCAGCCTGGGCAACACAGTGACACTCCCATCTCTACAAAAATTACAAAATTCAGCCTGGCGTGGTGGCGCCTGCTTGTGGTCCCAGCTACTGGGCAGAGGGTGGGCAGGGCAGGGCACTGAGGCTGGAGGATCACTTGAACCCAGGAGGTCGGGCTGCAGTGAGCCATGACTGTACCACTGTACTCCGGCCTGGGTGACAGAGTGAGACCTTGTTTCCAAAAAAAAAAAAAGCAAAGCCGGGCATGGTGGCTCATGCCTGTAATCCTAGCACTTTGGGAGGCCGAGACGGGTGGATCACGAGGTCAAGAGATCGAGACCATCGTGGCCAACATGGTGAAACCCCGTCTGTACCAAAAATACAAAAATTAGCTGGTTGTGGTGGTGCATGCCTGTAGTCCCAGCTACTCAGGAGACTGAAGCAGCAGAATCACTTGACCCAGGAGGCGGAGGTAACAGTGAGCCGAGATCATGCCACTGCACTCCAGCCTGGCAACAGAGCAAGACTCCGTCTCAAAAAAAAAAGAAAGAAAGATGAAACCTGTCTATATGTCTTGAAGCAGAATGATTAAGTATATTAAGTTTAAAAAGTGCATACCTAAGTATTATTTCCTACTATTTATGTTTTAAAAAAAGAAGAAGACAAGGAAGGTATACATACATATATGCTTGTTTACAAATAGAATATGTCGCTCTGAAAGTATTCTCAAGAAATTGCCTCCGAGGAGAATTGGAGATGACAGGACAGGAGAGGGAAAGAGATTTTTCACTGTGTACCTTAAGGGCTGTTTGCATTAATATTTTAAAAAGATTTTTGAATACATGTAAATATTGCCTTTAAAAATATTTTTAAAGAGTGTTAACCTATGTAAGTTCTATCTTTTTTTTTTTTTTTTTTTTTGAGATGGAGTTTCACTCTTGTTGCTCAGGCTGGAGTGCAATGGTGCAATCTCGGCTCACCGCAACCTCCACCTCCTGGGTTCAAGCGATTCTTCTGCCTCAGCCTTCCGAGTAGCTGGGATTACAGGCATGTGCCACCACGCCTGGCTAATTTTGTATTTTTGGTAGAGACAGGGTTTCTCCATGTTGGTCAGGCTGGTCTTGAACTCTTAACCTCAGGTGATCTGCCTGCCTTGGCCTCCCAAAGTGCTGGGATTACAGGCATGAGCCGCTGTGCCCGGCCAGTACTATCTTAAAAACATCTTTTTTAAAGAAGGAGAGAAGTAGAATGTGCTCAAACCCAGCAGCTGTCTTCTCTCTAACCATCTGTTGTCATGCACTATGGACAAAACCTGCCCTCCTGGTCTCATGTAATCCTCCTGCTTTAGCCTCCTGGGCACAAGGCTGAGCCCCGGCTAACTGGATCTGATCCACTGACCTACCGCACCCTATGTAGTCCTCACCCTGCACCCGCATCCTCACCATGGTCTGAGACCAGTATTTGTGGAATATGCCACATGGCCACAACTATTTTATTTTATTTATTTATTTCTTTTTGAGACAAGAGTCTTGCTCTGTCACCCAGGCTGGGATGCAGTGGCAAAATCTTGTCTCACTGCAACCTCCACCTTCGTGGTTCAAGTGATTCTCATGCCTCAGCCTCCCAAGTAGCTGGGAATACAGGCGTGAGCCACCATGCCTGGCTAAGTTTTGTATTTTTCTTTCTTTCTTTCTTTCTTTCTTTCTTTTTAAGTAGAGATGGGGTTTCACCATGTTGGCCAGGCTGGTCTCGAACTCCTGACCTTGAGTGATCTGCCAGCCTCAGTCTCCCTAAGTGCTGGGATTACAGGCTACCACGCCCGGCCAGCCACGACTATTTTATAAAGGGACCAATTTCATTTGCCAACTAGGAGCTTCTCCAAAAGTTAGGGCAGTCAGAAGTCCATTTTGGTGGACAGAATATCTTCAAAATTTGGGCCCAAGGTTGGCTCTCTGACATTGTTACAGCATAGTATGAGAGCACTTGGCTCAAAAATGGCACCAGCTGATGGCAAATTCTGATTCTTCACTTACTACCCATGTAACCTTGGCCAACTTTCTTACTTGCTCTGGGCCTCAGTTTTCCCATCTGTGAAGTGGGATCATAATAGTATAAACTGCATAGACTTGCTGCGGGAATTATTTGTGTTACTGCACACAAGTTACCCAAAGTAGGGCCTGGCATATAGTATGTGTTCAATAAATGCTAATGATTTATATGCTCTTGGGCTGGTTTTTTTTTTTTTTTTTTAAGAAAAACCTGTTAATGAGATCATCTAATAGTTTTAAGGATGAAAATAAAAATAGATTATTGGAATTTTCCCGGAAGGCAGGTTTTTTCTCATCTTTCATTCCCTGGGCATTTATTAGGTTGGTGCAAAAGCAATTGTGGTTTTTGCCATTAAAAGTAATGACAAACGTCACAATTGCTTTTGCACCAACCTAATACTAAATTTGAAAACCTCAGGGTCTGCTGCCCACTTAATTCTCATTGTGTGGCCCCATAATGTTATTATTATGATGATTATTATATTTTATTTTATTTTCGAGGCAAGGTCTCACTCTGTCGCCCAGGCTGGAGTGCAGTGGCACAGTCTCCGCTCCTGCAACTTCTGCCTCCTGGGTTCAAGCGATTCTCATGCCTTAGCCTCCCGAGTAGCTGGGATTACAGGAAAGCGCCAACACTCCTGGCTAATTTTTGTATTTTTAGCTGAGACGGGATTTCACCATGTTAGTTAGGCTGCCCATAATGTTTTGAAGGATGCAGAGTGTGAGTAAGAAAAGCAAATGATACCTCTCCTAGCAAAAGACATGCTCTCCATCTCTGTTGATCACTTCTTGCCCTACTTGGCATAAACTACCAGGCCTGTCCATAAGTTGGAGATTGTAAATCTTCCTGCCACAGCAGTGAGGGACACCATCTGCTTTCCTGGGTGCCTTTGGTCAAGGCTGAGCCCTACCCCAGCCTCCTTTAAGACAAGTCTCTGAGATGCCTGCTCCCCACCCCAGAGCCACACTGACCTCCTCCCTGTTCGTCCAGCATGCCCAGCATTTTCATGCCTCGCTCTGGCTTCAGGGCCTTTGCACTTGCTGTTCCCTCTGCCTGGAATGTTCTTCCCCCAGGCAGTCACATGGCTATGTCCCACATACATTCACGTCTCTGCTCAAATTTCATCTAAGCACAGCCTGTCCTGACTACTCTGTTGAACACAGCAGCCCCTATCAACTTTAACCCCTTAAGCTGCCTTGCTTTTCTTCAGATCCTTCATCTGACACGACATTAAAATTGCTATGTTGTTTATTGTCTGTTTCTCCCACAAGAAATAAGCTCTGTGAGATGCAGGATTGTCTTGTTCACTGATGTATCCTTAAAACCTGGAATAGTGCCTGGGACATACAGGCCTTCAATAAATATTTGTTGAATAAATATACAAATGAGTGAGTGAGTCAATAGACCATGTTTTCTGGGAATCTTAATCTCTGTCTTAGATTTAAGCTTCCCAATAAGAAACATACTCTTAGAGAGGGGCTACTCACCACTAGTTCATTTCTCACTGATCCTTTATAAGCAGCTTATAACTCCCTGCTGATAGGAACAGAGGGCACCTCATTCTGTGCCCCTAGATTTTGAGGACCTGAACATGAGACCATTTTCCCACCTAATTTAGAAAGTCTGTTTGCTACACTTTCTAGTTAAGGCCCAATTTCTCTTATACGTTTCACTGTCATGCCCCATATCCCTCTTTTTGGGAATTTTTCAGTTTTGTGTTTTCAGCATTTATTGCTCTCTGAAATAATGTCATTCAACAGCTTACTTGCTTATTTTCTCTTTCCAACCCATATGCAAATAAGAGCAGTAGTATTCGCAGTGCCTGCATGCCTGATTCGTAGTTGACACTCAGTAAATATCTGCTAGATGAGTGAATGAATGACTCTTCTTTATATGCTTCACATACAGGAAATATCACGTCTGGAAGAAAAGAATGAATCACTTGGCACTACACACTGTCTAAACCTGACCTTGGTGTGTTCTTTATGTAGAGAGTCTCATGGACATCCAATTAGTTGCTAATTAACATTCAATCAGCTCTGGGCCTCGGGAGGGGCCAAGCCTGAGGTTCAAGGGCAGGTGGGGCTTACTTGCCCAGTCTTCACTTTGATACTGGTCCCCTGACCTAGACATGCGGACCATGGACACAGAGGTCTGGCGAGTGCATTGACCAGAGCAGCAAGTCCATCCTGCAGCGTGGAAAAATCCAGCAAAGAACTCACTCACATTCTTAGCTCCATCATCCTACAGAAAAGATGAGCTAGACAATTCTAGAGCCAAAAAGAAATCCTAGAGGGATATGAGTTTGTCAGCTGTGCAGACACTTTTTACCTTCCCAGAAATCTCTCATACTTTCTTGCTAGACACACCTAGGAGGAGGGCCAGCACCCAAGGGGGTAGAGAAGAGCTGCCTGGTCCTCTAGCCCAGTGCAGTCCCGGGGGGGCAGCTCCCACCAAGCCGGGGCCACAGCCTGGCCTGGTCATGAGCACCAGAAACCACTGAGGCACAGGGCCATGACAGATTAGGAGCAAAGCCCTCAGTGTCGCCTGATTCTGACACCTGGATGGCTTTAAGGGCTCCTCCTGCTCGCCAGCCAGCGGGGCTTGGAGCCAGGATCCAACAGCGCGGCTGGAGTCGCCCGCGGCGAGAGAGCCCAGGCTGACTCCTTCAGTGGAGACAGCGTCCCCTTGCCGTCCCAGTCTCCGCCGCTCGGTTAGGCTGGATCCTCAGGGTCCCCTGCTCGCTCTCAACCCTCTCTCCGGCTCCAGGGACCCTAACCCTCAGCGACAGCCGCTCCGCAGGTGCTCGCCGGCGTGGCGAGAGCGCTGCACGGCACACGGTCACCGTCGAGGGCGGCGACGGCCGGGGGTGCCCCCGCCCGGCCCAGGCCTCCCCGTGGTCCCTTACCCATTTCCCGCCGGGCTCCTGCTCCGGCCTCCCGCGGGCCCGCGCGCCCCACGGCCCCGCGCCCAGGCGCCGGCTGGGGGCGGCGAGAGCTGCGGGGCCTCGGCTGCGCGCGCGGGGGGCTGGGCCAGTCCGGCTCTGCGCGCTCGCAGGAGGGACTCGGTTTCCGGGAGCGCAGGCGGGCGGGCGGCGGCGCAGGGCGGGGAGGGGCGGGCTGAGGCCGGGCCGGGGTTGGGGGTGGCGGGGGCGAAGCTGTGGGACTGGTCTGACCGCTGTGGCGCCGGGCTGGGCCGCCGGGCAGGCCGGGTACCTCCTGCGCGCCCCGCACGGCGCCGTCGTCTGGCCTGTGCGCTACCGGGCCGCAGGCTCTGCAAAGCCCTCCGGTTATTTTTCCAGTACCTGAACCGGAAACTGAGGCCCGCCCCAGATACGCGTGAGCCTTGACAGGGACTGTCTGGAGTCCCTACAAACCCCTTGTTCATTTACCATTCACTGGGCACAAGAAAAAGTTGCATTATTTGATTTCCAAATTTCACCTGTCTGTAACTGTTGGCTTACGGTGAACATTCACTAGTTGGTTTGGGGATTGGTGGCACAGAAGCAAATAGCTGTGATTTTACACTCAATCTATTTTAGCAAACATAAGCTCAGAACAGGTTGTCATTGGCGAGACGCTATTATTTTTCAATATCACCCTTGATGGCACTATCTGGTTTCTATTTCTGTAACTATGTAAGGCACCGTATAATGACATTTTGAGTTAAATGATTCCATATTTCCTGTATATTGTGAATAAAAGTTCTCCAGAAGGAATCTTCCAGTAAGCAGTTTGTAAACTGGAGAGGCACAACCTTTATTGTAAAACAAAGGTGCCCTTCCAAAGAACAAAGGGAAGGCTCGGGTTTCATAGCAAATGGTCCCACACAGGTTTCCTGTGCAAATGAAGGTTTGAAATTTGCTTAGTTCTGATTGCTTTACAAGGCCAACTTCTGATCGATCAATACATCTGAGTCCTGACTGGGTGATACAGCTGAGCCCTGATTGGCCAAGGCAGGTGAGCTCTGATTGGTTGGTTCAGGTGAGCTCTGAAAATCCCAGAAACAAGAAGGTGCTGGTTTCCAGAGAGCTCAGCATATGTGACCTTTAGTCAGCAAGTGACCACTTGGCTCTATTTTGAATTTAGACCAATACAGTCCAGTTATTTGACATGTAAAAACGGAAAAATAAAATAAAATAAAACAGATTTAGGCCGAGTTAGCCACTCAGGATCCATCTTGAAGAATTGGCTCTTGAAAGTTCACATTTATTCACAATATCTAGTGAACATTTTAGCTCCCCTAGGAATTGGCAACCTAGAGAGGTCCATTTCTTGATTTGATGCTGCTAAAATGAAGCTGACCAGGCTCTCTACAAGCAGCAACAACCATGATAACACCTAATATTTATTGAGTGCTAGGCAATAAGCTGTCCTAAAACATTTAATCCTCACGGCAACCCTATGAGTTAGGAAGCTTTACACCTCATGAGGAAACTGAGGCACAGAGAGGCTGAGTAACCTGATCAAGGACGCACGGACAGGCAATCAGGCAAGACCCAAAGACCATGCTCTAAATCAGCAGTCTGCAACCTTTTTGGCACCAGGGAGGGACTGGTTTCTGTGGAAGGCAATTCTTCCACAGATAGGGGAGGTGGGAGTGGATGGTGTTTCAGGATGATTCAAGCACCTTACATTTATTGTGTGCACTTTATTTCTGTTATTATTACATTGTAATATATAATGAAATGATTTTATAACTCACCATAATGTAGAATCAGTGGGAGCACTAAGCTTGTTTTCCTGAAACTAGACAATCCCATCTAGGGGTGATAGGAGACGGCG
Source organism: Homo sapiens (assembly GCF_000001405.40). Lineage (NCBI taxonomy): Eukaryota > Metazoa > Chordata > Mammalia > Primates > Hominidae > Homo > Homo sapiens. The sequence continues at coordinate 113,155,659 of NC_000002.12, read as the reverse complement.
ACACATCATCAAGCACTAGATTCTCATAAGGAATGCACAACATAGATCCTTCGCACACACAGTTCACGATAGTGTTTGCACTCCCATGAGAATCTAATGCCGCAGCTGATCTGACAGGAGGTGGAGCTCAGGTGGTAATACAAGCAATGGGGAGTGCCTGTAAATGCAGATGAAGCTTTGCTCTCAATCCCCCACCCCCAACATGGTCCTAACAGGCCATGAACAGGGGATTGGGGACCCTTGCTCTAAATCAATGTGCAACACTACTGCTTAATCTTTTTAGATGGGGATCTGATGCTAGGTTTAATAATCCTATAACTTATTAGTTCATTTCTTCACTCTACAAATATTCACTTCAGTATTCACCTACTGTATATATGCCAAGCACTGGTTAAAACAATGAACTGAAAACTCCAAGAGCTTGCAGCTAGCAGGGAATATAAGCAGTAGTGTGAGGTACACTTGTAAATTGTAAACTTGGGAGGCTGAGTGGGATGTCTTTGAGGGGGGAAATCCTGAAGGAGGGAGCCACAAAGAACAGAAGCCCAACAACTACATGCAAACTCCTTTAAACTCTTGGCAGATTCCTGAATGAACAATGCAAGGAGGAAGAATCTAGATAACCTGAAGGAGATCAATAGTGAGCAGAGATCTGAGCAGTTAGTTACCGTCTCTGGGAAAGTTCCACCATCTGAGAGGGACTTGGTTCTATTGTGCTTTCCACTGAAACCCTAGAATGACCACCCCTTAGCAGGAAAGACTGCATCCCAGCATTAAGGGATATACCCTAGAATTAGGGACAAAACCAAAAGAAATTCATCCAAACAAAGCACAAAACCAAATCTCCACAAAACCAAGGTGAGTTTTCAATAATTTAACTTACTGTTAGAACAAAACTTGACACTCTTCAAAGGAAAATAGAATGCAGAGCATCTACAATGTATCATTCACAATGTTCATCATATGACAAAAAATTATTAGACATTCAAAAAAGCAGGAAAATGTGAGCCATAGTCAAGAGAAAAAAATCAATCGAAATAGACCCACAGGTGACCAAGATATTGGGATCAAAAGACAAGGAATTAAAAAGAAAAACTATGATAAATATGGTTAAAAAACACTTTCAGCAAAATATAGATATAACGGGTAAAGAAACCAGGCATTTCAGCAGAAATATAACCATTTTTTAAATAAAGTGCCAAAAGGAATATAAATAAATCCACATCAATGAAGGCGATATCTGTATCTTTATTACCCCAGAATGAAGAGACATCCCAACTTTTGCCCTCCAGGGGGAAGCCTGGGCAGGTTTGCCAACAGCCCCTGTGTAAGTTCAGGGCCTCCTAATATTAGGGTCCCTTTTTTTTTTTTTTTTTTTTAAGACGGAGTCTCGCTCTGTCACCCAGGCTGGAGTGCAGTGGCACCATCTCGGCTCACTGCAACCTCTGCCTCCCAGGTTCAAGTGATTCCCTTGCCTCAGCCTCCCAAGTAGCTACGATTACAGGTGCACGCCACCATGCCTGGCTAATTTTTTGTATTTTTAGTAGAGACGGGGTTTCACCGTGTTAGCCAGGATGGTCTCAATCTCCTGACCTCGTGATCCGCCCGCCTCGGCCTCCCAAAGTGCTGGGATGACAGGCGTGAGCCGCCGCGCCCGACCAGGGTCCCTTTTCGTAATGTGCTTCACTATGTGTTCAGGTAACATATGGAGCTCATCACAAGTCCCTGTAGAAAGTGGGGCTCAAGGCCGGGCGTGGTGGCGGGCGCCTGTAATCCCAGCTACTCTGGAGGCTGAGGCAGGAGAATTGTTTGAACCCGGGAAGTGGAGCTTGCATTGAGCCGAGATCGCGCCTTTGCACTCCAGCCTGGGCGACACAGCGAGACTCTGTCTCAAAAAAAAAAGAAAAAAAAAAGTGGGGCTCAAGGAGTCTGTGTATTACTGCTGCTGTGAGTAATAAATTGTCTTCCACCATCTTCTATTAGAATCTATGAAATTGTGATGGGTTATCTAGTTAGCTTGCAAGCAGAATAAAAACTCAGACCCTTTCACAGTTACTGACTTAACAGAGATAAAGATAAAACTCTTAAAAGCAACCAAATAAAAAAATGTACATTGCATACAGGAATGACGGATAATTTTTCATCAGAAACCATGTAGGCCAGAGGACAAAATGTTGTTTTGTTTGTTTGTTTGTTTGAGATGGAGTCTTGCTCTGTCTCCCAGGCTGGAGTGCAGTGGTGCAAGCTCGGCTCACTACAACCTCTGCCTCCCAGGTTCAAGTGATTACCTTGCCTCAGCCTCCCAAGTAGCTACGATTACAGGTGCACGCCACCATGCCTGGCTAATTTTCATATTTTTGATAGAGACAGGGTTTCGCCATGCTGTTAGGCTGCTCTCGGACTCCTGGCCTCAAGTGATCCCCCGGCCTCGGCCTCCCAAAGTGCTGGGATTACAGGCGTAAGCCACCAGGCCGAGCCAGAATGGAATATCATCTTTAAAGTGCTAAAAGGAAAAAAGCTAGCAACTTACAGTGACTTTATCCCCTAAAAAATTTGTAAATAGGAAGTAAGACATCTTCAAATAAATAAAATCCGACAGTATTATATGAAAAGTAAATAAATTATTCAAGATAAAGGGAATGATATTAAATAAAAATTATAATCTACAGTGAAGCAATGAAGAGCAGTGGGAATGATAAATATATGGATAAATATAAAATACTTTTTCACGTTTGTATTAAGTTATTTAAAAGTTCATTGACTAAAGCAAAAATAGTAAGATTTTGGGAGATTTGTGGCATTTATAGAAGCAAGATGTATAACAAGAAAAGCACAAAGCACAGAAGGGGAAGAAAAATGGAAGTACATTGTAAGATTTTTATGTTGTGTATGATATTTTATAATATTAATTCAGACTAAAATCCAGTAGAAGATATAAAAATTATCACTGAAAAATAGCTTACCCAAGAGAGGTCAGGGAAGTAAGAAAAAATTAAGAAGAGGGAGGACACATAAAACAAATAGCAAGATAGAAAATGTATCAATAATTACACTAAATACCCTAAATAAAAGATAGACCTGTCAAATAGGCTAAGAAAACAAGACCCAACTATACTGTGTTTACAAGACACACGTTAAATATAAAAACCCAGACTAGTTGAAAGTAAAAGTATAGGGAAAATATACTATATAATATGAATTTTAGACAAAGTAGGCTTTAATACAAGCAAATTACCAGAAATAAAAAAGGTCATATTAAAATGACAAAAGGATCAATTTATCAAGAAGACATAACAAGCCGGGCACGGTGGCTCATGCCTGTAATTCCAGCATTTTGGGAGGCCAAAGCGAGTGGATCACCTGGGGTCAGGAGTTCAAGACCAGCCTGACCAACATGGTGAAACCCTGTCTCTACTAAAAATACAAAAATCAGCTGCGTGCAGTGGCACACGCCTGTAATCACAGCTACTCAGGAGGCTGAGGCAGGAGAATTGCTTGAACCCAGGAGGAGGAGGTTACAGTGAGCCAAGATCCTGCCATTGCATTCCAGCTTGGGTGACAGAGTGAGACTCTGTCTCAAAAGAGAGAAGGAAGAAGAAAAGAAGAACTAGAAGAAGAACAAGAGGAAGAGGAAGAAGAAGAAACATAACAATCCTAAATGTATAGGAATGTAACAACAGAATTTCCAAATATGTCAAGCAAAAATGGAAGCAGAAAACCCACTTAGTTGGACGTGATAAAACCCATTTCTCAATAATTAATAAAACAAATATACAAACAATTATTAAGGATACAGATTTGAACAACATAATTGTTCAACTTGACCAAATTGACATCATATAATATTACACCACCAATGGCAAAATACATATTCTTTTCAGCGGCTCATGGAGTATTCACCAAGACTTATGATTCATGAACTATAGAAGAATCTCTAAATTTCAATGGAAGAAATCATAAGATCCTGACTACCGCGGAACTAAATTAGCAACCCATAATAATATCCTATGTAAGAAAATATTCAAATGTTTGGAAATAAAGCAATGTACTTCCAAATAACTCATAGGTCAAACAAGAAATCACAGGAAATGTGAGGAAATCCTTCAAATTAGAATGGCATAAATATATAAAAACAGATCAATGTAACAGAATTAAAGTGTCCTAATATATATCTACATATCTTTTGACAAAGGTGTCAAGATAATTCATGAAGAAAGAAAAGCCTTTTCAACAAACAGTGCTGGAGCAACTAGAAATATATATGATTAAAAAAATGAACCCTGGGACTTGTATCTAATATATAAATAATACTTATAGCCCAATCATTGAAAGAAGAATTCAATTTTAAAATAGGCAAAGGACCTGAATAGACATTTCTCTAAGGTAGACAAATTACCAATAAACACATGAAAAGATGCTCAACTTCATTAGCAATCAGGGAAACACAAGTCAGAATCACAATAAGGTACTGGATTGGCTATAATAAAAAGTACCTATAATAACAAGTATTGGCAAGGTTGCAAAAAATTGGAAATCTCATATACTTTTGGTAGGTTTGTAAAATGGTGCAGCCACTTTGGAAAACAGTTTGGGAATTCTTCAAAACATGAAACGTAGAGTTTCCGTATGACCCAGAATTTCACTCCTAGGCCTGGGAGGCAGAGGAGGATGGCTATACAGAAGACTTCAACAATCATTCTCCCCACAGGAACACCAAATTTAACAACGATCTATGTAAAAAAAAAAATACCTTCATAAGAACCAAACATCAAGGGCGGGTGCAGTGACTCACCAGCACATTGGGAGGCCGAGGCGGGCGGATCACCTGAGGTCGGGAGTGCGAGACCAGTCTGACCAACATGGAGAAAACCCGTCTCTACTAAAAATACAAAATTAGCTGGGCGTGGTGGCGCATGCCTGTAATCCCAGCTACTCGGGAGGCTGAGGCAGGAGAATCGCTTGAACTCGGGAGGCGGAGGTTGCAGTGAGCCGAGATCATGCTATTGCACTCCAGCCTGGGCGACAACAGCCAAACTCCGTCTCAAAAAAAAAAAAAAAGAACCAAAAATCAGGTGAGCATCACAGTACCTGGTTTTAACTTCATATCACTGAAAGCGGCATTGAATAGGGTAGAAAAGACGGTTTTGAATTACCTATGTCACCCCTCCCCCATCCCCCAGCAGCAGCCATGTGGCACAGGGAGAGAATCAATGAATCAATGAGCATGGAGGAGGGATAGTGCAGTGATTGCCGGACTTTGTATTGGAACCCAGCGATGCCCTGACACAGTGGAAAGCAACACCAAGCAGAACTTAGCTGATGCACACAGAGGGAGCATCTAGACCAGCCCTAGCCAGAGGGGAATCGTCCATCCCAGAGGAAGGAACTTAAGTTTTGGCAAGCCTTAATGTCATGAACTAAAGGTCTCTGGGGTCCTAAGTAAACTTGAAAGGCAATCTAAGCCACAAGGACTGCAATTCCTAGGCAAGTCCTAGTGCTGTTCTGGGCTCAGAGTCAGTGGACTTGGAGAGCACATGACCTGGTGATAGGCCAGATGGGAAGGCCAAGGGAGGGCCTGCATTACCCCTCCTCCAATCCCAGGCAGTGCAGCTCACAGCTCCAAAAGATACTCCTTCCTTCTGCTTGAGGAGAAATGAAGGTATAATAAAGAGGATGTTGTTTTGCAACCTGGATACCAGCTCAGCCATAGTAGGATAGGGCACTATGCAGAGTCCTGAGGCACACATTCCAAGCCCTAGCTCTCAGATGACATTTCTAGATATACCCTGGACCAGAAGAGAAATCACTGCCTTGAAGGGAAGGACCTAGTCCTGGCAGGATTCATAACCTGCCGAGTAATGAGCCCCTGAGCCCTGAATAATCAGCAGCTGTAGGCAGGTAGTATACACTGTGGGCCTTGAGTGAGACTCAGAGCCATGCTGGCTTCAAGTATGACCCAGCACATTCCCAGCTGGGTAGCTATGGAAAGGGACTCCTTCAGCTTGAGAAAAGCAGAGGGAAGAATAAAGGAGGGGACTTTGTCTTGCAGCTTTCAAGTTTATTTAGGACCCCAGAGACATTAAGGCTTGCACCAGGCAGACTCTTGAGGTCCCTGATTCCAGGCCTTGGCACTTGGACGGCATTTCTGGACCTGCCCTGGGCCAGATGGGAGCCCACTGCCTTGAAGGCGAGTGAGTCCCAGGCCTGGCAACATTCACTACAAGCTGACTGAAGAGCACTTTGGCCTTGAGTAAACATTGGCAGTAGCCTGACAGTATGCCCCAAGGCCCTGTGGCAATGGTGGCCATAAGGAGAGACTCCTTTGCTTATGGAAAGGGGAGGGAAAAGTCTTGTGGCCTGTGTGCCAGCTCAGCTGCAGTAGACTAGAGCACAAGTTAGATTTCTAAGGTTTCCGACATCAGACCATTTCCTCCAGACAACAACTCATCGCCCTGAAAGGAAGGATGCAAGCATGGCTGGCTGCAACACCTGTTGATCGTAGAGCCCTACTGCCTTGAGCCAACAGAGATGGTAGACAGGTAGTGGTTACAGTGGGCCTTGACCCAGTGCCGTGCTGGGTTTCAGGTCTGACCCAGTGCATTCCAAGTTGTGGTGGCCACAGAGGTGCTTGTGTCCCACTATCCCCAGCTTTAGGCCACTCAGCACAGAGAGAAAGATTTTGTTTATTTGGGAGAAAGTAAAGGAAAAGAATAAGAGTCTCTGCCTGGCAATCTAGGGAATTCTTCTGGATCTTATTCAAGACCACAAAGGTGATACCTCTATGAGTCTGCAAGAGCCACAGTGTTACTAAGCTTGACAAGCCCCCTGAAGCATGTATGACTGCAGTGACCAAAAACTTAGACCGCAACACCCAAATCCTTTCAAATACCTGGAAAATTTTCCCAAGAAGGATGGGTACAAACAAGCCCAGACTATGAAGACTACAATATGTACCTGACTCTTCAGTGCCCATGCACTGATGAACATTCACAAGCCATTACAACCATAAAGGAAAACATGACCTTACCGAATAAGGGACAAAATAAGGAATCAGGGACCAATCCTGAGAGACAGAGATATGTGACCTTTCAGACAGAGAATTCAAAATAGCTGTTTGAGGAAACTCAATGAAATCCATGACAACGCAAAGGAGAAATTCCGAATCCTATTAGATAAATTTAACAAAGAGATTGAAATAATTAAACATAATCAAGCAGGAATTCTGGAATTGAAAAATGCAGTTGACATACTAAAGAATGCATCAGAGTCTCTCTTTATCTCTCTCTCTCTCTTTTTTTTTTTTTTCAGAGACAGAATCTCTCTCTGTTACCAAGGCTGGAGTGCAGTGGTGCAATCTCAGCTCATTGCAACCTCTGCCTCCTGGGCTTAAGTGAGTCTCAGGCCTCAGTCTCCTGAGTAGCTGGGATTACAGACTTGCACCATCACACCCAACTAATTTTAGTACTTTTAGTAGAGACGGGGTTTTGCCATATTGGCCAGGCTGGTGTCGAACTCCTGGCCTCATGTGATCCTCCTGCCTCAGCCTCCCAAAGTGCTCGATTACAAGCATGAGCCACTGCATTCAGCCTCAGAGTCTTTTAATAGCAGATTTGATCAAGCAGAAGAAAGAATTAGGTTGAAGACAAGCTATTTGAAAATGCACAGATACAGGACACAAATGAATAAAAAAAGAAGAATGCCTACGGGATCTAGAAAATAGCCTCAAAAGGGCAAATGTAAGAGTTATTGGCCTTAAAGAGGAGGTGGAGAGAGAGATAGGGGTAGAAAGTTCATTCAAAGGGATCATAACAAGAACTTCCCAAATCTAGAGAGATAAATCAATTTTCAAGTATAAGAGGACTGTAGAACACCAAGTGGAGTTAACCCGAAGAAGACTACCTGAAGGCATTTAATAATCAAACTCTCGAAGATTAAGGAAAGAATCCTAATAGCAGTAAATAAGAAAAACAAATAACATACAATGGAGCTCCAATACATCTAGCAGCAGACTGTTCAGTAGAAACTTCACAGGCCAGGAGAGAGTGGCATGACATATTTAAAGTGCCGAAGGAAAAAAAATATTTACCGTAGAATAGTATATCCAGCAAAAATATCTTTGAAACATGAAGGAGAAATACTTTCCCAGACAAATAAAATATGAGAGACTTCATCAACACAAGAACTGTCCTACAAGAAATGCTAAAGTGTGTTCTTCAATCTGAAAGAAAAGGACATTAATGAGCAATAAGAAATCATCTGAAGGTACAAAATTCAGATAATTACTGGTAATAGTAAGTACACAAAAAATAAATATTATAACACTGTAATTGGGATGTGTAAACTACTCATAACTTAGGTAGAAAGATGAAAAGAACTGTTCAAAAATAATAACTATACCAACTTTTTTCTTTTTGAGACAAGGTCTCACTCTGTCACCCAGGCTAGGGTGCAGTAGTGCAATCATGGCTCACTGCAGCCTCAGCCTCCCTGGCTTAGGTGATCCTCCCACCTCAGCCTCCTGAGTAACTGGGACCATGGGTGCACAACACCATGCCTGGCTCATTTTTGTATTTTCTGTAGAGATGGTGTTTCGCCATGTTGCCCAGGCTGGTCAGAAACTCCTGGGTTCAAGTGATCTGCATTCCTCGGCCTCCCAAAGTGCTGGGATTACAGGCATGAACCACAGCGCCTGGCCTGTAACAACTTTTCAAGACATAGACAGTACAATAAGATATAAACAGAAACACCAAAAAGTTAAAAAGTGAGGGATAAAGTTATAGTGTAGAGATTTTATTAATTTTCTTTTTGCTTGTTTGTTCATGCAATCAGTGTAAAATTGTCATCAGTTTAAAATAATGAGTTATTCCAGTGAGCCAAGATCATGCCACTGCACTCCAGCCTGGCTGATAGCACGAGACTCTGTCTCAGTAAATAAATAAATAAATATAGTTATACAATATTATTTGCAAGCCTCGTGGTAACCTCAAATCAAAAAACCTACAAAGGATACATGAATAATAAGAAAGCAGGAAATTAAAACATACCACCAGAGAAAATCACCTTCACTAAAATGAAGACAGAAAGGAAAGAAAGAAGGAAGAGAAGACCACAAAACAACCAGAAAACAAATAACAAAATGGTAGGGGTAAGTCCTTACTTATCAATAACAACATTGAATGTAAATAGACTAAACTCTTCAATCAAAAGACATAGAGTGGCTGAATGGATTAAAAAAAAAAATAAGACCCAATGATCTGTTCCCTACAAGAAACACATTCCACCTAAAAAGACAAACATAAACTGAAAATAAAGAGATGATTGTTTTTTGTTTCCATGCCACTGGAAACAAAAAGGAAGCAGGTGTAGCTCTACCTACATGAGACAAAATAGATTTCGAGACAAACACTATAAGAAAAGACAAAAAGGTCATTATATAAGAATAAAAGGGCTACTTTAACAAAAGGATATGACAAGAGTAAATATATACATCCCCAACACTGGAGCACCCAGATATATAAAGCAAATATTAGAGCTAAAGAGGAAGATAGACCCCAACACAGTACTAGCTGGAAACTTCAACACCCCACTTTCAGCATTGGACAGATCATCCAGACAGAAAATCAACAAAGAAACATAAGACTTAATCTGCTCTATAGACACAATGGACCTAATAGATATTTACAGAACATTTCATCCAACAGCTGAAGAATACACATTCTTCTCAGCACATGAATCATTCTCAAGGATAGACCATTTTAGGCCACAAAATAAGTCTTAAAACATTTTAAAAAATTAAAATAATATCAAGTATTTTCTCTGACCACGATGGAATAAGACTAGAAATCAATAACAAGAAGAACTTTGGAAACTATACAAGCACATGTAAAGATATTCTATGTTCATGGACTGGAAGAATCAATATTGTTAAAATGTTCATACACTGAAAGAATCAGTATTGTTAAAATGTCCATACTACCCAAAGCCACCTTCAGATTCAATACAATCCCTATCAAAATACCAATGACATTCTTCACAGAAACAGAAAAAGTAATCCTAAAATTTATGTGGAACCACAAAAGACCCAGAATAGACAAAGCTCTTCTGTGCAAAAAGAACAAAACTGGAGGAATCACATTACCTGACTTCAAATTATACTACAGAGCTACAGTAACCAAAGCAGCATGGTACTTGCATAAAAACAGACACATAAACCAATGGAACAGTGTAGAAAACTTAGAAAAAAATCCATACACCTACAGTGAACTCATTTTTGACGAACGTGCCAGAACATACATTGGGAAAAGGACAGTCTCTTCAAAAATGGTACTGGGAAAACTGGATATCCGTATGCAGAAGAATGAAACTTCACTCCTGTCTCTTACCGTTCACAAAAATCAAATCAAAATGGATTAAAGACTTAAACCTAAGACCTCAAACTATGAAACTACAAGAAAACATTGGGGAAACTCTTCAGGGCATTGGACCAGGCAAAGATATCTTGAGTAATACCCCACAAGCATAGGCAACCAAAGGAAAATGGACAAATGGGACCACATTAAGTTAAAAAGCTTCTGCACAGCAAAGGAAACAATCAATAAAGTGAAGAGGCAATCCAAAGAATGGAAGAAAATGTTTACACTCTATCCATCTGACAAGAAATTAATAACCAGAATATATAAGGAACTCAAACAACTCTCTAGGAAAAAAAAAATCTAATAATCCAATTAAAAATGGACAAAAGATCTGAACAGACCTTGCTCAAAAGAAGACATACAAATGGAAAACAGATATGTGAAAATGTGCTCAACATCATCAGAGAAATGCAAATCAAAACTACAATGAGCTATTATCTCACCCCGTTAAAATGACTTTTATCCAAAAGACAGGCAATAACAAATGCTGGCAACAATGTGGAGAAAAGGGAATCCTTAAACACTCTTGGTGGGGATGTAAATTAGTACAACCACTATGGAGAACAATTTGGAGGCTCCTCAAGAAACCAAAAATAGAGCTACCATATGATCCAGCAATCCCACTGCTGGGTATATACCCAAAAGAAAGGAAATCAGTATAATGAAGAGATATCTGCACTCCCATGTTTATTATAGCACTCTTCACAATCACCGAGATTGGAACCAACTTGTCAATCAACAGATGACTGAATAAAGAAAATGAGGTACATATACACAGTGGAGTACTATACAGCCATAAAAAAGAATGAGATCCTGGCATTTGCAATAATATGGATGGAACTGGAGGTCATTATGTTAAGTGAAATAAGTCAGGGATAGAAAGACGAACCTCGCATGTTTTCATTTACTTGTGGGAGCTAAAAATGAAAACAATTGAACTCGTGGAGATAGTGGAATGATGGTTACCAGAGGCTGCAAAAGGTAGTGAGGGAGTGAGGAAGAAGTAGGGATGGTTAATGGGTGCAAAAAATAGCTAGAAGAATAAAAAAGGCCTAGTACTTGATAGCACAACAGGGTGACTATAGCCAATAATAATTTAATTGTATATTTTTAAATAACTAAAAGAGTATAATTGGATTATTGTAACACAAAGAATAAATGCTTGAGGGGATGGATACCCTATTTACCCTGATGTGATTATTATGCATTGCATACCCATATCAAAATATCTCATGTACCCCATAAATATATACACCTACTATGTACTCACAAAAATTAAAAATAATTTGTTTAAAAACTATAAATGAATAAGAAAATGACAAACTACTCAAATAAAATAATGGCTGAAAGGGTTAAACAGACATTTTACAATTTAAAAAAATCACAGATGACCAATAAACACATGAAAAGATGCTCAATATTTTTAGTACAAATTCAAACCTCAAAGAGATACTACTTCATCCTCATAAGAATGGCTAGAATTTAAAATACTGACAATACCAAATATTGACGAGTTGACAAGGAACTGGAGCCACTGGCACTCCTTTTTTTTTTTTTTTTTTTTTTTTTTTTTGAGGCCAAGTCTCACTCTGTCGCCCAGGCTGGAATGCAATGGAGTGATCTCAGCTGACTGCAACCTCCTCCTCCTGGGTTTCAGCAATTCTCCTGCCTCAGCCTCCCAAGTAGCTGGGACTACAGCTACCACCGCCACCACGCCCAGCTAATTTTTGTATTTTTAGTGGAGACAGTGTTTCACCATGTTGGCCAGGCTGGTCTGGAACTCCTGACATCAGGAGTTCCTGGACATTTGGAACTCCTGACATCCACCCACCTTGGCCTCCCAAAGTGCTGAGATTACAGGCGCGAGCCACTGCGCCTGGCCGCCACTGGTACTCTTATACTTTGCTCACAGCAGTGTAAAACCATGCAACAACTTGGAGAACAAGTCGCCAATTTCTTGTAAATTGACCTACCTTTTGACCTAGTCCTTTCACTGCTAGGCATTTACTCAAAGCAAGAGAGTTGAAAACAAATATCCACAAGAAGAATGGTATAAAAGAATAGCTGCTCTACGCATCATAGACAAAAACTGAAAACATCTCAAAAGTCCATGGATAATCTGTTATGATTTATTCATAAGTTGGAATACTACTCAACAATAGAAAGGAACAATCTGTTGATTTCTCACAACAACATGGATTAATCTCAAAAACATTATGTTGAGAGGAAGAAGCCAAGTAAAATAGTACATACTGTATGATTCCATTTATGTGAAGTTTGAAACAGGACACAACCAACCTATGGGATAAAAGTTAGAACAGTGGATACCTCTTGAGTGGGAGGAATTGATTAGAGAAGGACATAAATGAATTTTCAGGAGTTATGGAAATGTTTTACATTTTCATTGGGGTGGTAGTTAAATGAATGTATATATTTCTCAAACTTTATGCAACTGAGCATTTAAAATCTGTACATGGGGCATGTCAGGGTGTAGTGTGGGGCTTAACGGTGAGCTGAGTCAGGACCAGGACATTCAGATGACCCACGGGCTGGAGACATCTGGTGATACTTGGGTTATAACCTTATTCAAGCAGTTTTATAGTGAGCTTTTACCCAGAGCACTTTGCATGTTATTTAATAATGACAATAACTCTGAGAAGTATTATGATCTTGGTTTTCTTTATTTTTTGTTTATTTTAGAGATAAGGTCTTGCTCTGTCACCCAGGCTGGAGTGCAGTGGCACAATCATGGCTCACTGCAGCCAGGCCTCCGGGGCTCAAGTGATCCTCCTGCTTCAGCCTCCACAGCTGGCTAATTTTTTTAACTTTTTTGTAGAGATGGGGGGTCTTGCTCTGTTGGCCAGGCTTGTCTTGAACTCCTGGCCTAAAGCGATCCTTCCACCTCAGCCTCCCAAAGTGCTGGGATTATAGGCATGAGATACTGTGCCCAGCCTTGATTTTCTAAATGAATGAAATGAGCTTCAGGAAGCTTCAGAAGCTGGTTCAAAATCACTTGGCTATTAAATGATGTAGCTGGACCTCATCCCTGAGAGTTATGATTTCAAACTAGAGACTCTTGTCCCTTTCCACTTGCAAATGGCCTATCTGAAAATCAGCTCTGTCTGGAGCTGGCCCCCTTCCCCTCTGCTCCCTGCAGCACAATCTTCTGAATTGAGTTTCTCAGAAGGGGCATGGGGGAGGCATACTTTCGTCAGGAGATTCGCCCTGGTCTGAAAGGGGTACAAGTTCTGTCGAAGAGTTTGATATTAAAGATAACTGTAATTTTAAAGCTCTGCCCTTCTGGAGTGGATGGGCTCTGTGTTTAGCAGAGAACTTTGGTCAGTGTTTGGAGAGCCAAAGGTGAGCCCTGGATGCACTTGAAGTGGCAGGAGGTCAGGAGAAGTGAGATCCTTCACAGAAAATAGCAACAGAAATGTGGGCATTGCGGGCTGGCAGATAGAGAACAATCATAAGCAGCAAGCCAGGCCTGGGGATCCTGCCCTGTCGGGTGGTGAGGCTGGGGCGTGTTGACAGTGCCATCTCATATTCAGTGGCTCTGCTATGATCCTTTAATCACTATTTCGAACATTGTTCATTCTTCCCAGTTAATTCCACCACACCTGCCTCTATGCGGTTTTGTGGCTCTCACAGAGAGAAGGAGGAGCGTGGGGACTTACAGGCTTTCTTCACACACCATGGGTGAACACAGAGACACACAATTTGTACCCTGGGGCCCTGTTATTCTACCTCAGGAGTGGAATTATTATTTTCCTAATTTGCCCCACAATACACAAAAAAAAGACAAAACTGGGAATATAAATTAGCTATGTAAAAATACTACTACTGACAGCTGGTTTCCATTCATGGCTAAGCACTGTAGGGAGTGCTCTGCTGATGGTCTCCTGCACCTGGAGATGAACGATAGTAGGTACTCAATGAATAAGACTGTTGAATTAATAAGCAGGCACTGGTGTGGGTGGAAATGCCCTTATCTTAATGGAGCTTAAAATGTAGTAGGAAAAAAATCTTAAATAAGCACACAAACACATAGCATGGCAGAAGGTAATCTTTTTTTTTTTTTTTTTGGCAGAGTGTCGCTCTTCTTGCCCAGGCCAGATGCAATAGCGCCATCTCGGCTCACCAAAACCTCTGCCTCCCAGGTTCAAGCGATTCTGCCTCAGCCTCCCGAGTAGCTCGGATTACAGGCATGTAACACCACGCCCGGCTAAGTTTGTATTTTTAGTAGAGATGGGGTTTCTCCATGTTGGTCAGGCTGGTCTCGAACTCCCGACCTCAGGCGATCTGCCCGTCTTGGCCTCCCAAAGTGCTGGGACTACAGGCGTGAGCCACCGTGCCCACCCAGCAACCATTTTTAGGAAGAAAAATAAAGCAAAGTACAGAAACAGTAAGCAAAGGAGGTACAGGTGGCTTTCAGGAGGCAAATGCTATTTTAGATAAGGTGGTCAAAAATGACCTCTCTGATAAGGAGCCATGGGTGCAGAGGCCTCAATGCGGAAGAAGAAATAAGTCAGGTGTATCTCTGGGGTACAGTATTCTAAGAGAGAAGAAAAAATGGGAAGTGCATATTAAACTAATATATTTCATAAAGAACTAAAAGTAGAACTACCCTTTGATTCAGCAATCCCACTACTGGGAAAAGAAGTCATTACACGAAAAAGATACTTGCACACGCATGTTCATAGCAGCACAATTTGCAATCACAAAATCGTGGAACCAACCCAAATGCTCATCAATCAATGAGTGGATAAAGAAACTGTGATATATATGATATCTATATATGATATATGATATATATATATATATATTGATAGATATAGCTATAAGGTGGAATACTACTCTGCCATAAAAAGGAATTAATTAACAGCATTTGCAGTGACCTGGATGAGATTGGAGACTATTATTCTAAGTGAAGTAACTCAGGAATGGAAAACCAAACATTGTATGTTCTCACTGATATGTGGGAGCTAAGCTATGAGGATGCAAAGGCATAAGAATGATACAATGGTCTTTGGGGACTTGGGGGGAAGGGTGGGTGGGGGGTGAGAGATAAAAGACTACAAATAGGGTACAGTGTATACGGCTTGGGTGATGGGTCCACCAGGATCTCACAAATCTCCACTAAAGAGCTTACTACATGTAACCAAACACCTCCTGTACCCCATTAACCTATGGAAAAATAAAAAAATAAATAAATTAAATAAATGAATGAATATACTTCAGAATATGTTGGCAGTGAGTTTTCATCAGTTTCCGATAAGCGCCCAGGTGCTCTAGGGAGCACAAACAGCAAAACACTGAATCTTTACTTTAAGGTGCTCAGGGGATGGTTAAAACATACACCTCTGGAAAGACCCCAGAGGCGCCATGCAGATCAGGGGTCTGGGCTACAGGTCCTCATGGAGTCTAGAAGAGGGGGTTATTGAGGGCTGGTATGGACCGTGCTCGATGTCTTCATGGAACAAATTGTCCAAGAGCCTCGCTTTGAGGAGATTTTTGTAGGAACTAGGGGGTGCAGATGGGGAGAGAGAGCACTTAGAAGTAGAGCATGGGGTGGTGAAAGGACAAATTTCAGAGTGTCCAAGGCCTATTTATGCTTTAGGACAGACTAGAATCCTTACCATTGCCTACTAGGTTAGCAAGATCTAGCCCCAGCCTAGCTCCCTGTGCTCCAACCACAGGCCTGAGTTGAAAGAAAACTAAACTCCTGTGACTTATAATAAATACTGCCAAGGAGGGAAGGCGAAGATGTCAGTGTGACTCCATTGTGGCCTAAGGAAGATGTGTCTTGACTCTACACACAGACATACTGATCTCTTGGCAGGAAGCCCCTTGGAGTGGAGGTGGAGCGCTCAGGTGGGGCAGCTTGAGGTCCCTGGTCACTAAGATCTTTCCTCTGCTCTGACTCCAAGCAAATCAAGTTTCCTGAGTCATCTGACTGTGTCAACTGTCCCTGGGAAAGAATGCAGGCATAGCTGGCCCCTGAACAGATCCATTCCCCACTGTAGTGAGTGCCTGGGTATTTTATCTATCTCTTTTACGAGTTCTGTCCACTACCCACCAACACACAAAAGTACGCATTTCCCTTGTAGGCACGCCGTTGGGATTCCTGTGCTGAGTTCCAACATGTGGGTGTGTTCCCCCGGCCGAGGAGGGAAGTGTTAATTCCACACACCAGTCAATCATACAGGTAAAAGGTCTGCAACAGATAACAGGATGACAGGAAGTGGACTTTAAAGCAGGCACAGAAGACTTAGAATTTCTCGGGTGTCACCCCTTGGAGACTAGACATTGGCAATAGGCAACATTTGGATACTTGTCAGGAGTCAGGCCCCACCTCAGCTTGATTGATAGGTGAATGAAAATAAATTTTTCCTTAGAGTGAAACACCTAGAGAGTCTTGAAAAACCAGACCTTCACTAATTTGAGAGCATGAACCAAACTGATTATTTGCCTTGTCAAGATTCTTTCCAGGCCGGGTGTGGTGGCTCACACGGTAATGCTAGAACTTTGGGAGGCTGAGGCGGGCGGATTGCTTGAGTCTGGGAGTTGGACACCAGCCTGGGCAAAATGGTGAAACCCCGTTTCTATTTAAAAAAAAAAAAACAAAAACACTTTCCAGAGCAGTCAGGTGTGTACAAAATGCTGACCCCTGGTGGATATTTCCTGAACTACTCTTTTAGCTCCACATGAAGGAGACCCAGAGGCAAGACGTCAAAGCTAATCTTCCCTGTTTTTAAGCTTTCTCAGGTTTAAAGCTAAGAACCCAATAGATGAGTTTCATTGTCTCCAGAAACTTTTATGGAGAGAACTGGGCTGAATATCAAGCATGTTGAGATTTGCTGTTGTGGCTAGGGATTTCATAGTTATGTGAAGAGAAAACAAAAACTTATTTGGTTTCCCCAAGATTTGCAAGAATTTTACCCCAATTTGACACCCCCTGTTGAAGGCCAATTTATGTTCCCCCCAGAATGAAGCTTGAAATGTGTTTTAGCCAGCCTGTGATTGAGAAAATAGAAAATCTTCTACCTTCAACCCAAATTAACATGTAGTCAAAATGTACTGCTGATGCGGTAAGTGGCCTTTCTTTGAAGTTAAAGACCATCTCCCTCCATTGTATTGACAGACACTACCAGGGCCAGGTGGGAGAGCTGGGAGGACTTGACCTCAGGGTCCCTGACTTAGGAGCTATGTGGTCCACAGGGCCTCAGCCCTGGCATCATGATGTCCTTGTCCCACACCCAGATCAAGTGAATCAGAACCTCTGGATGGAGGAGGTAGGCCACTTTTGGTAAAAAGCTCCTGCAGGTCAGCCTGATGAAGACACATATCTAGTTCAATTCCCTCCTTTTATGAAAACTGAGGCCTAGGGAGGAGAGGTTGCTTGGCCAAGGGCCCCCCAGGGAGTCTGTAGGAAAACTCTGACTCACCAATGAAAGACCTGAATTCAGCCTTGAATTTTCAAACAGTTGTCCTTGATTCTGTAGTGTTGTAGTAGATCAGGCCCAGAAGTGACGGAAGAAGCCACAATCCTCTTGAGGCTTGCTTGTCTTCCCTCTCTGTGCTTTTCTCTCCCATCTCAGCCCCTCCACCTCCCAGTCACCTGTGCACCGCCTCCCAGTTGAACAAAAGCCTCACTTAAGCATGAACCCCAGGCCTGGCTTTCCTAATCCATGGCCCCTGCCTTGTGCTATATAAAGTGCTGGCCCCTTGATTATTAATTTCCTCACCGCAGGCTGAGACCAGACCTGGAATACCCCACCAAGCCAAACTCAAATGTTTGCACATCCACTTGCTTTAAACATAGCCCCAATAAGCCTATGGTAATCCATTTAGAACCTGCCTGCTCTGTATACTCCATGAAACTGTATCCAATATCTGCTGGCCAAGGATAAGCCCCAAGCCATAAAGGCCTCAAGCCACTGCAGCCCATAGGAGCTCTCTGACCCAGAGATTCCCTGCTGTGCTGCTGGGTGACTTCACCTGGCCATGTAAGCCCCCTTTCCAATTCTCTTCTTTCCTAGGAGTCCTCTTGCCCTCCTTCCCCTCTGAGTAGGACCCCATCTCCACACTATAGCCTCCTTGACCAATTCCTGCTATAAAGGACCTTCCCCAGTGTAAACCTGTTAAAGCATCAACCCGAAAGCCTATGTGTGCTACCGCCACCTCGTGGTCATATCTTTTTTCTTAACCTCCAAATATCTGAAAAATCCTTCACTCTGGGCCTTTTCCCTCTTCTAAGCTTCCTTCAAAATATTCCTGATCCAAGTCCCCAGTCTTCTCAAATTTGCTGACCTGTCGAATAAATTAATCCATATTGATATATCAGTGGCCAATTCATTTATTCACTGGCCAGATATTCACTTAGCACCCAGTATATCGCAAGCAATGGCCTTGGCACTTGAGATACACTGTAGAACAAAACAGACAAAAATATCTGCATGGGTTGAGCTGACATTCTAGCAGCACGATGATGATTTAAAGTTTTTCCTCTTAGGAATATTTTATGGAACACTTTAAACCAAAGTAAGGAAGTGTTTTGTTTTTTTGTTTGTTTGAGACAGGGTCTCACTATCACCCAGGCTGGGATGCAGTGGCATGATCTCAGCTCACCGCAACTGTCACCTTCCAGGTTTGAGTGATTCTCATGCCTCAGCCTCCCAAGTAGCTGGGATTACAGGCATGTACCACCATGCCTGGCTAATTTTTTGGCATTTTCAGTAGAGACAGGGTTTTGCCATGTTGGTCAGGCTGGTCTTGAACTCCTGGCCTCAAGTGCTCTGCCCACCTCAGCCTCCCAAAGTGCTGGGATTACAGGCGTGAACCACCATGCCCAGCTAAAGTGTTAAGAGGGGAGTTTTTGGTGTCATCAATGGGCTAGTGTGATAGAGAGTAAGGAGATGGGCTAGGTTTATAAGTAGGAGAATCCCTTTATGCTAGTGCGTATGCCAAAACTTATGCATTGTGCGATTTATGCTTTTTATTTTATCTTATTTCTTTCTTTATTTTGAGACAGAGTTTTGCTCTTGTTGCCCAGGTTGGAGTGCAATGGTGTGATCTCGGCTCACTGCAACCTCCACCTCCCAGGTTCAAGTGATTCTCCTGCCTCAGCCTCCTGAGTAGCTAGGATTACAGGTATGCGCCACCATGCCCAGCTAATTTTATATTTTTAATAGAGATGAGGTTTCACCATGTTGGTCAGGCTGATCTCGAACTCCTGACCTCATGTGATCCACCTGCCTCGGCCTCCCAAAGTGCTGAGATTACAAGCATGAACTACTGCACCCGGCTAATGCATTTTAAAACAGTGCTTCTCAAATTTAATGTGCATGGGAGATCTGGTTAAGATGATGACCCTAAGTCAGTAAGTCAAGCCTGAGATCTGAGAATCTGCATTTTAACTCCAGAAGTATGCTGATGTTGCTGATGCATGAACCACACTTGGAGCAATAAGGCTCTAAAGCAGATTCCTTTGAGCACTGACTCTTCTAGGACTAATAATAATAATAAGAATATGCCACTCACCACAGAAGGCTATTGCAAAGATTAAGTAACTTTGCAATAACTCAGCATTGCCTATTATTTGCATTTAGTGGTGGGAAAACCAAGGCTCTGAGGTGTTAACTAGCTTGCTTATGAGCACCCAGTGCAAGCAGGAGAGTCAGAGTGTGACTGCAGAGTCCCAGAGTTCACCCATGTGACTGTTTTGCTGCCTTGCCTGTTTCTAACCTGTAGCTTGCTGCTTGACCTAGTTTGCATGAAGAGTCTTAGCCTTGGGTTTTACCTTAGAGCCTCACAAATGTTAGCTGCTATTGTTGTCATTAAGCTTTGATGAGTTTTCTGCCTTGAACCTCCTCCTTTTACCAGGATTAAAAATATATCAACGACACATGCCCTGCCCTGCCAGCTACTTCCATTTTATATACAAGAAAGAGAAAACTCAGAGATGTTGGATGACCTCCTCAACGTCATAGGATCTTAGATCTAGAGAAGACCTTAAACATTTTCTCCAGTTTGTTGCCTTTTAGCCTATTTAGTTTAGTTTGCTTTTAGCAATGAAGTCTCCCTTTCAAACAAAGTCCCATGGGAGGTCCAAGTTGTAAAGAAGAGAAAAACAGAGGGCTCTGTTGGGAACAGGGTTCAAGGGATGAATCCTGGCCCATTTATCCTCCCCTCTGCAGGGTTTCCCATTTCCAGAGACCTTAGAGGGAAGGGTCCAAGGAGCTCTGTTTGGAAAATCCCCATCCAAATCAACATTCCCCTCAAACAAATGAGGAACAGTCCCCACAAAGGGAGGTGACTTGGCCAAAATCAGACAGCAAGTGCATGACCTCACTGGGGCCTGCCTCTTGGACTCCAGAGACCAAGCCCAGAATCTAACAGAAACAACCTGGGCAGGTGAAAGGACCACACTCCTCACTCTCCTGACTGTTTACTGAGGTGTGTTTGATAAGTGGTCACTCATGGTCTTGCACTCCCACCTATGGGGACAAATTCAATACTCCATTCACTAATCTCATAATTTCCCAGATGCTCCTTTCTTTACACCCTGGTTGTTGGGGGGCAAGTCTTTTTATTTTCTAGGTATTGTGAAATAAAATATACATACAGAAAACCGCCTAACTGCATCCATGCCAAGAAATAGAATGTTGTCTGGACCCTAAAATCCCCCAGGTGCTCCTGCCTGCCACTCTCTCTCGCAGGGGCCAAGTGTCACTGGGCCTTCAGACAGAGCATGGCCTTGCTTCTCTCTGCACCACCTGTTTCCACAGCCCTCCACACAACAGCCCCATGTTGCCCGTTTTGAACTTTGTAGAAATGGAATCACACTCTATGCATGCTTTTGTGATTCTTGTACCCACATGATGTTTGTAAGATTATCTGTCTTGTGAGGTGCAGCTGGCTGTAATTCATTCATTTTCTTTGCCAAGGAGCACTGTGTTGTGTGCAGATACATGATGTACTAATTCATTCTGTGATGGGTGCTTGGGTTGTTTCCAGCAGAGGCTGTTGTGGACAGTGCTGCCCCATATCTTTTTTGCAGAGAGATTTGCTCTCATGTTATCCAGGGAGAGTGAGGCTGAAGGAAGAAAAGAACTCTCAGAGAAGAGGCCAGGCGCCAGCCTCTGGGGTAAGAAAGACACATTGGTCTTTCAGTTTCCTCAGCACTCTATACCCAAAGCCTGTCAAGGCCAAGGACATAGTCAACAATATAGGCATTTTCAAGATTTTATTGTAAAACAGAGCTGAAGTCACAGGAAGTAGGGAACTTTGCACCCAACATATACAGCATTCATTCGCTGAGTACCTGCCAAGAGCGAGGCTAGGTGCTTGGCCCTGCAGGGACCTGAGACATATACGAGTCATGTTTCCTGCTCTGCAGAGCTCCCAGCCCGGTGGGGGAGACAGGCAGAGGCACAGCCATCTTTCATACAAGTCTCCAAGTGCCAGAAGCTCTACAATGTCAAGGAGCAATTTATTCCTTCAGCAGAGGAAGAAAGAACCCCCAGGAGCCACATTTGCTCAGAGCCTTGGGAGCTGAGAAACTTCTGATAGGAGGTAAAGTACTGCAGGCAGCTGTAAAAAATCTGGAGTGGAGATGGAGCTTGGAGGCTGGGCAGCAGTGCCTGGACAGAGGAGTCCAGATTATGGAAGTGTTTTAAAAGGAAAAAAAAAATTATGGGGCTAACATAGTACCATAACTTTTAATTTTTACAAGTTGGGACATCACAAAAAAAGAAGAAAAAGAAGGGAAAAGCTACCACTTACTTTCACCATCATTTCACAAATGCAGGAATATTTTAAGTCCTCAGCCTCTCCCCGAAAGAACATAATCTCCAAATGAAGGGCTCTCCTTCACGGGGACTGAAAAAAAAAAATCATGAAATCCTAATTTTCATTTTCCACAAACCCTTAAAAACCTCCCTCATGGACTGGTCTTTTCTTTTTTGTAAAACAGGGTGTGGGAGCCACTTGGTTGGGGGTCATCAAGTGGCCTGATGGATCCAGGGCATGGGAAGGTGGAATGAGGGAGGAAGAGGCAGTGGCAAGAGGAGAGCAGGTTGGGCAGGTGGTCGGGGTTTGATCCTGAATGCAGAGGCGACATGGAAGGGCTTTGTGCAGGGGCTGCTGTGCTCTGATTCACACATTAGAAAGACCATTCTGGAGGCAGCATGGAGGCTGGTCAGTTGAAGAGGAGGCAGAGTCCTGTGACCAGGTTGTTGTGACGCCTTCTGAGGGTCCACCCCTCAATGGCTGGTCCTCAGTGCCCCCATAGCCGGGAGCCCTGGGGCAGGGGGACTGGCAGTCCCTGCAGTCCTTGCCATGCAAGAATGGGAACAGGCAGGCCTGGGCAGTACTACTCGTCCTCCTGGAAGTAGAATTTGGTGACCATGACGCCTTCGTCAGGCATATTGGTGAGGCTGACGGGCTGGTCAGCTTCCATCGCTGTGCAGAGGAACCAACCGGGGCAGGCGGCAGACTCAAAACTGGTGGTGGGGCCACTGTCTGAGCGGATGAAGGCGAAGCGCTTGTCCTGCTTTCTGTTCTCGCTCAGGTCAGTGATGTTAACTGCCTGGAAATCAAAAGATGGGCAGGTGAGAGCTGAGGCCTAGGAAGTCCTGTGCTGCCTCCCTCTCCACTCCACGCCATGAAATGGCCCTCTGGACAGCCCAGAGTTAGTACAGGGGAAATGCCATACCCTAAAAGCCCCCAGGTGCTCCTGTCTGCCATTCTGTGGGACTCTGGGACCTAGGTTTATTTATTTATTAATTAATTTTCCCGAGACGGAGTCTTGCTCTGTCGCCTAGGCTGGAGTGCAGTGGCACAATCTCGGCTCACTGCAACCTCCACCTCCTGGGTTCAAGCGATTCTCCTGCCTCAGCCTCCTGAGTAGCTGGGATTACAGGCATGCACCACCACACCTGTCTAATGTTTTCTATTTTTAATAGAGACAGGGTTTCACCATGTTGGCCAGGCTGGTCTCAAACTCCTGACCTCGTGATCTGCCCACCTTGGCTTCTCAAAGTGCTGGGATTACAGGCGTGAGCCACTGCGCCTGGCCTGGCCCAGGTTTCTTAGGACAGCAAAGACACAAAGAGGCTGTCCCACTGTCACACCTTGACTTTGGGAAATCTGGCCACTCTGGCCTTGGACCACTAAGTCTGGTAAATACACGGCACCATCAGCAGAAGCCAAGGCCTGTGGAGCTGGTGTTCTGTCAGGGTTTGAGCTCTGAGAAGATGGGGTGGTGGTGTGTTCCATGCAATGTCCTAGCCATCCCCACTCCTCACAGAACAGGCAGTCACCCTCCAGAACAGTGTCCCTGGTGAGGGATGGGACAGTGCCACAGTATGGCCACTCACATTGAGGTTAAGCTTGCATCCAGCAAGCCCCTGAGACAAAGCCATGTTTTCCCAGGGCTGGGAAACCCATTAACATTACATGAGATAAAGGAGCACAGGGCTCTGGGTGGAGCACCAACTAATCAATTTGAGTCAATAAGGATTGGAAGAGAAAGGTCCTGAGGATGGGCTTTGCTAGAAGACAGCAGGTCTGCGTGGGTAGGGGGGCCCTTGAGCAAGGGAGTAGCACACAGAGATTCAGGTCCTGTGGTAGATGGTTACAGTGGTGGCCCCCAGTGACCGTGTCTCCTGGTGTTCACACTCTTATGCAGTCTCCTCTCACAGGGGGCTAGACTTAGCCACGTGACTGGCTTTGGCCAATAGGATGATGCAAGCAGAAGTCATAATAAGCGCCTGCATGTTGAGGCTCTTTTTGGAATAATCCCTTTTGGAAGTCAGCCGCCATGCTGTAAGGAAGCTCCAACTAACTCTTAAACACTGAGAGATCACATGGAAAGAGAGCCTGGAGGATGAGGGACCACCTTGGATGCCCAGCGCAAGCCAGGCACTCTGCTGAATGCAGCTTCCAAAGTGACCCCAGCATGTTCCACCACATGGAACAGAACTACCCAGCTAATCCTGGTCAACCCACAGAATCATAAGAAAAAATTTTGGTTGTTTCAAGCCACTGGGTTTTGGGGTGATTTGAGATCCAAAGCATGTTTTTACCTCCAGCTGGAGTCTGGTCTCATCACCAGACTTGACACAGGACAGGCACATCTTCCCTCCATGGATTCCCAAGAACAGAGCATGAGGCTCAATGGGTACCACATCTATCTTTTCTGGGGAAGAACAGAGGGGAGGGTCAGGTTAATAGAAGAGGAAGCAGCAATAATGAAGAGACCCCGGGTATTTTTCTATCTCCCCTGGTCCCCACAAAACTAAAATCCCGAGGTCAGAAGGGCAGAGAGGTCTCATCTTCCTGGTCTGCAGGTAAATAGAAGATTAAACCAAGCACACTACCCAGTTACTCCTAGAGGCCTGAGTCTCCTGGATGTTGTTCCATGTGATGTCCATATTTCCCTCACTTTCCCCAGGATGCACACTACCCAGTTACTCCTAGAGGCCTGAGTCTCCTGGATGTTGTTCCATGTGATGTCCATATTTCCCTCACTTTCCCCAGGATGCACACTACCCAGTTACTCCTAGAGGCCTGAGTCTCCTGGATGTTGTTCCATGTGATGTCCATATTTCCCTCACTTTCCCCAGGATGCACACTACCCAGTTACTCCTAGAGGCCTGAGTCTCCTGGATGTTGTTCCATGTGATGTCCATATTTCCCTCACTTTCCCCAGGATACCTGTGCTCCAGGTCAATAGGAGTGTTGCTGAGGGGCAGGGAAAATGAACAAGGCCATGAGTGGGGCTCCACAGGAGCCTAGGAGTCTCTGAACCTCCTCTCTCCCTAAGAGGCCTCCATGCTCTCATGTAGCAACAAAAATCTCAGCTTCCTCGTGCTTCAGTGTGTTCATTAGGAGAACTACCAGGACAGGAATTGTAGGTCTCATCCACTTTCAGAGCGAGGCACAGGAGACAGAACCAGGGCATAGGGAAGGTGGGAAGGTGGAGGTAATACCATCCTACAACAACAAACAGGGGAGTGAAAACATCCTGGAAGGCTGGAACTAAAAGAATCGCACATCCTGTTGTCCAGTTGATATCATCCCACTGAAGGGAAAGCTGAGGAACAGAGTGGGTGAAGCTTCTTCAAGGTCATCCAGCTTGTTTAATGTGTGGACCAGAATATGGCTGAGTATGGTGTCCAGGAATAAGAGACATAGCTCAACCTTATACATGGTGGATTAATTTGGGATTGAGTTAGGGTTTGAACAACATAGGAACATGGAGCCTTAATAGGCACTTGAGGAAGGGAATGGTCAACCTTGCCTTCTGGTATTTGCCCTTCCCAGCTGTGGCCCTGGGACCACTGTGCCTATAGGCACTGACCTCTGACCTAGACTCTACCTCTCCACACCCTCTTCAGGCTGCCCTCATATGTGCCCTTCAGTAGCCAGGCCCTCCCAGCTTCAAACTTGAATACAAAGACCCAACAAGGATTAGGACATTGCACCTAGGGTTTGTGCAGGCAGGC
This sequence comes from Homo sapiens, assembly GCF_000001405.40. Classification (NCBI taxonomy): domain Eukaryota; kingdom Metazoa; phylum Chordata; class Mammalia; order Primates; family Hominidae; genus Homo; species Homo sapiens. Next base: position 113,129,735 of record NC_000002.12, on the reverse strand, counting down.
CATGCTGCTGCAGACAGACGGGCAAAGTGACGTGATGCCCACATACATTGGCTTTCCTGGCAACCACTCACCTTCTAAATTGACATTTGGTCCTTGCAAGTATCCAGCAACTAGTTGGTTGTTCCTCAGATAGAAGGTCTTCTGGTTAACATCCCAGATTCTGAAAAGGAAAAGGACTCAGCTGTAGTGCACAGCCACCATGTGCCCAGCCTTGTGCTTGGCACCTTCCTGTGTCCCCCAGAACTTGTCAAATTTGCATCCAGCTCTTCCAGGGGTATAGTATTTTAGTATACCCACGGCATGCATGGATGAGAAGACTGAGGCTGACAATGGTTAAGAGGCAGGCCCAACCCTCACAGCTGGTGAGCAGTGAGCCCACATTTGACTCCCCTCCTTACTTGCTTCCCATCTGAGATTCCCAGGGAAGGCACTTCTGTTTCAGCAAAGCATGCTGTAGAGCAGCAACATCCAAAAGAACTTTCTGGGATGCAAAAATGTTCTGTAGCTGCACTGCCCAATAGGGTGGCCACTAACCACATGTGGCTATTGACCTCTTTAAATGTGGATAGTGTGACCAAGGGTCTGGATTTTAAATTTTCTTCTATTTTCATTCATTTAAGTATAAATTTAAATAGCCACCTGAGACTAGTGGCTACCATAGCACCTAGGTAGAAGTTTCAAGAGACGGAACACCTTGCAGCTAACTCGCTCTGAGTCTGAGACCAGAAGGGTCTTTCCCTAGAGCCTTTCCTCCATTAGCTGGTGACCTGCTCAGAGTCCTGCAGGAGCAGCTACCCTTGGGAACAACCCGGCTTCCTCTCTACCTCAGCCAGTGACCTGATTCTGGGTCCCAATCCTTTCTTCTTGGTAAAGGGCCTCTCTGGTTGAGAGCAGGACTCAAAGCTGTGAGACGTAATAAACAGAGCTCTGGCCAGCCTGACCTGGGACCTGTGCCTCACCTCTTCACCTGTGAAGTGTGGCTAACTGTACCCACCTCATCAGGTGGCTCTGAAGAGCCCACATGCTCGACGAGGGGTGGCCAGGCAAACCAAAGTGCTTTGCATATGGCAGCATTGGCCTGTTTGTGATTATCCTAGTTTCTAGATTTAGCCTCAGTCTGGAGGGATAAACATCACCTGCTGGGGCCTCCAGGAGGATCTCCTGGAGCTTCTAGCTGATCAGAGCAGGGAGAGGCAACCTAGGGAAGCAGACAGTCCCCATATCTGGAAGGGAGAGACTTGTCACTCATACACCCACAGAGCCCGACTTGCAGCCTCGGCCCAGACAAACATAAAGGTCAGAGTGGGGGAGAAGTCACCCCAACATGATTTCACTGCTGGAATGTCACACTGCAGAGGGCATGCACAAGCAGTCCTGTCATTTCTATCAGCATCACATCTTTACAATAGTGATGGTCTCACAAAGCCGATTCCATTTTCAAATCATAATGGTTTTCAGGCTCTTTACAATGCACGGAATACTGTTACGCTATTATCTGTGCATTTAATTTTCACAACAACCCTGTAAGGCACACAAGGAGTTATCGTGACTCTCATGTCACAGATGTCACAGACGGGGAAACCAAGGTCCCTGGAGAGTGGGACCCTCCGACATGTCAGCACAGACAGGCCTTGCCCATATCAGTCTGGGCCTTCGGGCTGTGCCCCTGGTGCCCCTCTCTGCTTCTCTGTCAGCACATTCAACTAGGCCTGAATCGCAGTCCCACTCCTTGGCATGCATCTATTACTCACTGGGTTCCTGAGTCTCTGGGAAAGTAAGACAGCCCTCCGGTCGCACTATCCACATCTGGGATATTTTGAAACACAAGTCCTGAAGCCCATGCATGTAACAGCCTCTTTCTTGAATAATGGACATCCTCTCCAGCCCAAACCCAGTTCTCAGGCCCTCTGGGGCCTGGCAGCCCCTGGCAGCTGTGATATGTTTCCAGTCTCCAGCTGATCCACCCTCACCTTCTCCTCCTTGGGGTAGCCTTACCTGAAGGCTTGCATCTTGCTGGATTTTCTCCCAGAGGGTCGGCAGATCGTCTCTGAATGGAACAGGAAGAGGAGGAGAGTGATTAGGTGACTGCGGAGGCCTCTGCAGATTTCCATTCTGTGACTGCAGCAAGGCAGTGGACTGCCATTGCGGGCCCAGAGTTGTGGTTTATAAAGAAATAGTCACTCACCCAAGCTAGGCGTCTGCCACCCTGCCCCACTGCGAGAAGCGGAAATACCCTCCTCGCATTTCCAAAAAGAGAAACCCTTGCTGTTGTCACTTTCAACCCCACTAAGTGTCGCAATGGAGTGTTGTAACTGATTCCCTCCCCTTTTTCCCCTGTGCAATTTCCCCAAAATTAAGATTTCTATTTCCCCTTCATTGAGTTCCTGGGAAGAAGAGCACAATGGAAACCAAACTCCCTACTGTTCCTGACAGGTACCCAGAGTCTGTTTGTTGACTTTTTAAAAAACAGATTTGAGCAGAAAGGCCGTTTTTTCATAATAAAATGATAGGGCTCCCTGCACATGGGACAGTCTCATGTCACTTTGTGTTCTTTGAAAAATGGACAGCCTTGGACTCCGGACCATAGATTGGCAAACATTCTGTAAAGGACGAGATAGTAAATATTTTAGGTTTTGTGCGCCACGATTACTCAGCTCAGCTGTCTGTTTCACAAAAGGACGTTGGCAATCCATAAATCAATAAGCCTAGCTGTGTTCCACTACAACTTTCTTTGCAAAAGCGGGGAATGGACCGGATTTGGCCTGAGTCTGCTGACCCCTGATGTAAAGTGAGTCCTTCTGAGAGGTGCTTTGAAATCAACTCTTTTCCCACTATCTTACATCTTTAAAGTTATGGTCTCGGGACGATGACATAAACTCAGCATTTGGACAGGAATGGGTCTAAATTCAACCTCTGCCACTTGCCTTGTGCCACCCGTGTGACCTTGAACAAATCATTTCATTAGTTGAGCCTCTGTCTCTTCACTCTCAGAATGAGGGTGATCATGTCTTCTTCACAAATGGATGGAAGGAAGGAAGGGAAAGAGGGAGGGAGGGAGGGAGGAAGCAGGTGTAGGAAGGAAGAGGAGAACTTCTGGCCCATAATGGGCTCTGATACACATTAACTTCCTTACTTACAATATTCTAGACCCGGGGCCTGGAACATTAGGAAAAAGGTAAGCATGCTCCTATTTTATGGGTAGGAAAAAGTTGAAGAGAATTTCTGCATGATCTACAGGATGGACAGTGCTGGTGCAGAAGCATACGTTGCAGTGTTTTAGAGCTGGACGGGAGCTTGGCAATCATCCTGTCCCAACCTGGCATTGTTTTCAAGAAGACTCAGAAAGATTTAGACAAAAAAGGGATCTGTCCAAGGTCACACAGCTTGCTGATGGCAAAAGTATGCAGAGAAATCCAGGTCTTCTGACCTCCAGCCCCGGGCTTTATTAACAAATGCTTCAGAAACTTTAAACCCTAATATTCATCACACTCTGGGAAGAGGCAAATAAGTAGGCAGGTTAATATACATCACCCCCTTCAGCTAGTCCTCACAAAAACAAACAAATAAACAAAAAAAATGTCTCCTTGGCCCTCAAAGGAAGACACTATTTCTCAAACGTGTTTCAAAAATGATGGCTGGGCTGGGCACGGTGGCTCACACCTGTAATCCCAGCACTTGGGGAGGCTGAGGTGGGCGGATCACCTGAGGTCAGGAGTTCAAGACCAACCTGACCAACATGGTGAAACTCCGTCTCTACTGAAAATGCAAAAATTAGCAGGGATGGTGGCATGTGCCTGTAATCCCAGCTACTCGGGAGGCTGAGGCAGGAGGATCACTTGAACCCAGGAGATGGAGGTCGCAGTGAGCCAAGATCACGCCACCGCACTCCAGCCTAGGCAACAGAGTAAGACTCCATCTCCAAAACAAAAACAAACAAAAAAGTATGAATGACTCACTCAAGGTGATGCAGCTTGTGAGGGCAGCACAGGAATACAGACAAAATGTCAAAATATTTACTACTACAGCAGTTGATCTTGATGAGTCTATTTTCAACCAACAAATCAGAATCTTTCTCTCAACCAACACATCTTCCAACCAACAAATCAGAATCAAACACTTTGTGTCCAGAGAGTTAATCCTTCAAAGGAGGAAGACTATGAATGAATTTCCCAAAGGTTTAAAGAATGTATCCTTCAGAGGAAATAGAACATTTCTGCAAAATTGTGTCACCTCCCTGGGTGATGGATTTTTTCAGGCAAAATGGCATGTCTGTATTCCTGTACTGTCCTCATAAACAGTGTGACCTTGAGTGAGTCACCCATCCTTTTTGAAACACGTTCAAGAAACAGTGTCTTCCTATGAGGGCCAAAGAAGAATTTTGTTTATTCATTTGTTTGTTTTTGTGAGGACTAGCTGAAGGAGATGATGTATATGAACCTGTCTACTTATTTGCCTCTTCCAGAGTGTGTTGAATATTAGCGTTTAAAATTTCCAAAGTATTTGCTAATAATCAAGTGTATCACTTTATTCTCACACTCTCTGAAAGAGAAGGCAGCTAGCACCTGACTATGATAGGTTCTCTCCTATTTGTCTTTCTTCAACCCTCCGGAATTGGAAGACCATAATTCTCTCAACAATGTCCTTACAGATTGCAGAAGAGAAGTGGCTTGCCAAGGTAGGGTGGAGAGTTCCATCCTGGCCACTGCCTTCAGACAGCGTTTCAAGTAAAAAGCCCCACCCACACTGCGGCTCCTGGGTAAATGTTTCTCTGACCCCAGTCTGAATTCAGAGAGTATTCTCCTGGAGAAAAGACGCTCGGGGCTCCTGGAACCTCCCTGCTCTGTGTCATTTCCCCGCTGTGTCCTGAGAAGTGGCCCAGTCTGTCCTTTGTCGACATGCACAGGGTGAGGGTGGGGGTGGTCCCTGGGGCAGGAGTTATGGAGTCTAGGTCTGAATCCCCCTGTGTCATTACCCCACACAATGTGCAGAGCCTGTCTTGGTCTCAGTTTCATTATCTGATAGAGCTAATAATAGAAGCCACATCATCGGTTACTATAAGGATTGAATGAAATGCTGCACGTGATGAATCATGCCCTGACCCTGGCACTTGGGAAATACTCACACCGTGGCTTTTGCATATGCTTCTTTACCCCAGGTAAAGTGGGAGAGATCAGGCACAATGAATGCCCCAGCCCCTTGCTCCTGCCCTGCACTCCCAGCCTTCCTGCTCTGTATCCTGACCCACCCTCCTTTCCCAGTCCAGTCTCAAGCCTGCTCTGACTCCAAAGGGGGGGGGCTGTCAATCACTGTGGCTTAGGGAGAGGAAGAAAGGGGACAAGGGAAGCTCTCTCCCTCTTCCTCACGCTTCTGGCCACAAGTCCACTCTTGGTTTCGTCTTATCTCACCCAAACAGTTGGCGTCCTTATGATTTCTGCCCACAGGAAATCTCTGACTAATCTTATTCTCGGTTCTGGGTCCTCAGCACCCCCCGAGTTCTGCTTCCTGGATGAAGCTTTAAGACCATAGCACATAAAAGACAATGCCTTCCCAATCAGCACCCATGGCTTTCATCGGAGGTCCTGGTCATCAAATTGTATCTAGTGGCTTCCATGTGCTGAGCCCTGTGCTACTAGACACTAGAGACAACAGGAGTGTCTAAGCCCCACGTAAAGGGGTTTTGATGAAGCAGAGAGATAGGGAAACCAGGCTGTCCATGTCTTAGGAGGGACACTGCACTGCTGTAAGGGGACACATCTTATGTTGATGCCTGTAAAGTGTTTAGCACAGCTGTCCACATGGGAAGTGTTCAATAGATGTTGGCTATTTCTCAACATCGGTTAATTGCATCTTTCAGTTCTAGGATTTCCATTTGGTTCCTTTTTTGTACAGTTGTTAGTTCTCTGCCAAAAATTCCAATCTTATGTTTTAAATCTGAGTATATTCTCCACAGTTCTTTCGAAGGCTGCCCCTGATTCAAATCCATGATTCAAATCCCTGCTGGATCTCAATTTATTGCCTATTTCTCCCTGATACACAGGTCATCTTGCATGTGCCTAAATCCTTTTTACTGACTGCTGAATACTATATATTAAGCACAGTAGAGGTCATTCAAGGCTCTGGATGATTGTTATCTGTACCCTGAGATGGTTCACTTTTGCTCCTGCTGCACAGGTAGGCCAGGAGCCTTTCAAAAGCAGGTAACCTCTACCCTAGCAGGACTTGAGATCATTCAGAGGAGGGCTTCAGTACCTGTGAAGGCTGACCCAGATTTCCAAATTGGGTGGGGATTATCAGGGACCCTCCCTGTAGGCAGGATTTAAGGTACAAATTTCATCTCCCCCACCAAGTTCCATGAATGCTCAAAAACTCAGCTGAAGTTTTTGAAACCAGCACATGTCCCCAGGAGTAAAGGGCACCAGTGCTGGGCTCCACCTCTCTGGGCTCAGGCAGTTCCTTACAGCCTTGGCCATTCTCTGATGCCTCCAAAGAGATCTTTTGGAAATATGTTTTGTCTAGCTTTTCTAGTTATTCTCAGCAGGAGAGTTGGTCATAAACAACCTAGGCCAGAGGTATCTGATGTAATCTACTTTATTTATTTATTTATTTTTTTGAGATGGAGTTTCGCTCTTGTTGCCCAGGCTGGAGTGCAGTGGAGCAATCTAGGCTCACCGCAACCTCCGCCTCCCAGGTTCAAGCAATTCCCCTGCCTCAACCTCCTGAGTAGCTGGGATTACAGGCTTGTGCCACCACCCCCAACTAATTTTGTATTTTTAGTAGAGACAGGGTTTCACTATGTTAGTCAGGCTGGTCTCGAACTCCCGACCTCAGGTGATCCACCCATCTTGGCCTCCCAAAGTGCTGGGATTACAGGTGTGAGCCACTGTGCCCAGCCCATAATCTACTTTTCAAAAGTCTTATTATTCAGGATGGCTGGAGTTTGAGTAGCATTTAGAGGTAGGGGTAGGAAAAGTGATTTGAAAAGTTGGGTGAGGTCCAGAGGAGAAATGGCCTTTAAAGCCAGCCCGATGAGCTGGAAACTTATCTTTTAAAAAACTGAATAAAAGGGTAATGTTGTCAGGTGTGTTTTATAAAGATCGTGTTGGAGACAGTGGACAGATGGATTAAACTTGGATAGGGTCATTGACTCTGAAGGCAGGGCAGTGTTGTGCTGGTAAAAGTTTAACAATTGAATCTCCAATAAAAGTTTCCATTTGCCAATTTCCATGACATAATACTCCCACCACGGATAATTTCAAGCTACTGACATGATATCACTGAATGGGGAGCTGGGGAGACATATACACCATTGGATCCTGCTGGCTGCCGCACCCCAGAGAGGCAGGGAGATTCAGTCCTTCTAAAGGGAAATTGTCTCCACATTTCTCAGCTCCAACCTCCCTCCTCCTCAGCCCAAATGGCTCACCCCACAAGTTTCATCCCCCTTGCAGAAAACAATCCTTACTGATAAATCTAGTTTGTCGGGAAGCTTTAACAAATTTCAGTACAAACATTTTCATTTGGGCCTCCTGGAACTGCATTTGTGTCACGCAAGCACTATTTGTGAAATGTTGGCATCCAGCTTGGGTGGACAGATGTGCACACTGCCTTGTAATGGCTTCATCTCACATTTAGTGGCTTCGGCCAACACTTGAATCCTGAGTGTCACAGGACACACCACACAATATGGGCAATATTGTTTTCCAAACTTTGTAAATTTTTGCTAAGATAATGCTACAAAGACTCCAGTTGCTCTTTCCCAGTCATGGGTAAATATTTTAGTACAAAGAAGAGAAAGAAACACAAGAAATACAAACCCCCAGGGTATAATCTGATGTCTTCTTTTTGTTGGTCCTCACTGACCCAGTCCTGCCAAGTAGCCAAGTTAATTTTAACCAAATCCATCAACTTATTAGAAGCTCCCTAAGGCAGCAGGACAGGTTTGGAGACATCTGTACCCCTGAGTACCTCTACCCACCAAGCTGCAGCCCCCAGGCTTGCTGCTATCAGGGTGACCACCTCTGCTCTCCTGGATGATGAAGGGGATCAGGACATGGTATATAATCCAACTGTTATCTACAAGAAGCTACTCTCCTCTCAGATCTACATGGTTAACTTACTGTGAATCCTTTCTGAGGTTCAGAGCCTTCCAAGATGATTTTTGCCCCAGCAGTTTATGGGTTAGCTATGAATCTGCACTGAAAGTCATTACTTATGCAGTTATCTTGTGTTTTCAGCGGTACATGCTTGCTCTTGCCTTCTTGGCTTTGATGATTAGTTTTATAATCCCCCTGCAGACAGGAGGAAATGGAGAAGAACAGACACCATGGGGAAGGGGACAACTGTGTTGCTTACCTGTTATAGTTTAGGCTCTGTGTTACACTTTCACACAGATCTCCTTTTGTCCACATAACAGCTGTGCAAAGTGGACAGACATATTGACACCCACTTTCAAAATGAGTATAAATTCATAGTGACTTTATAGAAGAACTCAAGGTTCAGGCTACTCTGTCTATGGAGTGGCCATTCTTTTATTCCTTTACTTTCTTAATAAACTTGCTTTCACTTTGAAAATAAAAAGAAGACGAAGACGAAGACGATGAAGAAGAATAAGAGGAAGAGGAAGAAGAGGAAGAGGAAGAGGAAGAAGAAGAAGAAGAAGAGGAGGAGGAGGAGGAGGAAGAAGAAGAAGAGGAAGAAGAAGAAGAAGAAGAAGAGGAGAAGGAGGAGGAAGAAGAAGAGGAGAAGGGGGAGGAAGAAGAAGAAGAAGAAGAAGAAACTACTCAAGGCTTAGAAAGATTAACTCACTTGCTCCAGATCCTGGCCAGGCCAGGATTGAAACCCAGTTTAGTTATTTCTTCCCACACTACAGTCCTCCTAAAGAGGCCACTGACTTTTTCTCTCTGCTTCATTGCATGGTTAACATAAGCAAGAATTATATTTGTTCTTATGGTGTTTCTTTTGGGCTGAACTCCTATCTCATAGAGTAACTATTTAGTTCATAATTTCTTGAAAATTTGGGGAGGATTTTTGGTAATAAGGAAAGAAATGATTCTAAAACCTTACACAGGTTACAGGGAAAGCTCTTTACCTGGTTATGGACTAGAGTGACCAACTACCTTGGTTTGTCCAGGACTTTCTTGACTTTATTACTGAAAGTTCTACACCTTGCCAAACCCCTCAGTCCCTGAAAAACTCAGATAATTGGATTATTCTAAATTATGAACCCTTAAAGGGCACTGGTACCTCTGGTGGCTGCTGCTGCAAATTCCAGGCACAGTTAATGATTATAATTGTACCCTGCCAGTGTAGTGTTTTTATTAGCAGAGATGTGATCCATTTTATTAGACAACAGATAGATAGATACATGCATACATACATACATACATACATACATAGAGCAATCACACAGGAGTATTCAAAAACCTTAGTGAGTCTGCCACTCAGGAAAATAAACCATTGCAGATATATTAGTAATCAATCGTTTTCATTCTGATTAATTTTTAATTAAACCATTCATCTTTAATTTCCTTCAACTACATAATCAAGATGTTGTTCATATCTAGTAGCCTAAAATTGTTTTCAAACTTGGATCCTAAAAATAATTTACCCTTTGAGTCAGCATTGTCTTCACCTTCTCCTCCTCCTCCACCTCCTTCTTCATACAAGTCAGCTGTAAGGGAAGTGGTGGGACCCCATTGTGTAGAGAGAAAGCAGAGGTCCAGAGAAATGAATGACTTGTCCAAGGTAACACAAAGTGTATGCACATGGTTCCATCTCTATCCTTTACCCTCTGTTCTCACCCTTCCAGTTTCCAGTCCGAGTATGCACCCCGTCAACTTTTCTCTTCTTGGCACCCTGTTCTGTGCTGGGCAAACATTGATACCTCCCATACTCCTGGCCTTAGATGGAGAATGTGGTTCCTCTACCCAGGGAACATGGTGTCTTCACTAAGCTTATTGCACTTTTTTCCCGAATTCAATCCAATTCAAGTTAACACACATTTATTTAGCACCTATTGTGTGTCAGTTCAAAATATTTTGGGATGAACCAGTTTTAAGCACAGAGATTTATTTCTTCACAATGTATTGGTATCTGGTTCTAAGAGTGGTTCCAGCATCCTACTTTACACATTTGAAAAACACATAAGACCATGGGCTAACATTGTAGCACAACCCACCAGGGACCATTGTACCCACTGGGGGACAGGGGAGGATCTGCTGCCCCCGGAATAACTGCTTGTGGTTGACAAAGCAATTCCCCTCTCCATGATTTCATTAAGTCTCTGTGCCCCCATAGCATAGTGTAGTGGTTTGAAGACAGAATGTCTGCAGTCAATCCACCTCCTCCTCTTATACTAGCTGTCTGGCCATGGGCAAATTATCTAATCTCTCTATATCCATTTCCTCTTCTGAAAATGTGAGCAATAATAGCCCTTCCTCATAGGGTTATTGAGAGGGTTCAGTGGGATAAACCATGTAAAGTGCTCAGCAAGGCGCCTAGCTTGTAACGTGTCCATGACCCATTAAGAGCTGACACTTCCACTGTGCTTACTACAAGCTAAGAGTTGTCCAGCTTCCTCTAGACCTCCTCTTAACACCCAGAAAGGAGTGCAAGGAAAGTAAGACCCAGAAAGGAGAATGGCCTGCTCATTAGAGGCCTATTTTATTTCATTTTATTTATCTTTACATATTTTTTTTTAGAGAGAGCGTCTCTCTCTATTGCCCAGACTGGAGTGCAGTGGTGTGATCTCCATTCACTGCAACCTCTACCTCCCGGGTTCCAGCAATTCTCCTGCCTTAGCTACCCAAGTAGCTAAGATTGCAGACATGCACCACCATGCCCAGCTAATTTTTGTATTTTTAATAGAGACAGGGTTTCACCATGTTGGCCAGGCAGGCCTTGAACTCTTGACCTCAAGAGATCCACCCACCTTGGCCTCCCAAAATGCTGGGATTACAGGTGTGAGCCACCACGCCCAGCCTCAGGGGCCAATTTTAAATTAGAAACTTAAAATTAGAGTCTACATACCAATGATCCTGAGAGTTTTTTTCTTTGCCCCACACAAATCCTAACCGGAGGTTGCAAACTGGCAGCTTATAATTTAAATATTTTATCTGCTTGCTTTATTGTCTGGTTTAATCAGAATACTATATATAATGAAATCAGAATATCGGACTCTTCTGGAAAAGCGAGAAGTTCTGGCCACCTGAGCCTGCATTCTCTTGTGACAACTGGTGGAACTGACTGTGCCAAGCCCTTAATTCTCCACAGTCCCCACCCTTCCTTATCAATCAACCCTCAGACCTTGTGGCTCAGTGCCACATTCTATTAGTATTTCTCATTGAGCTCACACTGTTCTTTCTCTCATTTAACAGGGCTATTTCACCAATTTCCCTATTCTATCAACAGTGGAAAATGACCCTCACACTCCAAGGACTCCATGACTTCTGTCACAGCAGTTACACCTCTCTGTTCACCTGCTGCCCCAGCAGGCACTAGGCTTGCAGCCCCTGCCTCAGAGTGCCTGCATGGTCTCCCATGGATGCCTCCCCGTGCCCAGATCCCCCAGACAGGCCTGGAGCTCCATGCGCTTGACATTTTCCTGGACGCTTGCTCACCAGAGCCTGAAAGCATTTGATAAACACCAATTGTAGACATTTTCCTCTCTCATTTCTCAGGTGAAAAAATGAGAGTGGAAGGAGCTTACCTAAAGCCATGGGGAGGGCCTCATAGGACAGGAGGTCTTCTGAGGTCTTCCAGACTCTAACTCAACTGAGCTGCTGCCCATAAAGTAGCACCCGGGCAGTACCTGGGCCACAGTCCCTCCCAGGGTGGAGCTGCCCCTCCTTCCAGAGCACCTCAGAGAGTACAAGGAGGAGCCCAGCCTCCCCTCCCACACACTCACAGAGGGTTGGCCAGCATGAGGAGATGGGCCGGCTGATGGCTGACTTGATGCCAAGCAGGCCCAGTTTCCAGGAGGGTGACTCAGGCTAGCAGAAACCAAACTGGTTCTTATCTGCGTAAGATGGGAGGTCACATGCAGAGAACTGAGCTGGGCCTTCGTGCTTACCCCAACCCCGACTGCCGCCAGCTCATGCATGTGTGCACACATTCATTCAAAACATATGTGTTGGCTTAATCCTGTGTGCCAGGCACTCTTCCAGGCATTGGGAACAAGCCAGACAAGGTCCCCAACGCTCTAACAAAGGAAAACAGACAAGAAACAAGTTAGCAAATAAAATAACTTCATAGGGCATATTGCTATAGGGAAAATCCAAAGCAGGATATGCTTTTGAGGGACCTAGGAGTGGGTGGCTATTTTAGGGAAAGTGGCCAGGGAAGCCCTCTCTGAGAGGGTGACATAAGAGTGGAGACCTGAGCAATGTCAAGGAAGGGGAAGAATATTCCAGGTGGAGGGAACAGCAAGGGCAAAGGCCTTGTTTGAGCACTACGTGGAAGCCATGTCTTAGGGAATAACAGGGTCCATCCCGCTTCCAGTTACCCCCATGCCCTATACCTGGCCTCTGCCGTGACATTGTCCACAAGGCCAGATACTCTCTCCCTGCTTTCTCTAGAAGCACCTGATGTTCTGAACACCCCTCCTCCTTTTTGCCGTTGGGAGCGAACCTGCTTGTAGCTTCATGTCTCTGCATTCTGCCATCAGGGAGCAGACAACTCACAAATGCTTAAAGCCATCCAAGTTGATGGGGAGCAGTGGCAAGAGACCCCTGGGCAGGACGAAGTCCCGGGTCTAGTCCCCAGGTCTGCAGCCAACCAGTTGTGTGTGTGTGGGCACACCACTTCTGCCCTTCAGACCTCATTTTGACAGCTGCAAAATGGACCTGATGCTATCTGCCCTATCTTAGACTTAGGGCTCACCGGAAGCATGAATGACACGCAGTACATAAAATGCTCTGTAAATCACATGCATTTACACAGGCCCTTGCTGCAGGTAATGCCTTCATACACATATGAAATAGAGAGGAAGGAGCAGACCAGCCTACTGGCTGCCACCAATCTTGCCACCTACAATCTGTCCCTCCTGACAGGGAAGAACCCTCTCATTTGCAGAAGGGCTCATAATTCATAAACTTCTCAACAGGGATCTGGTAAGGGCCTTCAATTTCCTCTAACCCTGCAGACCTGGACTCATTCCCAGGGTCTCTTCATTCAACTCACAGGGCCTGAATGGGGGTGGGAGGGGCAGGGAGCCGGCCACAGGAAAGCCCCCCACCCCCCGCCCCGCCTGGGTGCTCCCGACCGCAGGGACTTCCCATGGGGCCTTCACTTCCTGTTCTCTTCCGCCTTGGCTCACCAAGATGTAATGCCAAGGTGTGTAAGGTTTGGCTGGAAATTTTCGAAGCAGCTTTTGTAGAGAAATTCCTGCTGACTAAAGAATCAGAAACTAGATTTGTAAACCTGGAAACTTCGTAAATGTCAACTTTGTAAACCTAGAAAGTTGGGCATTGGGGCAGCCTGGGAACCTGCCAGGATAGCCTGATGTGTCATCATGGTGTTGTACTTTTCTGTTATGACAACAGGAGGAGGACACATTAAGGTGGGCTCTGGTGGCCAGAGGTTCAAATCCCAGCACCATGAACTATAGCTGTGGGATCCTGGGCCACATCTATAAAATGAGAGTAAGATAAGACTCTTGCCCACCTCACAAGGTGCTTGTGAAGACTGGGCTAACAACTGTAAAGTGCTTGGCATGTGGTTGGCATTATTTAAGTATTAGCCATTACTATCAGAGGAAATAGATTGGATTTCTTCCCTGGGGAGCTAGGGGCCTAGCTGGTCATGAGAGAGAAAACTAGGCTTCCAGTCAGGGCCAGGGGACTACAAGTCAATCAGCACACAAGGCTGGGCATTCCCAGGTGGTCCCAACACTGGGGACATCGAGGGTAAAGGGACAACTTACGGGCATCTGTAGCACCCCAGTGTCTAGTCAGAACTCTCCTTTGCAAGCCTGTCTCCCTCTCCTCTCAGGCTATGAAGTTCTGATGGATCAGTGGCTTAGCCTAGGGTACTCAGTGCATCTGAGAAGCCTGGAGCCCAACATCCCAGAGATGGAGAACGCTGGGAGTAGTGGGAGAGCTGGCATTTGGGAACCGTGGAATTCTGAGTGACTGGAGACTCTTGATCATGGTGAAGGGGCTTCTGAAGAACCCTGAGGATCCACAACCCCAATGATGGTGACTGGCCACTTGCTCTGGCACTAACCTGCCAGCCTGTGGCATAGGAAAGAAGGAGGTAGGGGAAGGGTAGAAGGAAAGGGAGGCATCAGGAATGGAGGAGCAAGATATTGAGGTTTAATGTTATTAGAACCCCTCCCTTGAATTGAGACAGTCACAGGTGAAGCCCTCTAGCAGGAGAGACCCCAAGGCTCCCAAAGGAATTCCTACTATGGGAATGGAAATCTAGACCACACACAAGCAGGGGGGCCCTGGATGCCGTGAGAAGACTGAGAGCTTGGGTGAATCCCTTCATTCCAGCCAGGGGAGAGGTGCATCCTGCTTCCTTCTAGCTTAGACACACAAGGTCAGAGCAAGGGATTTGAGGTTTGAAAATACATGGGATCAGTTTTACAATTCTGATGACTGTAAATCCTTGAGTTGTTTGCCAACTTGTTTATCTACGACCGTAGTTGTTTACGGTCATAGACAAGCCCTTAAGTTTTTGCAGAGTTCCTAAGAATCTGCTCAGCCTGCTCAGCTTCCAGACTCAGCTTGTGAAACAGCCCCTCTTGTTCCCTGAACTCCTTTTGGTTCCTCAAATTCACCTCTTTCTCTCACCTCAGGACCTTGACACAGGCATGGAACACCCTTCCCTCCCCTGCTCCACTGACTAGTTACTTATCCTCACCCTTAAGACCTCAGCTCAGACTCTGCATTTATGTGATCCTCCGTGTAATATCTGTCTCCCAGGGCAGGTCACAGCAAGCACCGTGTCTATTTTGTTTACTCTTATATCTCCAGCTCATAGCCCAGGATTTGGCCCATAGAAAAATAAATGGGAAACCACCACTCATATTCTCATTCTCTCTCTCTCTCTCACACACACACACAAACACAGACACACACACACTCACACACGGACTCATACATCACCATAAATAAATGAGACACCTGATCATAACTTTGTAAGTGGTCACACATTGAAACTTCCAAGTCACATCAAATGTGGTCAAGATATATAGACTCTTCTTAACCTGTAATCCATTTTTCTGGGAGCTACCTCCATCGCCACCACCACAACTCACAGACCCAGCTGATTACACATGTACCTGACCTTGTCCCCAGGCCATGGCTCACTGGACTTAACGGTGGGCAGCTGCCTCAAACTAAGCCAGTACCAGGAATAAGAAACTGGGACTAGAGTTCACAGGGGCGAGGCATTTGGTAACTGCTCTCAAACTGAGGACTCCTGAATCCATAAGCCTTAGGGTGGTCACCTTCTGCAGGTGCACAGAGAAGCAGAGAAGACCATTCTGCTGAGAGAGAAGAACAAGCAAACAGATAGAGGCAGGAATGATAACATTATGGCCTTCGATAGAGAAACAATTACTACTGCCTTAACTTCTCATAACTTTCCTATTCCCAGTTACTGCCTCTCACAACGTCTGGCTGCACTTCCTGTCACTGTGTCACATCTCACAAATTCCCCATTACAGCCAAAACCAGCTTAAGCATGTCTGACTCCTGCAACCAAAGCCTTACTTAAATAATTCCACAAGAGCCAACAAGCAACCCATAAGGGAACTGAGGAGTCAATACAAATAAACAGAGGGAACTAATCCAGTAAGGTACACATTGAAGAATCCTTGACTACATTGGCATGGTGCATCCACAGCCACAAAGCTCACAGACATGAGTCCGTGGGTTCAGTAATGCATGTGTGAGGTTTTGTCTGCCCAGCACCCAGCCTCATGTTGCTGAGCAGCTCCTCCTTTTCTCAGTCCAACCATTTTTAAACTACTTTACTGAGGTACGATTGACATACAAAAAGCTGTACATATTTAATATTTACATCTCAATTAGTTTGGGGATAAGTATACTCTCATGAAACCATCACCACCATCAAGGCCATAAACATATCCATCACCTTTTGAAGTGTCCTCCTGCCCCTTAATTATTACCATTATTATTATTATTGGTAAGAACATATAAGATATACCCTCTTAGCAATTTTAAGTATACAATACAGTATTGTTACTTATAGGTACTATGTGATATATTAATAGTAAACCTCCAGAACTTATTTATCTTGTATAACTGAAACTTTGTACCCTTTAACTATCACCTCTTCATTTCCACTTTTCTCCTGCTCCTGACAACCAGTAGTCTACTCTCTTCTTTAAGCTTGACTATTTTAGATTCCACATATAAGTGAGCTCCTGCAAGAAATGTCTTTTTGTGTCTGTCTTATTTCACTCAGCATAATTCCCTCCAGGTCCATCCATGTTGTCACAAATGTTAGGATTTCCTTCTTTTTAAGGTTGAATAATATTCCAGTGTATGTATATACCACAATTTCTTTATCCATTCATCCACCAGTTGACATTTAGGTTCTTTCCATATCTTGGCTATGTGAACAGTGTTGCAAACTCCAATCAGCTTACCCCATCCTCAGCTATAGCACGTCGGGTACGTGACCCAACTCAGACCGATACGAATCTTCCTGATATTATTCAAGCTGAAACTGAAGGAAGAGGTGCAGTTCCTATTCCTCTTGTGCTGCAAAAGACAAGGTGGTAGAGCCGTCAGTCAGCTAGATCAAGGTGGGGTTATGTTACTTGCAACAACAACAAACAACCATAACAAAAGAGTCCTTCCTGTGTGTTTGCCTCATGAATATTTACTCCCAACCACTGTGTGCCAAGTGCAGTATTAGATTCTGAGGATACAACGGTCAGCAAGGTAGGTGTGTATTTGTCTTCATAGGATTCATAGTCTTCACACCTCCAGAAAACTACATTACAGCATAATATATGCAACGATGAAAGAGGCACAGGGTTTTGTGGGAGCACGGAAGAGGAACACCCCATTCAGGCTTGGGAGTGGGGTCAGAGGAGGAAGATGGAGGAAGAGGAACGGTGAGAAGCCCCAAAGTAAGAGAAAGCGTGGGCGGGGAATTCAGGCAATTATAAGTAAGTCACAGAACTAAACTGTAACATTCAAAGGGAAAAGCAAGGGGAGCAGCCTACAGGGCGAGGGGGGCTCCGGCCTCCACACTCACATCCCTTTACCTTATCAAGGGCCTCAGGCTTGGGGCAGAGTTGGGGACTCCAGAACTTCCTGCAGGGGAGGCTTGAGGTGGCATTCTGGCGGGAAGGACTAGCAACTTTTCAATTTGCATTTTCCTCCTTACATTGTATACTTTTTGGAGGAAGGGAAGTTGGAGAGCTGATTTTAATTATAGGGTCCTATACCCAGAAAAACAACTCTAGCCAAAGAATATCTCTGTTGAGTGTTGCATGTAACACGGTGGCTGGGCCCTCGGAAGCTCCGCCCCAAATGTTGGTCACTTAAACCAGCTTCCTTTTCTGAGGCCAGGGGCTTTCACAGGGAAGGTAGAAGCATTCAGACCATGGGATTTTGCAGTGCGTCAGAATTCCTGGAGAGACTGGCCTACAAACCTCTCTGTGCTCAGTAACAGGAACGGGTGATCAACCTGTGGTCTCTTACAAAGGATTGCAACATTGGCAAAAGGAGGCTGTGCCCAGCAAACAACAACCCAAAGTCTGGGGTTGCCTCAGGCCTAAAACTGTCTCAGATGGCTGAGTTTCAGGGGTGGGGCCAAGGCCATGAACTTACACCTAAGGAGGACCTGTTTGTCTCGTTCTGTTGTAAAAACAGGGTGCACATCTAACCCAGACTGGCCTCTTTGCCTCTGCAAGTAAGGGACCTGACTGATAGAGGATGGTTTTTGTGTGTGCACACGAAGCCTAGCATGCAATAGAGGTTATCATGTGAGGCATTTAATGGCTGGGTCCTCACCTGTGTGAGTGTAAAGGAAAGACTGAATGGAAAGAACAGTTGAGCTGCAATGCAGTCATAATGCAAGCCTCAGTCCATTCGCCAGGAGGTAGGGTGGCACTGGCAAGGGAGCCAGGCCTTTATATACCCACACTGAGCAGTCATTGGATGCGGGCTTCACCTGGGGAAAGAATGTGACCTCTTGAGCTATGGGCCATTCTCATGGATAGTCGTGGGGTTGTGAATCTAGGCGGTGTACTACAGTATCCATGCCATTATGTGAACTATCTCAATGAAATTCCACAACAGTATTCAGAATATATTATTATCTTCATTTTACAGACAAATAAACTGAGGCACAGAGCTGTGTGACTCTGAGCCACTTGGCCACCGTAGTGCCTTCTCCATAAATAAACACTAGATATGTAGTCAGGAAATGCCAGTTCAGCAAATCTTAACTTCTCATTTACCCACACACTGTCCCCTAGACAAGTCTTTCAACCTTTTTGAGATTCAGTTTTCCCAGATTTAAAATGAGGATTATAATGCTTGACCTACCTTTTACTTGTCTCATAGAATTGCTGCCAAGATCAATTCAAAACAAGCCCTTATATGCGAATGTGCTTTGTGAACTGCTAATTCCTAGACAAATGTAAGAAACAATGCTTATTACACGTGAAAGGCAGTATGTGGTCAAACAGATGGCAGTGTAGGACCTCTCCAAAACCTCTAAGCCTTTTGGTTACTCCAACTGGCAGAGGCCAAATGCAAACATTTCCATTTGATAAATGGAGAGACAGAAGTAAGTATCAGGGAAGTTGGTAGGCATAACTCATTCCAGAAATTAGTTCTTGGGATCCATGTCCAACACATCGATTTAGTATGGCTCTGATGACACAATGGAAACCAGAGGCAGCCTACCCAAGAGGATATGGACACCCACAGTGGGATAGAAAGGAGTTAACATTTGTTAAACACCCACCTGTGCCAGGCACTATGCCAGGTGCTTTATATAGGTTGCGTTTTTATCCCTTTAAGAATCATAGGCACTTTACCATTGACAAGTCAAAGGTTCAAAGAGAAGGAGTAGTGGTAACTTTTTAAGGATGCAGAGCTAAGAAAGAGCAGTGTCTGGCTTTCTTCAGCACACCTAATTATCTTTGCGCAAGGTGAGGATCCTGCTCCAATGCCTCGGGAGTCATAATTGAGGGGGCACTGGGAGCTACAGAGGCTGGCCAGCATTGAAATCTGTTTCTACCCAGGAATTCAAACTGTGTGAGAGGTGAATGTCTTTGTCTCTTGCAGCAAAACGTACCTCTTTAATTTTGGGATGATCCAAGAACCTGATGTGATTGATCAGAGAAATTTGCAAAACTAGGATAGCTTGGAAAGCTAGGATAGCAAGCCCACAGCACAGAAAAAAAGCTTCTGTGAGGAACAAGGGGCACCAAGAAGAAATATTCCCATAAACCCCAGAATGACAATGGTTTCCTCAAAGGCTTCAGAGTAGGACCTGGGATTTGAGTGTTGGCACTACTGCCGGACCAGAACAGGATTGTGTTTGCCTGTGTACGTGTGCATGTGTGTGAGTGTTCATGCAGTGAATGACATGGAGTCAGATATACCATGGGGACTTTTTTTTCATCTGCAACCACATAAGTCTCCATCCAGATCTATCTAAACACGTTTTGAAGGTGACTGTGGTCCTTTGGTAAAGGCACACCAGTTCTCATCCTGATGGATAATGTGAAGTAGGTCTCCAGGTGAGGTGTGAGGATCAATCAGCAGGAAGCAGAGTCAAGAAGAAACCAAGGCATGGCCCAAATCTTTTTCTCTATGGGGAAATTTCCCCATCTGTAAAATGGGGATGAAGACAGCACCTTGGTCATATGGGTAAAGTTTGTAGTAGGACAATGCAAATATGGTAAGTGCATGTCAGCTGATAGCCATGGCTCTTCCAAAATTTTATATATGCTGAGGTTTTTTTTTTTTTTGCAGTCATAATAGTTTAGAAGTGTCATACATTTGTTGAGAATTAAGTGCTTCATCACTATGTTGTGCCTTTCCCCCTTCCTGTTAGTGTTTTCTCAGTGAAATTCTGCTCTGATATAAAAGGGTGAACCCAGCTCTCTTCTAGTTAGTTTGACTGTGTTCTTCCATCCCTTTACTTTCAACTTTTCTGTGTTTAATATTTTAGGACTGTGTCCTGGAAATATCATTGCCAGATTTTAAAATCCAATCTGACAATATGTCTTTCAACTAGGAAGTTTAGTTCATTTTCATTTTTTGTAATCTTTAATGTATTTGGATTTGTTTTACTATCTTAATTTTTTTTTTTTTTTTTTTAGATGGCGTTTCGCTCTTGCTGCCCAGGCTGGAATGCAATGGCACAATCTCTGCTCACCACAACCTCTGCCTCCTGGGTTCAAGCGATTCTCCTGCCTCAGCCTCCAGAGTAGCTGGGATTACAGGCATGCACCCCCACACCCAGCTAATTTTGAATTTTTAGTAGAGATGGGGTTTCCCCATGTTGGTCAGGCTGGTCTCGAACTCCTGACCTCAGGTGATCCACCCATCTTGGCCTCTCAAAGTGCTGGGATTACGGGCATGACTTAATTTTTTATTTTATTTTAGCCCCTTTTCAATGCTTCTTTTTCTCTCTCACCTTATTATTTATTTTGGGTGGGGTGTTGGTGGTTGCTATTGTTTTCTTATTCCATTCCCCTTCCCATATTGATTTAGAAGTTATATACTCTGTTTCTCTTGTTTTAGTGGTTACTATTAAATTTTTGTCATGACTATTTTACTTCTCAGGGTCTAAAATTAATAAATATCTAACCCCCTACCCAAAAAAATATGATTTATGAGTATTTTTAACCTTGATCATCTCCCTCTCAACTTATAGGCTTAACATTTTAATTTGTCTTAACATTTTAGTTCTGCCCTTTTTCTAACCCCACATTTCGACTTATTTTTCAAAGATTTGTTTAGATTATTCTACGTTTCCTGTTTTCTTCCTCACCATTTTTTACTGACATCCAAGGTCCCCTGTGGTAAGCAGAATAATGCCCCTACTCCACCACCCGCAATTCCCACATCCTATTATTCCCTTGGGCCTGTGACTATGTTAGGTTACATGGCAAAAAAGAAATTAAGGTTACAGATGGAATTGAGGTTGCTAATCAGCTAACCTTAAAATAAAGAGATTATCCTGGATTATTTAGGTGGACCCAATCTAATCACAAGGGTCCTTAAAAGTAGAGAAAGGAGGCAGAAGAGGTCAGAGTGATAAGATAAGAGAAGGGAAGGGGAACATCGCACACTGGGGACTGTTGTGGGGTGGGGGAGGGGGGACGGATAGCATTAGGAGATATACCTAATGCTAAATGATGAGTTAATGGGTGCAGCACACCAATGTGGCACATGTATACATATGTAACAAACCTGCACGTTGTGCACATGTACCCTAAAACTTAAAGTATAATAATAATAAAAAAAATTTATAACCCCCCCCAAAAAAAAAAGATAAGAGAAGGACTCGACTGCCACTGTTAGCTTTGAAGATGTGGGAAGAAGCCACTAGCTAAGGAATGCAAATGCCTCTAGAAATTAGAGAAACATCATCTCCAGAGCCTCCAGCAGCCCTGCTGATACCCTGATTTTAGCCCAGTAAGACTTCTGACCAGAAATCAGGAGGTTAAATTTCTGACCTACAGAACTGAAAGATAATTTCGTGTTTTTTAAAGCCACTAAGTTTGCAGTAATTTCTTAGAGCAACTAATAAGAAACTAATATACCAGACTTTAGGGATCATTTTTCTTCCTTTTGAAACATCCTTAGATATTCTTATCAGTTGTAACAACACAAAAGAATAAATGCTTGAGGTGATGAATACACCCAAAAAAAATTTTAAAAAGAAACATCCTTACATATTCGTTTAGGAAGTAATCTCATTCACTGTTTATCCAGAAATGTCTTTATGGTGTACTTCTTGAAAGATTGGTTTGGTTTGGTTTGGTTTGGTTTTGAGGCAGTCTCACTCTGTCACCCAGACTGGAGTGCAGCAGCATGATCTCAGCTCACTGCAACCTCTACCTCCTGGGTTCAAGCGATTCTCCTGCCTCAGCCTCCCAAGTAGCTGGGATTACAGGTGCACACCACCACACATGGCTATTTTTTTTTTTTTTTGTATTTTTAGTAGAGATGGGGTTTCACCATGTTGGCCAGGACGGTCTCAAACTCCTGACCTCAAGTGATCCACGTTCCTTGGCTTCCCAAAGTGCTAGGATTATAGGCGTGAGCCACCACGCCTGGCCAAAAGATATTTTTGATAGGTACACAATTTTATATTAACAGTTAGTTTTTCTCTCACCATTTTCAAGATGTCTTTCAACTGTCTCCTTGCTTTCGTTGTTGTTGAGAAGTCAGCTGTCATTCCACTTGTGAAATAATATCTTTAGCTTTGGTGATTTACAGATTCATTACAATGTATCTCTGGTGAATTTCTCTTCATTTATCCTTTGTAAAAGCTGTGTTTCTGAGATCTGTAGATTCATCTATTTATCAGTTCTGGAATAGTCTCAGACATTAACTCCTCAATATTGGTGCACTCTCTCTATTTTCACCTTAAGGTGCTGTGATTAGATGTCTATC
Organism: Homo sapiens; assembly: GCF_000001405.40. Lineage (NCBI taxonomy): Eukaryota > Metazoa > Chordata > Mammalia > Primates > Hominidae > Homo > Homo sapiens. The sequence continues at coordinate 113,107,104 of NC_000002.12, read as the reverse complement.
AGGTCTTCTCATACTATCCTCATAGTGTCTTAACATATCTGCCATATATTAAATTACCCTATTTCATCATTTTGCATTCTGTGTAATAGTTTTTTAAATCTTTCAGCACAATAGTTTTCTTTAACTATATTCATTTTGCTGTTTAAACCTATTGACTTGAGTTTTTACTTCAATAACTGTATGTATTATTTCTAAAAGCTCAAAATTCTTTCTCAAATATGCCAGTTCATTTGTTATTCTTGCTTCTTGCTCACTTTTTAATTTGATTTATTTTCTTTAAATCTTTCAAACATAGTTATATTAAATTCTGAATCTGATAAGTCTGGTTTCTGAGGGCCTCAGTCTACTATTTTTGTTTTAGACTCTGAGGTTCCCACATCACTGGGACCACTTCATGCCTGAAGTTGAAAGTTTGAGCAGTGAGGTCAGATTCCCACCTGGTACTCTAAAGCCCACTTAGTGATAGCCTCAAAACTCTCAAAAAAAGGAAAGGAAAGAGAGGCCACATTAAGTTATTTATAATATTGACCCTCTAACACAAAATTTAACAATTAGCTCTTTGCTAGGACAGGTAAACACAAGCAATAATTAAACATTTTGGTTAAAGCAGTTATTATAGAACAATGTTGCTTAACCTGAGAGCATTTTGTGGATACACTTCAGGGGATCTATCAACCCATTTAAATTTTATGTACTAATTCATTTTGAGGATAAGAATGCATATCTCAAAATAATTTATAATCTTAAAAAGGTCAAGAATTACTGCCTGGGGAAAGCTTCAAAAATAAAAATAAGTTATTATTTTGTATCTTTATTCACTATCCCTTTGCTGTTCTTGTTCCTTATTCATTCCCTTGTTTAGCCTCTAAGAAAGACCCTTTGCTTATTTTATCACTGATTTTGGAGTCATACAAATTGGAAAGAAAAATACTAAATTCCAGTGAAGAAGTGAGCAAAGGAAATTGTGCAAAAAGTAGAATTTAGACAGAAAATAAAAATACAGAAAATGCTTAACTTTCATCAATAACAAGGGATTAATAGTTAAAATAAGCCATTAACAACTAATGAATTAGCAGAAAATAGGAAAAGCCCATTTTCCAACATTGGTGAGATGGCTATGAAATGGGATGCCAGCAATAGGCTCTTGTTCCAACTCTTCCAGAAGGTGATTGAGTGACATGTATCAAAAGTCATGAAAAGATTACTCATCTTTTGATCAACTAATTTCATTTCAGGGAACATTACAATATAAAATAATTCAAAGAATAAAAACCACATGATTATTTCAACATAGTTAAAAATAGCAAAACATTAGAGGTAACCTCAATGTGTTAAAAGGAAAATTAACTAATAATGCTACATTTATAGACAATTATACAGTTGTTTGAAATGCTTAATTTTGAATATGGGGTAGTAAACATGAAAAGTGCTTATAACACACTGTTAATGTCATCTCACCCAACTGGGGGATCAAAAAAGGGAAGAAGATTTCTGAGCTGCACAGTTCTCAGAAGAGATGGAACTCGGATGTCACTTTCTCCCAATTATAAAAAAGTTCTGAGCAGAAGGTTGTGCCTCATGATTGGATGACCATATTGTTTGAGTGGCAAACTGTGAAGCCTGTAACTACATATATAGAGTTTACATTTCTAATCAATTCTCACCTAAAATTTACCCTGATACATCTTTAATGAGTGACATAATGATTACTGAGCAGGATGATAAGTAAGCCCAAACATTTGTGTTGTCATGAGAGATGATATATAATCACCATGGCCCTAGTACTCAGCTGGAAATGTTAGGGTTTTCTTTTCACAGAATCTTCAGTCATTAGCTAGGCTAGCAGTAGCCCCTGACGTCATAAGCTCCTGACTCATCGTGTTCATCAGTCTAGTACTCACTCTTTCCAAACATGTCCACCATCTTCATGCCTTTCTATATATGTTCTCCCTCTACCCACAATGCGCTTCTAGCCAGAAACTCATCCACCCCTGAGCCCAGCTACGAGGCTACCTCCTCTGAAAGATCTCCTCCGTGCATTCCTCTATTGGTGTTACAACTTCCTTTCAGGGTTCCCATGTCTTTGTTTTTATATCTACATCACTACACTGTGTTATGGTAATTTGTGATTCCATCTGTTTTCCCACTGGGACTGGGAGTTTCTCAAAATCAGAACTATGTTTTAATTCATGGCAAAATAAATCAGATGTGGGATTTGGAGTTGGATAAACCTGGTTTTAAATTTCAGCTGGACCACTTACTAGCTACATGACCTTGCCCAAGTTACTGGGCCTTTCTGACCTTCTGTTTCTTATCAGTCCCATTATCAGTATAATGGGACTCAAAAAGAACCTGTCTCATAAAGCTCTTTGGCACACACTAAGTGCCCAATAAATGTTAGCCATGTACTCAGGCTTGTGGGCTACTGGGGTAAAGCAAGACCAAAGTCTTTGACTACTTGCTCAGCACCATACATAGAAACTAAAGGGAGGTGTTGAAATCCCAAAACGCCCCAGCTGCCTGAGCCAACAAGACTCCAACTCCAAGTCATCAGTTACTTTTCCGTCTCCTGGGAGCACTCAGACACTGCGGAAATCCCTTTGCATACCTTTTGCCCCCACCATGAGAAGGCCCAGGAATAGACATGTGGGGGCAGGAGGAGTCAGATTCTCTACCCACTACCCAGCCTTTCATCCCTCCCCTCACTGGGCCAACAGTCAGTGAGTCACTGCTAACATCCCCCAGAACACCCACTAGTCTTAGAGCTGGTGACTTCATGCTGTGAAGAAATTTTCCTCTGAGAAGCATCTCCTCCAGGTTACCAAAGATTCACTCCTCTCCAAGTACCATTGCCCTGAACTTTATTTACCTCTAACCTTTCAAAGTGACCAGCTAACACTGACAATACCTCTGCCTCACTTTGCATGTTACTAAGACTCCAGACATTTCTCAGGAACTCTCTTGACTTCCTTCCTCAGTGCTTCAGTAGAACCATAGTACCATGTAATGATGAAAATCACTCTGTCTAGTCTTAGTCACATCTCTTAACCCCTGGCCACTTACATGGGATGCTTAACTGAGAAAATTTGGTTTAAGAAAAAAAAAAAACACCCCTTGATGCCATAAAAATTAAATAAAATAACTTGGTGAAAGAACTAAAAACCTTGTAGGTACTCAACACATATTGAATATTACCTACTTTCTCCCTTTCAAAATATTGTTGCTCCTTCCTTTCTTTCTTTGAAGTCTGAGCTTTTGATGGACAGTTCCCCAATAATATTCATATGACACCCAGAATGTCCCAAACAGAATCCATCACCTTCCCACCCCACCCTCTGCTCTCCCCAACCATCTTTCTTCTGATTGCTGTATTTCTGTTGATAACACAACCCTTCTTGTATTAGTTTCCCATTGCTGCTATAACAAATTACCATAAACTTTGTGCCTTAAAACACAAATTTATCCTCTTACAGTTCTATAGGGCAGAAGTCTGACAGAGGTGACACTGGGCTCAAATCAAGGTGTCAGCACTGCTGTGATCTTTCTGGACTCTGGGGGAGAATCCATTTCCGAATCATTGCTAGCTGCTAGAGGCCACCCACATTCCTTGCCTCATGGCGGCATCACTCCAACCTCTCCGTTTATCAGCACATCTCCTTTGCAATTCAATCTCCTGTGTCCCTATTTTGAGAACGCTTGTTCTTACATTGGACACAACTGGATACTCCAGGAGAGTCTTTCTATCTTGAGATCCTTAGTTTAATCCCACCTGCAAAATCCTTTTTTCTATGTTAGGTAACACTTTAATTGACTCTAGACAGTAGGACACAGATGTCTTTGAGGGCCATAATACTACCTACTGCACTTCTTTCAGACTCCCAGGCCTGTGATATCAGGACCACCTGTGACTCCTCCACCTCCATTCCAATCCCATCTCCCCTCACAGGATGGAGTGATAGCACCAGGCCATGTGCCCACTCTGATCTACTGATACAGGCTGCCTGAACTATGATGCTGAGGACTGTGAAGTTGTGTCTTTGATTCCAAGAAAGTATTGTCCGATCAAGTAGTCATGTCTGCCGTGGGCATGGGATGTCAGGTCAGCATGAGTACTTTGCACCTCTATCCCAGCTCCTTCTGTGCCTTGTCAGGCCTCTGAGCCCAAGCTAAGCCAATGTATGCCCTGTGACCTGCACATATACATCCAGATGGCCTGAAGCAAGTGAAGAATCACAAAAGAAGTGAAAATGGCCAGTTCCTGCCTTAACTGATGACATTCCACCATTGTGATTTATTCCTGCCCCACCTTAACTGAGCGATTAACCTTGTGAAATTCCTTTTCCTGGCTCAGAACCTCCCCCACTGAGCACCTTGTGACCCCCACGCCTGCCCAAAGAGAGAAACCCCCTTTGACTGTAATTTTCCACTACCTACCCAAATCCTATAAAACCTCCCCACCCCATCTCCCTTCGCTGACTCTCTTTCAGACTCAGCCCACCTGCACCCAGGTGAAATAAACAGCCTTGTTGCTCACACAAAGCCTGTTTGGTGGTCTTTTCACACAGACGCACGTGACACGCCTGACCTCTCCTTCCCATGCCTACAGGCTTCCCCCTTCCCCAATTAGAGCTGCTTGTCCAAACCATTGCAATAGCTCTGTGTGAACTGAATCCCTCCACAATCCACATATCAAAGTCCTAACTCCCAGTGTGGCTGTATTTGAAGATAGAGCCTATAAGAAAGTAATTGAGGTTAAATAAGGGTGGGGCCCTAACACAATAGAATTGGTGTCCTTATAAGAAGAGGTAGAGACACCAGAGAGCTCTCACTGTCCCCGTGCCTGCACAGACACCAAGGAAAGGCCACAGTGAGAAGGTAGCTGTCTGCCAGCCAGCAAGTGGATGATCTGAGACTTGATCACAGCCTCCAGAACTGGGAGCAAATACATTCTTCCTGTTGGTTAAGCCACCCAGCCTGTGGTATTTTGTTATGGCAGTCTGAGGTGACTAAGACAATCTCCTTAAGAAAAAAAGTCTCGGGCGGGGCACGGTGGCTCACACCTGTAATCCCAGCACTTTGGGAGACCGAGGTGGGCAGATCACCTGAGTTCGGGAGTTCGAGACCAGCCTGACCAACATGGAGAAACCCTGTCTCTACTAAAAATACAAAATTAGCCGGGTGTGATAACGCACACCTGTAATCCCAGCTACTTGGGAGGCTGAGGCAGGAGAATCACTTGAACTGGGGAGGTGGAGGTTGCAGTGAGCCAAGATCACGCCATTGCACTCCAGCCTGGGTAACAAGAGAGAAACTCCATCTCAAAAAATAAAAATAAAAAAAGAATAAAAAAGTCTCTCTTCCCCAGCTCCAATCTGCCTTCTATGCTACTGCCAGATCTTTCAGAGCGGTGGTTTCTACATGTTGGTCCTTAGACCAGTGCCAGTTTTAATGATGAGCTAAATTAAATTAGAAAATCGAGAGCCCAGGGCTTGATATTTAAATATGTTGGGATGCTATTGTTAACTCTTCATTCTTGAGAAAGGCAGTCCTTTCTTCTGAGATCATGCTCACTGAGTGGAGAGGAAATGTAAAAATGGCCTTTCTTTTATGAAATAGTGGCTATAGTAGGTGCAACTTGTTATTTTTATTAATGTTCTTGTAAAAATTATAAGTTGTTTTCCCAAGTTTTTAAAAAGATTACAGGTATGAGATATTAAAATATCATTGAATGTCGGTTTTACATCACAGCTGTAATCACATCAGGCCTCCTGCTCCCAATCTTAAAATGTGAATGCCTCTTCCCACAGGTGGAAGGAAACCCCCTCGCTACCCTAACCCCTACTCCTCACCCCCACTGCGTCTACCAGAGAGGACAAAGGTCAACCAGCGAAGACAACTTTAAGACTCTTATCAGTCTGGAGATGGCACCAGGGGAATCTACATTAACAAGCTTTACAAACTAGCCTTTATCTGACATTTCGCCTTTCCACAAGTCACTACTCTTAGAGACTCAAAGTCCTTTTTAATTCCCTTGTCATGTCTCTAAAACTTTACTGTTCTTTGTTGAAGACACTATATAAGCTGGAATTCAAAGCCACCTCTTTGAAAGCTACTTATTCCCTGGGTGTCTCCCATGTATATAAGAAATATACATGTTAATTAACATCTGCTTGTTTTTCTCTTATTCATCTGCCCATTCCAACTAAGAACTTATGAGAACTGAGAAAAAAATATTTTTCCTCTCCTACAAAGTCTTCCTGATCGCCCATCCACTGGCAGTCTCCTCCTCACAGGTCACTTGGATCTTCTTTGTGGTATTTAAATCTTGGCTTGTTTGAGCTTTTTAGCCACCCTGTGCTAAGAAGGAGCATGAATATGTGGTGATTACAAACATGGCTTTCTGTCAGAACTGTCTAAATTTGATTCTTGTCGGCACCACTTACTAACTGGGATAAGTTCCTTAACCTCTCCGAGCCTCAGTTTCTGCATCTGTGCGATAGAGTGATAGAAGTGCCTCCTAAGTGGGGCCCTGTAGGAAATGCAATGGCACTGTGCCTGCAAGAGAAACCATTAGGTCAACCTCATAGCTGTGGTCCGGCTCATTCTTCTTTGTCTCCATAAGGGACCAGTGCTTGGCCTGACAGACTCCTGTCCTCCCCTTGTCATTTGCTGCTTCTCTTGTGACTAGCACAAGGCTCAGCTAGTACCTGTTGGCCTGAACATGAATACGCCTGGCCTCAAAATAATCTCCAGTTTTCCAGCCTTTTTTTTTTTTTTTTGAGACGGAGTCTCGCTCTGTCGCCCGGGCTGGAGTGCAGTGGTGCGATCTCGGCTCACTGCAAGCTCCACCTCCCAGGTTCATGCCATTCTCCTGTCTCAGCCTCCCAAGTAGCTGGCACTACAGGCGCCCGCCACCACGCCCGGCTAATTGTTTTTGTACTTTTTTAGTAGAGACGGGGTTTCACCATGTTAGCCAGGATGGTCTTGATCTCCTGACCTTGTGATCTGCCCGCCTCGGCCTCCCAAAGTGCTGGGATTACAGGCGTGGTCCAGCTTTTAAGAAGGAAGAGGGGCCAGTCGCGGTGGCTCACGCCTGTAATCCCAGCACTTTGGGAGGCCGAGGCGGGCGGATCACGAGGTCAGGAGATCGAGACCATCCTGGCTAACACGGTGAAACCCCGTCTCTACTAAAAATACAAAAAATTAGCCGGGCGTGGTGGCAGGTGCCTGTAGTCCCAGCTACTCGGGAGGCTGAGGCAGGAGAAGGGCGTGAACCCGGGAGGCGGAGCTTGCAGTGAGCCGAGATCCCGCCACTGCACTCCAGCCTGGGCGACAGAGCGAGACTCCGTCTCAAAAAAAAAAAAAAAAAAAAAAAAGAAAAGAAAGAAGAGGATGCTGAGGAAAAATGGCGGATAGGAGGCAGGACTAATTTGCAGCTCCCACTCAGATGAACAGAGCAGTGTATGGAGACCCACATCGTGAACTTTTGCTCCAAGAACTTCCACAGGAACATACCAGGAAAGCCGAGAAAGTCCACAGACCCTTTGAAGGAGGCGGATTGCCACTGCAGGCTCCATGGGACAGTCGAGGAACTGTGAGTTCGCTCGTTTTCTCAGCTGGGAGGCTTGTAGCCTGGAGCAAGTTCTCAGCCCTGCTCACCAGCTTCCTGGAAGTAAACTCATTGCTGTTGGTGGGGCATGGTGGGAGTGAAACCGGCCTTTAGGGCTGTGGGCTGCATGGGAGCTGGGTGAGGCCTGTGGCTGCCAGCTTTCTCCTACTTCCCAGCAACCTGTGTGACACAGCGGAGGCAGCCATAATCCACCTGGGAACAGAACTCGATTGGCCTGGGAACCACACCCCAGCAACCTGTGTGACACAGTGGAGGCAGCCATAATCCACCTGGGAACAGAACTCGATTGGCCTGGGAACCACACCCCCAGCAACCTGTGTGACACAGCGGAGGCAGCCATAATCCACCTGGGAACAGAACTCGATTGGCCTGGGAACCACACCCCAGCAACCTGTGTGACACAGAGGAGGCAGCCATAATCCACCTGGGAACAGAACTCAATTGGCCTGGGAACCACACCCCAGCAGCCTGTGTGACAGCGGAGGCAGCCATAATCCACCTGGGAACAGAACTCGATTGGCCTGGGAACCACACCCCAGCAACCTGTGTGACACAGCGGAGGCAGCCATAATCCACCTGGGAACAGAACTTGATTGGCCTGGGAACCACACCCCAGCAACCTGTGTGACACAGCGGAGGCAGCCATAATCCACCTGGGAACAGAACTCGATTGGCCTGGGAACCACACCCCCAGACCCCATAGCCGCCTTAGCAAGCCTGGCCCAAGGAGAGTATGAGCTCAGACACACCCAATCCTGCCCCTACCTGATGATCTTTCTCTACCCGCCCTGACAGCCAAATACAAAATACATAATCTCTTGGGAGCTTTAAGGCCAGGAGTAGGTCTCACCCACTGCCTGATCCTCCGTATACTGATGCATTCTTGAGAGCACCAACTCCTAGCTGGAGGCCAACCAACACAAAATCAGTGCAGTTAACAAAAATACAAGAACCCTCACAGAGTCTACTTCACTCCCCTGCTGCCTCCACCAAAGCAAGTGCTGGAATCCATGGCTGACAGACCTGAAGACGGATCATATCACGGGATTCTGCAGATACTCCCCAGTACTAGCCCAGAGCCCAGTAGCTCCACTGGGTGGCCAGGTCCAGAAGATAAATAACAATCACTGCAGTTCAGCTCTAAGGAAGCCCCATCCTTAGGGGAAAGGAGAGCAGCACATCAAGGGAGCACCCCGAGGCACAAAAGAAACTGAACAGCAGCCCTTGAGTCCCAGATATTCACTCTGACGTAGTCTACCCAAATGAGAAGGAACCAGTAAAGCTATTCTGGTAATATGACAAGATCAGAGCAGAACTAAATGAAATTGAAACCAAAAAAAATACAAAAGAAAAATGAAACAAAAACTGGTTCTTTGAAAAGATAAACAAAAGTGATAGACCATTAGCGAGATTAACCAAGAAAAAGAGAGAAGATCCAAATAAGCTCAATTAGAAATGAAATGGGAAACATTCCAATACTACAGAAATACAAAAGGTCATTCAAGCCTACTATGAACACCTTCATGTGCATAAACTAGAATACCTATAGGAGATGGATAATTTCCTGGAAATATACAGCCCTCCTAGATTAAACCAGGAAGAAATAGAAACTCTGAACAGACCAATAACAAGCAGTGAGATTGAAGTGGTAGTTAGAAGTAATTGTAATGGAAATGGTAACAACAAGAAAAGTCCAGGGCCAGATGGATTCACAGCTGAATTCTATCAGACATTCAAAGAAGAATTGGTATCAATACTATTGACACTATTCCAAAAAATAGAGAAAGAGGGAATCCTCACTAAATCATTCTATGAAGCCAGTATCACCCTAATGCCAAACTAGGAAAGGACATAACAAAAAAGAAAACTATAGACCAATATCCCTGATGAACATGACACAAAAATCCTCACCAAAATACTAGCTAATCGAATCCAGCAGTATATCAAAAAGGTAATCCACCATGATCAAATGGGTTTCATACCAGGAATGCAGGGATAGTTTAACATTCACAACTCAATAAATGTGACACATTACATAAAAAGAATTAAAAACAAAAATCACATGATCATCTCAATAGATGCAGAAAAAGCATGTGACAAAATCCAGCATCCTTTTATGATCTAAAACCCTCAGCAAAATTGGCATCGAAGGGACATACCTTAAGGTAATAAAAGTTATCTATCACAAACCCACAGCCAACATTATACTGAACAGGAAAAAGTTGAAAGCATTCCCCTTGAGAACTGGAACAAGACAAGAATGCCCACTTTCACCACTTCTATTTAACATAGTACTGGAAGTCCTAGCCAGAAAAATCAGACAAGAGAAAGCAATAAAGGACATCCAAACAAGTAAAGAGGAAGTCAAACTGTTGCTGTTTGCTGATGACATGACTGTATACTTAGAAAACCCTAAAGACTCATCCAGAAAGTTCCTAGAACTGGTAAATGAATTTGGCAAACTTTCAGGATACAAAATTAGTGTACACTAATCAACAGCCCTGCTATACACCAACAGCAACCAAGCTGAGAATCAAATCAAGAACTCAATCCCTTTTACAACAGCTGCAAAAAAATAAAAATAAAAATAAATACTTAGGAATATACTTAACCCAAGGAGATGAAAGACCTCTACAAGGAAAACTACAAAACACTGCTGAAAGAAATCATAGATGACACAAACAAATGGAAACACATCCCATGCTCATGGATGGTAGAATCAGTATTGTGAAAATGACCGTGCTGCCAAAAGCAATCTAAATTCAATGCAATTCCCAACAAAATGCCACCATCATTTTCACAGAGCTAGAAAAAACAATCCTAAAATTCATAAGGAACCAAAAAAGAGCCCACATAGTCAAAGTGTGACTAAGCAAAAAGAGCAAATCTAGAAGCATTACATTACTCGACTTCAAACTATACTATAAGGCCATAGTCCCCCCGCCCGGCCAGCCGCCCCGTCTGGGAGGGAGGTGGGGGGGTCAGCCCCCCACCCAGCCAGCCACCCCGTCCGGGAGGTGAGGGGCACCTCTGCCCGGCCGCCCCTACTGGGAAGTGAGGAGCCCCTCTGCCCGGCCACCACCCCGTCTGGGAGGTGTACCCAACAGTTCATTGAGAACGGGCCATGATGACAATGGCGGTTTTGTGGAATAGAGAGCGGGGAAGGGTGGAGAAAAGATTAAGAAGTCGGATGGTTGCCGTGTCTGTGTAGAGGGAGGTAGACATGGGAGACTTTTCGTTTTGTTCTGTACTAAGAAAAATTATTCTGCCTTGGGATCCTGTTGATCTGTGACCTTACCCCCAACCCTGTGCTCTCTGAAACATGTGCTGTGTCCACTCAGGGTTAAATGGATTAAGGGCGGTGCAAGATGTGCTTTGTTAAACAGATGCTTGAAGGCAGCAAGCTCGTTAAGAGTCATCACCACTCCCTAATCTTAAGTACCCAGGGACACAAACACTGCGGAAGGCCGCAGGGTCCTCTGCCTAGGAAAACCAGAGACCTTTGTTCACTTGTTTATCTGCTGACCTTCCCTCCACTATTGTCCTATGACCCTGCCAAATCCCCCTCTGCGAGAAACACCCAAGAATGATCAATCAATAAATAAATTAATTAATTAATTAAAAAAAAAAAGGCCATAGTCACCAAAACAGCATAGTACTGGTATAAAAATCAGCATATAGACCAATGGAACAGAATAGAGGACCCAGAAATAAAGCCAAATACTTACAGTCAACTGATCTTTGACAAAGCAAACAAAAACGTAAAGTGGGAAAAGGACACCCTATTCAACAAATGGTGCTGAGATAATTGGGAAGCCACATGTAGAAAAATGAAACTGGATCCTCATCTCTCATCTTATACAAAAATCAACTCAAGATGGATCAAGAACTTAAATCTAAGACCAAAAACCATAAAAATTCTAGAAAACCCTTCTAGACATTGGGAAACCCTTCTAGACATTGGCTTAGGCAAAGTCTTCATTACCAAGAACGCAAAAGCAAACACAACAAAAATAAAGACAAATAAACGGCACTTAATTAAAATAAAAAGCTTCTGCACAACAAAAGAAATAATCAACAGAGTAAACCGACAACCCATAGAGTGAGAGCAAATCTTCACAATCTATACATCCAAAAAAGGACTAATATCCAGAATCTACAAGAAACTCAAACAAATCAGCAAGAAAAAAAAACAAACCCATCAAAAAGTGGGCTAAGGACATGAATAGACAATTCTCAAAAGAAGATATAGGAATGGCCAACAAACTTATGGAAAAATGTTCAATATCACTATCAGGGAAACGCAAATCAAAACCGCAATGCAATAACAAGTTATTCCCACAAGAATGGCCATAATAAAAAAAAATAGATGTTGGCATGGGTGTGGTAAAAAGGGAACACTTTTACACTGTTGGTGGGAACGTAAACTGGTGTAACCACTATGGAAAACAGTGTGAAGATTTCTTAAAGAACTAAAAATATATCTACTCTTTGATCCAGCAATCCCACTTTTGGGTATCTATCCAGAGGAAAAGAAGTCATTATATGAAAAAGATACTTGCACACGCATGTTTATAGCAGCACAATTCACAATTGCAAAAATATGAAGCCAGCCCAAAAGCCCATCAATCAATGAGGGGATAAAGAAAATGTGATATACATATATATATATATCACTCATAAGTGGGAGCTAAGCTGTAAGGACTCAAAGGCATAAGAATGATACAATGGACTTTGGGGACTCAGGGGGAAAGGGTGGGAGGAGGAATGAGGGATAAAAGACTACACAGCGGGTACAGTGTACACTGCTTGTGTGATGGGTGCACTAAAATCTCAAAACTCCCCACTGAAGAACTTATTCATGTAACCAAACATGCCTGTTTCCCAGCAACCTATTGAAAAAAATGTAATCACACGCAGAAACGAAGTAATGCTGAAAATAAAATGATTTTCATTCCCAGCACCACCCAAAAAATATTTGTTTTAAAGGAAGAAGAGAATGTTACAGCAGAATGATCCTTCCTCTGTGAATAGCCCCTCTCTATCTTTCATTGGCACATTCCCCACCCCCTACAAAAATCTCCCTTGATCTCTGTCCATTTTCTAAGCCAGTTATCCAGCTTTCCTATTAATTCTGGGAACTAACCTGATTTTTTTTGAATACTTTTTTCTAAAAATAAATAAATTTCTGTTTAAATTAGTCTGAAGTCTATTTCCACTGCTTGTTCCACAGAGACCTGACTGATGCACATGGATCTACCCATAAAGATTAATTTGCCACACTAATTGTTGTCAACACTTTGCATTTGGGTTCCTAAAGTATGTGATGTATATCACTGGTGGTACACAGGATTAATTTCAGATCTCAGGATGTATTTCTGTGTTTTAATAGTATTATTATGTGTTTATTTCAAGATGTAATAGAAATACACAGTCCATTAAACTTATGATTTCATGGATATCAGTGTCATGCCCAGGAGGAAGCAAAAGTGAGCAATCTCTATTTAAAAATATGTGCAATTATACAGGCATTCGCAGTGTAGTGGCTTTTAAATTTTCTACCCATTAACTAAACATGCTTTCCATTTGGGGATGAATTCCACACTGGTCTCGTTTTGGTGGAAGACAGGGCTCTGCCTTCCATTTCATAACCAGAAAGAACCAACTACTCCCTTCCTCCTCCCTGATAGTGAGGAAAGTGTGGGCACATGAGCCTTTGCTTATAGGTCACATGGATGCTCTTACTGAAGACTTTGAATCTGAGGGAGTGAAGCAAGACACAAAAGGCATTGGATTACCTGTGGCAGTAGCTCCTATCCTGACCACTCACTTTATGAGTGAGCATTTTGATATCACAAAGCACCAAACAAGATCCAGAACATTGCAGGAGTCTGTCCAGGGTCACACAGCTATTGAAGAGTAGGGCTCATGGTGGGACAAGACCTCTCCTCCAAGCCCCATACTCTGTACTACATTCACTTGTAGAAGAGTATCAAGTTAGTCTCTGTGAGTCAGCCACCCTATGAGCACTGTCCCCAGATATGGTGATGCTAAGCTGGGCTCTAAGCTGCACGGTGGAAACCCAGAAAAGGAGCACAGGCTTCACTTGAGAAGAATGTGAGAGTGTTGGCTCAACTTTCCACCATGGGGATAAAGGTACACAAATTGCGTAGTGCCCCAGCATGGCCGGGGAGCAGGAGGGGAAACCACTCTACAAAGAGCTCTGGCTTATCCCTACTGACATACACAGACCATTTCTGGTTCCTACACCTCAGAAGACATGGAAGAGGTAGTACAGATGGTGGCTTGGCTACTCAATGTCTCTCTTAGCACCCACCCAACTCATTCCTGCAGTGCTTGGAAAGCTAAAACCCACATTTCTCAGACTCTCTCACAGCAAGAGTTCCAGATGTGACTTCAATTCTGCCAAGCAGATGCATTCTTGGCAGACTGACATTTGGAATACATTATTTAAATAGAGCCATCTATTTTCTTTTTTCTTTTTTTTTTTTTCAGACGAAGTCTCACTCTTGTCCTCCATGCTGGCATGCAATAGCGCAATCTTGGCTCACTGCAACCTTTGCCTCCCAGGTTCAAGGGCTTCTCCTGCCTCAGCCCCTCCGAGTAGCTGGGATTATAGGCATCTGCCACCATGCCCGGCTCATTTTTGTATTTTTAGTAGAGACAGGGTTTCACCATGTTGGCCAGGCTGGTCTAGAACTCCCGACCTCAGGTGATCCACCCACCTCGGCCTCCCAAAGTGCTGGGATTACAGGCGTGAGCCACCACGCCTGACCTAGAGCCATCTATTTCCTTACTGCATATTTTAGCAAGCACAGCATGCTTCAGGAGGTAACTTTCTGATCTCCGGATTATAGGTAAAGCCGTATTTTTCTGGAGCCAACAGCTGTGTGATCCCTGCACTGGGCCCCAGTGCCGTGTTGCTGGAGCCAGCAGTGTAGCAGCATTTTCCTGATTGTGACAGAGATGATGGCTCTCCAGCAAGCCAGTTTTACAGTGTCCCTCTGGGAATTATTCCTGGATGTCCAGTCAAAAGCCCATTCCTGTGGTCCTCCAGCTGACTCTGTAAGAACCAAATTCTTTATATGGAAACATTTTCCCATTAAACTAGCTAGGGTACTTCCTATAGTCTTTCACTGAATCCCAACAAATTAACCAACATTTCACCCTTTTGCATACCTCTCTGCTTGTGCGCGTTCTTGGCTGTGTCTAAAAATCCCCTTGCCCTTACTCTGCCTGGATAACTCTTCCCTTTACCTCAACAGTTGGCCCAAACATCTCCTCTTCTTTGAAGACTGTACTGCCTATTTAGTATAGGATTTAAAGTTAGTTATTGCTCCTCTTCATTCCCATAGTCTACATTTTTCTCCCTTTCCCTCTTCCTCCCCCTCTTCCTCCCTTCCTTCTTCCCTTCCTTTTCTTTTCCTTTCTTCTTTCTTCCCTTTCTTCCTTTCATTCTTTCTCCCTTTTTTCATGTATTCATTTAACACACATTTATTGAGTATCCAGTACAAGTCAGTCACTGGAGATACAAACACACAGGGCACAGTTCTGCCCTTGAACTACCTACAGATTCATGGAAGAGGCTCACAATTAACATGCCATTTGGCAAGTGTTATGCTGGGGGCGATCCAGTGTCTCGTGGCTGCTGAGAAAAAGCTGCAGAGCTACACATGGTTTCCAAGAGGGGTTGAGTTTTCAGCTGATCTCTGAAATGTGAGAAAATTAACCAGGGAAGTAGAAGAGGAAGGATTTTCCAAACAGAAGTTGAGATACAAGTTCTGTGCAAAGACAGAACTTGTGAGAGATGACAGCATCCTGGAGAATCTTTAAGAACCTCATAATCATAATGGCTGTTATTAAATTTGCTGCATGTACAAGAATCCGGAAGGGCAATGGAGAAATGACCTGAAGATTGGCAAGGCCCAGAATCTGAGGAGCCTTTTCTGTGCTACAAACATGTGGGGAGCCATTGAAGAAAAGGCAGGGTGCCATCCCTATGTAGCAATGTGGACCTGCTTTAGAACAAAGCAAGACTGGGAATTCCCATTTGGGAGCCCCTCTGTCTCGCAAGAGAGAGCCATTCTCCTTTCTCTTCCTTTTTCCTATTAAACCTCTGCTCCTAAACAAAACAAAACAAAAAAAAAATGGAGGCAAGACTTTGTGGTAAGGAGACTAGCTGGGAGGTTGTTCAGTGACCTACAGATAAGGAGACAAGAGTCTAACCCACAGTGCTGACCGTGAGGATGGAGAGAAAACCCTAGAAATGTTTAGGAGGTAGACTCAATAGGACCTAGTAACTACTAAATATGGGAAGTGACTATTGAATGTAGAAGGGATCAAGGGTATTATTATTTAAAGGCTTAGATAACTGGCGGGCAGCAATAGCATCATTCATTGAGAAAGATGATACAAGAGGTGGAGGAACAGATTGATTCTAAGGGTAGTCAGGGAGACGGTTAATTCCATTTGAGTTGTGTTGTGTTTGAGATGCAGATGGGATGCTAAATGGAGTGTCCAGTTGGAAACTGGATGTACAAACCTGGAAGCTAGAAGAGAAAAATGCACTAAAGATAAAGATCTGTCAGTTATGGTTGAAGCTTGGAGATGCCTGAAGGAGAGAATGTGGAGTAAAGGGAAACCCAACATTTACATTATTTTGTAGCGTCATTCAAAAAAATTATCTCTTCTTCCTGCTGGGTGAATTATAACATTATTTTTATCTTTAAGTCTCCATTTTTTACAATAGTGTCTTGAATATAATGAGAGCTCAAAAGGTGGGAATAAATGAGGTATCAATGAATTAATTTGGTCATTTTAAAAAGGAAAAACTTTAACTGTAACTAGAAAATAATATCTTCCTCTTGATCTCAAGAAGAGGCACATGTTAGGAGAGAATCAGGAAAGTGGACTGTAGGATATGTGATAAAGAAAAAACACACAAGGAGGGCACCAATCTGAGCCTGAGTGGCATTTCCAATGCAGTGGCCAATCAGAGCATCAGAGAGAATCACAGGAGCCCAGATACTGACCTTGAGGCCACTTGGAATGAGGACTCTTTCCCAAATGCCCCCACTTCTCACCCTTCCCAAATGCCCCCACTTCTCACCCCAGTCGGTTATAGCTCTATCCCCTCAGCATTGTTCCTGGTCTTCCTCTAATGTTATTTGGAGATGTATTAAGAATGTACATGTCTTATGTTTACTAACCATGAGTGAAATAAAACTTCCCTTTCTTTGCCCTAAAAAAGTCTCCTCCAAGCTTCAATGAGTGTCATGTCTGAAGTGCTAGCCACTTCCCTTTGCTCAACCTGAGAATGCCATTCCTCTCTGAGCTGCATGCAAAGGGCCTCAAAGGCTTCCTCCAACCCTGATACAGCAAGTGTCTGCTTTGCTTTCCAGTGGTTCCCTGACCCATGGAGTCTGTGGGCAGGAGTTGCAATTGTCTGTTGCTGGCCCTGAGGTCATGCAGGTAGGAGAGATCTTGCACTGGTCACAGCTTTCCCTAAGGGGCCACAATGGGAATGAGTTGCTGTGAGAAACCCTGGCAGTGCTGCAAAATTACATGCATCACAGTGATGATTTGCAAAGCCCAGTGTGCTTTCCTCCATCTGCTATTCAGTAGAGCTATTTATTCTAGCAAGCATTAATACAATAAAATCTATCTAGGGTTACTGTCAACACAACTCCCACAGCACTCTCCATTTCCTTTGGAGAACACAATTTGTAGCAAACCTCCACTTTCTCTGCTCACCTTCACTGTTCATCTAATAGCAGATATTTTTTCTGCACAGCCTGTATCACTATCCAAATTTATATTGAGTATGTATTTGCTCAGGCATTTATTCTCTGTCTCCTACCGCTAGAATGTAAATTCCTTACTATGTGTTATTCACAGATGCATCTCAACGCCCAAAACAGTATCATGCACAGAGCAGGTGCTTGATAGTTACTTTTTAAATGAATAAACCTATCTATTTTTTTCCATTCTCTTTTCTAACTGTTTTCTCAATTTGTGCCTTGGCGGAGACCTGGCTATCCTCTGGGACCATGTTTGCCCTGCATCTTTCTCAAGGAGAAGAAGCTCATGCCCCTACCATCTGGATATCACAGGGCCAGCATGGGGTCATCTCTCTACTGACATTTTCAGATTGTGACTTCTCCAGCCTTTGTAAAACAAAACAAAAACAAAAACAAACAAAAGCATCAGTCCTTTAACGTTTTTACCATCCTATATCTCTCTTTGTAGCTTTCAGCTACTGACTGCCTAGTCATTCTCCCCTATTTATTAAATATTTGTCACTGGAACCTAGCTCTCTTCTTTGTCCTAATCCCCAAGGGGTCTTAATGTCCATTTGGATGACTAACACCATGACCTTTCTGTAAAAATTACTATACTACCCTCTGACCACAACCGATAGCAGTCTTGTTCTCTCTCTCTCTCTTTCTCATTCTTCATTATTCCCATTGCTCAGGCATTTCAACCACACAGAAACCTTCCATCCTTTAACCTGCTCAAATTTGCTCTACCACCTCCTCCTTGGAGGTCTTCACTTCCTTCAGTTGCTCACTTGGACCATTCTTTCATCAATATTCTCCACTGTTTGGCTCCTTTGCCCTCCCATTGCACTGTGTGGAAAGCTCTGGATCTGTCCAAGGTCCACCCTCCCAGACTAACCCAAAGCCACTGCCCCACACTGATGATATCCAAAACTAACTGGCCCCATGTTTGCTTAGCAAACCTTTCATGTTTCTATAATGAGCTGGCTGACCCATCTCCACAGAAAATATTTCCAGCCTACTCCACTGACTTCAATCTCCTAGCCCATCTCCTTTTTCCTCACTTATAGCAAAGTAATAGAAGCTAGGAGAAGGACACTTTCTCAGTTCCCCATTAGCCCACATTAAAACCTATTGAAACTTTCTTTATGCTTTCTCTCTTCTCTCTCATTCAATAGAAGCAGGAGCCCACTCTTACCCAAGGCCAGTCCCTCTGCATTTGCTTTGTGTCCCATTCAGGCTCCTCAAGGCTCTCACATCATCAGTCATCCTCAGTCACTTAGTCATACCTCAGTGTGCCTGGCTCTGTGCTAAGGGCTTGGAGTGCATGAGTGAACCCAGTCTTCCCCATAGAAGCCTGTGAAGTGGTGGTTCTTATTACTGTTACACCCACTTTACTTAACCATGTTTACACAAAGGGGAAGAAAAATGCTCTATATTCTTTATCCCACTATTATTAAATGAAACTGCTTTTCGTTCTTATTTCATTTCGGCTGAGAAAATCTTAAGAGCCCAAAGGCCTGAGCTGTTGCTTATCATACAAATAATATCGCTTATAGTGCTTCTAGTCTTCAGAATTAACAAACAAACAAAAAGTTCTCTGATACAGGTGCCCCCACTCCCTCACAGCTTCAGTGGTTTTGCAACATAAACTTTTTCAAAGAATTCATCTGGGAGGCATTAAACTGAGAACAGCCGCAAGACTAGCACTTTTTTTCTGTGCATTATAAAGACCTGTACAAATACCCACTGCTGTCACCAACTTTTCTGTTTTTCTTTTTTTTTTTTTTTTTTTTTTGAGACGGAGTTTCATCCTATTGCCCAGCTGGAGTGCAGTGGCACGATCTCGGCTCAAACTTCGCCTCCCAGGTTCAAGTGATTCTTAAGCCTCAGCCTCCCGAGTAGTTGGGATTACAGGAACATGACACCAAGCCCTGTTAATTTTTGTATATTTAGTAGACACAGTGTTTTGCCATGTTGGCCAGGCTAGTCTCGAGCTCCTGACCTCGTGATCCACCCGCCTTGGCCTCCCGAAGTGCTGGGGTTACAGGCATGAGCCACTGCACCTGGCTGCCATCTCCAACTTTTCTGTTCCTAGTTAAAATAAATATGTCATTGCAAAGATTTGAACAAAAGAGGGATATATTATGAACGTACATTCCTTATGTTTATTAATCAGTGTAAGACACTGAAGATTTCAGAAAATGTTTCAAAGTACTGTAGAAACAACCCTGAAAATGAAACCTGTAATTTGTTATCTTAATTGGCAACTTGTTGCTGTTCTGATTTTAAAACATGCCCATGAATTCTTTGAGACTTTTCTCATTAAGAAGTGGAGTATGATTTTCCTCCCTTTGAATGCAGACTGACATTAGTGAATAGAACGAGGCAAAAGTTATGCTGAATGACTTCTGAAGCGAAGTCATCAAAAGTTATATAGTTTCTGCCTGACTCTCTCTCTCTCCTAGCCCTTACTCTTGAAACCCAGTTGCCATATTGTGGGGAAGCCCAGGTGTCATGAAGAGGCCAAGCAAAGGTGGTTTGGCCAACAGTCCCGCTGAGGTCCCAGCAGAGATCCAGCATCAATCTCCAGACCTGTGAGTAAGGCAGTCATCTGACCAGTCCAGTTCCCACCCTTAGACTCCTCTCAGTTGATGTTGAGTGGAGTGAAGACAAGATGTCCCTATGTCCCCACTGAATCCTGCCCAATTACAGAGTCACAAAGGAGAATAGGTATTTTCTTTTGTAAAAAAAAAAAAGTTATTTCTTATGGAGCGGTTTATGAATTTGCATGCCATCCTTGTGCAGGGGCCATGCTAAACCTCTCTGTATTGTTCCAATTTTAGTATATGTGCTGCCGAAGCGAGCGCAGATTAAATGATTTCTATTTTTAAGCCATTAAGTTTAAGGGTGGTTTATTCCACAGCAATAGATACATGAAACATAGATAAATAGATAAATGGAAATAATACTGAAAAAGTATTTTCATATTTTGAATGATATAAATTTTTAATGGTATAAATACTGAAAAGATTTATTGCTAATTCTAAAGAAGGTAACTGACACTTTTTTTTTTTGAGACAGAGTTTTGCTCTTGTTGTCCAGGTTGGAGTGCAATGGCATGATCTCGGCTCACTGCAATCTCCACCTGCCCAGCTCAAGTAATTCTCCTGCCTCAGCCTCCTGAGTAGCTGTGATTACAGGCATGTGCCAACGTGCCCACCTAATTTTGTATTTTTAGTAGAGACAGGGTTTCTCCATGTTGGTCAGGCTGGTCTCGAAATCCCCACCTCAGATGATCTGCCCACCTCGGCCTCCCACAGTGCTGGGATTACAGGTGTGAGCCACCGTGCCCAGCCTTTTTTTTTTTTTTTTTTTTTTTTGAGATGGTGTCTTGCTCTGTCACCCAGGCTGGGGTGCAGTGGCATGATCTCAGCTCACTACAACCTCTGCCTCCTGGGTTCAAGTGATTCTCCTGCATCTGCCTCCCTAGTAGCTGGGACTACAGGTGCATGCCACCATACACAGCTAACTTTTTATTTTTAATAGAGACGGGGTTTCACCAACATGGCCAGGCTGGTCTCGAACTCCTGACCTCAGGTGACCAGACCGCCTCAGCCTCCCAAAGTGCTGGGATTACAGGTGTGATCCACTGCGCCCAGCCAGACACTGACATTTTTCTTTGCTCCCGGATTCATTAGAAAATAAGAAAAGCATGACTCTCCTACACTTATAATTTTTTCAGTAATTTGAGTACATCAATTTCATTCTATTTTCTCTGATGAGAAATAACAGAGTGGAAATTTGAATCCAGGCAGGTTTGCTCGAGAGCTCATGCATGTACTCATACTGTAACCTCGCCCTGTTTTTTCCAACCTGTCCTTCACTGGCTCCTTCCTTCCTATCAGCTTTCACACTTGTTTAAACCTGCCACATCTTGACAGTTTCTTTCCTTAGCCCCATGACTCCCTCTAGCTACACCCTTCTCTTTCTCCTCCCCTTCACAGCCAAAGTTATTAAAATAATTCTCCCTACTCACTGTCTCTGTGTTCTCACTTTCCACTCACTCCTGAAGACCCTTCATCTTCACTTTTGCACAATCACTCTTCTGAAGGCACTCTGGAGTTTTTAGCTCCTAGATCCAGTGGACACTTTTCAAACTTTTCTGGACTTGATCTACTGTTAGCATCCGACACTGCTGGCTCTCGCCCTAAAGCCCTCTTATATAGACTTCCATGATTCCACTTCTCCTGATTTTCCTTCTGCCTCTCCAGGCCTCTCCTTCTAAACCTCCATAGAAGGCTTTTCATCTTCTGCCTGCCTCTCAAATATCTCTCTCTCCTGGGCCATCTCCTCTCTTAAACTAACCTCTCTCTTCATTTCATTCACCTCATAAGTTCATCTTCTTTGTGCTGAAAACTCTGAAATTTATATCTCCATTCCAAATTTCTCTCCTGCACTCCATATCTGCATATGTAACTGCCCACTGAAATCCTTTACCTGGATGCTCACATACACCTCAAAATTCAACATAGGCAAAAGCAGAGCTTATGATTTCCACACTCTCTGCTCCCAAACTACCACTTTCTTTTCCAGCATTGCTTATGTCAGTGAATAGAATCACCACCCATCAATAGAACCACCACTCATTAGTAGAGACACCTACCAATAGACACCAAAACAAGAAACCTTCACAATGACTCTCTCACTCTGCCTACAATAAACCACCAAAATCTATTAACTCTACCTCCCAAAGATGCCTTAAATCTATTAACTTCTCTCAAATCTCCTGCAGTTGAGAGATGATGAGTGTCTAACAATTCTTGAAGGAAACCACTTGAGTGGCTGTGCCAATAATCCATGCTCCAGTTGGCAGCCAGAAGCAACTATTTTAGGAGGTCAATCTGATCGTGTCACTCCCCTGCTTGAAATCATCCATGGTGACTCCATATTGCCCTCCTGATAAAGACCCGGCTTGTAGCTTGCCTTAATGGATTTCCTGATCTGGCTGTGCTCTTTGCTTTAACAACTTGTGGCTCCTTGGAGTGGATTAGCAACAGGCTGCCTGTTCTGATTTTATTCCCATCAGTTAGAAAGTTATTAGAAATGCTGGCCTTTTTTTTTTTTTAGTACAAGGCACTTTATAGCCAACTGTCATAATATTGTTATAGTAAATATTCAATTCTATGATATCAACATGTGAGTGGTGCCCTCTAGAGTTACACAGTGGAAACCCTGCATTTCTATATAAGGTGGCCCAATCATTTCATGTTCATTTATGAGAACAATCACGTGCTACATAATGAAGTTTCACTCAACGATGAACTGTCTACACAACGGTGGCCCTGTAAGATTATAATATCATATTTTTACTATATTTTTCTATGCTTGCATATGTTTAAATATACACATCATTACCATCATGTTACAGTTGCCTGCAGTATTCAGTACAGTCACATGTTGTACGGGATTATAGCCTAGGGGCAAGAGGTTATACCATATAGTCTAGGTGTGTAGTAGGCTGTACCATCTAGGTTTGTGTAAGTACACTCTGTGATATTCACACAACAAAATCGCCTAATGACACATTTCTTAGACTGTATCTCTGTCCTTTTGTGAGGCAAGACTCTATCTAGAAATAAAAATGCCAAGGCCCCATCCCCTTAGGAGCTCACAGTCTGGTGCCATATAAGAACACCGATAAAGGGGTAAATGTCTACCTACTGCCAGCAGGGTGTGCAGGGAGTAGGAATGGGCTCTGCCACACCTATATTCTCTTGTCAGGATCTCTTCAGAGCAAGAGCTCCCATCCCTTTGGTCAAGTGATTGTCCAGGCCCAGAAGGTACCATCTATATGGTACAACAAAGCTGTACCAAAGGACAACACCTTATGGAAGAGGACCCAACCTCCAGAACAGGGAAGGAAGCATCATCTACCTTGAACACTCACCCCCAAAAAACATATTCTTAACTCCATACTAGACAGCCCTGGGCAAAGCATCTCCCACCCCTACTGGATTCCAAACCTTTGGTGTCTCTGTCTCTTGTGTTAGGAGGGGATGTGAACTCTCTGAGCCAAACTTCCCTGAATTTGCATGCGTGGTCACCTACTTTGCCTCCCCGCCAGGGTGTAGGGGTAATGACTGATGAGCAGCCTCTCATAATGAGGAATGAGGATGATTTTCCATGACCTCCTATGACTAACGCACACGAGCAGAGAGTGACAGAGAGGGTCAGAATTTGGCGCATGGTTCCATATAGGAAAGTCAAAGTTTGATTTTCAACTTCCTGTTTTAGTTATTCCCTTTTTTGTCATAAGAACATAAACGTACCAAGCGTCACGTTCCCTGATTGGGATCTAAATTCTGTGGGTCTGACTTGCGACTTACAACAGGGGGCTTTATTTTTAACTCATGTGACAAGCACATGTTACAGGTGGTGGTAGTAAGGAGGGATTCTGCCTATTCAGCATCAGTGGCAGAAATGGACGTGGAAGAAGTGACGTTCTGTAGAGGCTGGAGATCCTCAGACTCTTCATAAGAATAACCCACAGGCTGCCTAGAAATTCAGCTTTCTAGGCTCAGCTCCACAATTTTGCAATTTTGTATTAGCCAGTAAGGGGTAGAGTCCCAGAAATCTTCATTTTTAACTAGCATTTCAGCTGATCCTGATATAAGTGGTTAAGATAATTTGAGAGCCTCTGGTTTCCTGACAGTACATTTTTAACATAGTAAGCATGCAAATATATAATGTCAGCAGCATCCTCTGAGTTGATGTAAAGGGGCAGGCCATGGAGATAATCTTGGATTTGGGTCAGGCTACTCTTGGGAATATCGGATAAAACATTTGTTGATATTCCTCTCAGCTTGCCTAAGAATCATTCAAAGCCATTGATTAAGCTCTCACTGTTGCCCAACATTGAATTCAGGGCTTGGGAGGGCATGAAGGAATGAGGAGTAGTGTGTGAACCTGAGAAGGCTAGGAAGTCAAACCTTACACATAGCCCCTGGCACAGAAGCTAAGCCTTAAGCCTGTCCTTGCTTCTCCCAGTTTACTTGCCACAGACTGGGACTCCAGCTGGGCTTCACCTTCCTCTGGAAGACATTCCAAGGGCTGACCCTCTCCCTTGGGTTCCTAGTTAGCATTAAAACCACAGAGCAAGATGAAGAAGATTTGAGAGAGCTTGGCTAAGGCTGGCTTTCTCATCTTCCTTAGGAGCACCAAATCTTGGACCCCATTCAATTCTGTATGCCCCCTGCCCAGTTCTGCACTTGAACATTGCAGGTGGTCAGTAACATTTGATGAAAGAATGAATGAATGAATTGCTGGCTACACAGCCATGTCAGAGTTTCTCATGGAGGCAGCATAGCATGATGGTCAGGAGTGCACATTCACGAATCAGTCAGCCTGTGCTTTACCCCCTCCTCTTCCATTTGTTTACAGTGACTTTGGGCACAGATTCTTTGCAGATCTTCCCCTTCAGAGGAAGAATCCATTTCTCTACCCACGTCTCCATAAATCAGGGCTGGCCTTGGGACTTGCTTAGACCAACAGGCTATGCTAGGAGTGAATAACATGAGGCAGGTTATGACAAAGTGCTTCTGACATTGGCTGGGAGCCCCAGTATCCCATCCACCCTCACCAGCTCCACTTCTGGGGACTAGACCCTTTCTCCACTACTCCCACCCACTGCCACAGTCCTTCCTGACAAATGTGAGTTTTGGACCCTAGGCCTCAAGAGCATTTGCAGCTTCTACCTTTCCCTTTTTGAGAAGCAACACTAAGATAGCCATGTAAGAAAGTCATTCCAGTTTACTGGAGGATGGGAGGACACATGAATAGCCAAGGCCCCCAACCAACAGCCAGCACCAACAGCCAGACATGGGAGAGACTATCTTGGACTTTCCAGCTGAGTTGAGCCTCCAGCTGAGTGCAACAGAGCCCTGGCAAGATCAGCAGAGGAACCACCTAGTCAACTCACAGAATCAGAAGGAATAATGAATCACTGATGTTTTAAATCACTGCATTGTGGGTTGGTTCGTTACTCAGCAATAGATAACTGAGACACCATGCAAAGTGATTCAGATATTGACTGGAAACCCTGATATCCTGTCCACCCCTCACCAGCCCTCCTTCTGGAGACTAGACCCTCTTCCCACTACTCCCACCTGATGCCACAGTCTTTCCTAATAAATCTGGACAGGGGCCCTGGTGCTAGTCTCTGCAGAGCATGACCTCTAAGTAGGACCCTTTTGGGAATCCTATTTGAGTTCTTTTCTTCATTCAGCAAATGTTGCTGAGTGCTTGACACGTCATAAATGCTTGTACATGCTGGTAATACATAAACAAGGCAAAAAGAAAATCCTCTGCCCGTGGATCTTGCATTCTAGTGGAGGATAAAGGAAAAAAAGTACAGTAAATAAAAAATAAATTATAGAGTGTATTAGAATGTGATAGTACCATAGGTAATCTAAGGGTGCTGAGATTTGAGGGGGTGCATATTGCAGTTTTCACGGGGGTAACCAGCGTAGGCCTCACTGAGGAAACAAGCCAGGCAGGTAATTGGGGAACAAGTGTTCAAAACACAAGGCTACTGCTGGAGCTCTGGAGTAGCATCGTGCCTAGAGTGTGTCTTTGGAGAATTGTGAGGAGACCAGTGTCTGAAGCAGAGGGTGTGAACAGGGAGAGGCATGTGGAAGAAGGTATCAAAAATAACACATTTTCTCACATAAACCTATGAGCACTCATTGGAATGTGTGCACTGGAACCAGTCTACAAAATGCATAACTAGCTGATACCTACGTCTGCTGTCCTTTATGCAGACAAACTTACATAACCAGTGCTATTTTTTGTATCATGGGTCCTGTGACTATGGACCTTCAGAAAATGTCTGTGAGAAATATTCCAGTATGGAAGAGCCTCTGCTAGAACTCAAGGCTCCCAGCATCCTTTGTCACCCAATTCTGTGACCAGAGCCTGGGCAAGAACATCCAAGGGAATTGGAGGGAATGAGTGTACAGGAGACAGATTCACAGCAACGTCTCTGTCATGGGGAGAAGGGATCAAGCATTCGTGTGATGCTCCTTCACATAGGTGGGAAAAATGTCGAAATGAGTATGTGTCTAATATCTACCTTCCCTCCTAAGCTCCAAACTCCTAGAGAGCAGGGGCTGTGTCCCTCGTGACAAGGGGGAGCTAACAAAAATTGTTACCCAACAGAATGGACACCCGGACTTCCTGAAGTCATCACAGGATCCAGTTCTACTCTCACGCATTGCGTGGAAGGATGCATCTACTGTAAGTGAGGCGGGGATTTGAGGCACAAGGGCTGACACACAGTAGCTGCTAAGTATTTGAAGAATTAAATGTTAGAGCTCATTCAGAACCTAGCCCCAAAAAGGCAGCGCCAACATTGATCTCTGTCGCCATCTTTAGCCCAAAGGCCACACTGCAGGCTCCCAGCCTCAGAAATGGGCAGGGGGATCAAGCCTCTAGATAGCGTGGAGTCTGTGCCTTTGAGGGCGGAGATTGGAATCTGCTCTGGGGATAGACTGTGTTTTGGTAGAATTCTGGTGAACCCTTTTAGTTATGCAAATGTAAAATCCAACCAGAAATAAGGTCAGGTAAACCGAATGCCAGTGCTTCAGTCCAAGATGTTAACTTTACTGTTTATATTCATTACACTTGTTTCTGTCAAGTTCATTTATGAAGTAGCTGTATATTTTAGAGAATTATATCAAGGAAAAGTTAGTATCCATTAAAGTTGTCTGCATTTTCCTTCACTTTTACTGTTTCCTCCTTAAATCTGAGTTTAGATTTCCCTAGAACTGACATGAGTTGTGTGTCCTGCGGAGTTTTCTGTACAATGTTTTGAGCCGGTATTCCTAGGGGCTATTGTGATGCGAGAGGTGGGCCTAGGATCGCGAGATGAAAATTTGGGTCAAAGGGAAGAGTGACTAGATTCTGAATCCTGGTGGAATGACTTAGGAAACACAGGTTATAGGAGACCCTGGGTTCATCGCCCTCTTGTGTGAAGTTGTTCCATAGCTTCTTGGAACAAAGACTAGGCCCCCTGTGAATCAACTGCTGCCTACATCTGGAGTCTCTTGTAAGCACGTATGCACACACAGCACACACATACACATACATGGACACGTCATGCACATACAGACACACACATTCACCCTCCCCACCCACCCTGCTCCTGGTGCTACCTGACCGAAAGCTGGCCACACTGTGTTTAATTGCCTGTTTGCTCTCTCTCTGGACCTACCAGTTCATTCTGAGATGTAAATAGTGGATAAGACCTAAAGTGTACCTCTCCCTAGAATTCACATAATAATAACCCTCTAGCCTGGTTAGGTTTTGGAGTGAAGACTTTGGTGTGGTTTCTAGGGAGGAGAAGGAATTTAAGGAATGAGCCTTGGGGCGTGGGAGAAGAATACTCTTGGCATCGCTGAACTGCACCTGTCAGAAATTGCCTCCATTCCTTACTTTTAAACCCTAGTGCCAGAAAGTCCCATCACTATTTCTACCACAGTCCTGCAGAATTTGATTCTAAGTGCTATTTGGAGTGTCTTGCAGTCAATAAATATGAGCTTTTATTCACAAGGTCTGGTTTTCCCATCTGCACTATGTGTCCTTCAGTCATAGAGACATGTCTTCTAAGTCTTTATGTCCTCTTCCTCTTCTGTGCACTGTTAGAGAATTGGCATATTTTACATGTGAAAATTTTTTTTAGTTATATAGAGAACATGATTCAACTTGGAACAGCACCACTAGTAAGTAGGAGGAGGCCTGCATTTGCCTGGGTGGTCCATGGGCACAGTTCACAAGGGAAGGGCCAGCAGAAATGAGTTACCATGTGTTAAAATAATTAATTGGGAAGGTATTAGGCTGAGATGACTCCAGCGTGTTGGGTTCCTGCCTAAGTAAACTAAAACCCAACCCAGAGTGAATGGTCATTGACTAAGAAAACGAAACTTAAGCTTAGCCAATCAGGAACCGCCGACTAACCTGCAACTAAGGATTTTCCACTTAACCAATGAATTTTTTTCTTCCTTTTGCTTCCTGAACAACTTATAAATGGTTTTCCGGTAGCCCCTGGGTGGAGCCCTGAATCACTTGCAATTTGGCACCTTGTGATTCATGAATCATTCTCTGCTCAAATAAACTCCTTAAAATTTTAATATGCCAAAGTTTGTCTTTCAACACATGCATGAAGGTGATGAACTGGTCAGGGAAGATGAAGCAGGGGTCAGGCTGACTGTGAAATCACAGCATGGAAGCTGACCCCGGGGCAGTGCTAAACAGAAGTCAGGGAGGGAGAAGGGGAGGGAGGGGGTGGCTGAGAAGAGCTGAGGACCCAGTAGCATCTGTGTTGGCCCAGTGCTGATCTGAGGGGCCCAGGATTAAAATCTGGGTCCTGCCTGAAATACCTGGATGATTCCTTGGGGCCTCCCAGATAAAAACTCCTTCACAAGGCATTAGCAATCAGGAGCCACCCATCTTCTCATGTGAATTTGCAGCCACTCCTCAGTCCAAGCCCTGGGTCCCAGCCACATTGATGACTCACCTCAGATGTGCTGGGAGCTCTTCTCCATCATCACACCTTCCTGAGCAGTTTTTCTGCCTGGGATGCCCATCCCTGCGTTCTCTGCCTGGAAAACACCTGCTTTTTCTCTGAGGCCCAGATTATATGCTCTTTCTTCTGTGAAGCCCTGCCCAGCCCTCCCTGCCAGCTCCACCTCTAGGCTACAATGGTGTCTCTACCTGGTACCATAGCTCTTCTCACACAGTATGATGAATGTCCCATAAGAACCAAGTGATTGGCCAGATGTAGCAGCTCACACCTGTAATCCCAACACTTTGGGTGGCTGAGGTGGGAAGATCACCTGAGCCCAGGAGTTCAAGACCAGCCTGGGCAACATGACGAGAGCCAGTCTCTACAAAAAATTAAAAAAAACCTAGCTGGGCATGGTGATGCATGCCTGTGGTCCCAGCTACTCAAGAGGCTGAGGCAGAGAATGGCTTGATCCAGGAGGTCAAGGCTGCAGTGAGCCATGATTGCACCACTGTACTCCAGCCTGGGTGATAGAGCAAGACCCTGTCCTGAGGAGGAGGAGGAGGAGGAGGAGAAGGAGGAGGAGGAGGAGAAGGAGAAGAAGGAGGAGGAGGAGGAAGAAGAAGAGGAGGAAGAGGAGGAGGAGAGGAGGAAGAAGAGGAAGAAGAAGAAGAGGAAGAAGAAGAAGAAGAAGGGGAGGAGGAGGAGGAGGAATAGGAATCAAGTGTGATTATCCATTAACTTGTTTAAGATTTTGCATTTACTCAGCCTCTTCTGCATTTACCAGCAGCTGTTCTGGCCACAGCTGACATAAAATTGAGTCCCACCATGTAAACACATAGTTATAATGGGCCAGCCAGGTGATCAATTTCCCGGGGCACATACAGGCTGTGGAGAGGCAGCTCAGAGAAAGAACCTAAACATTATCAGAGCCTATCGTGTAGCTCCCGTCACACTTAATACTTGGAAGCCTGTACTTTGCCTTCAAGGCCACACATGACCCAACCCTGCTGGTCTTGCTCACTGCCTACTCCTCCCTTGCTCTCCAGGCTCCAGCCCCCACCCCAGCCTTCTACTGTTACTTGAACATACCAGCTCCTTTCTGTCTCAGGGCCAACACATTTGCTACTCTTTTGCCTTGATTATTTCTAGTCACAGTTCCTTCCTGTCCATAACCTCAGTGCAGATGTTACCTCTTCAAAAAAGTAAAAAAACAACAACAACAACAAAAAAAAAAAACCTCCCCTGACCCCCCCATCTAATATTTCCATTGAATACCTGCTGCCCTCACCTTCTAATCATGAAAAGTGCCCTTTCTGTTTTCTTGTTTGTTTATTTGCTTGTTTAGTGTTTCTCCCTTTCAATTATCAGCTACAAGGAAGTTTGGTTTTATTCACCATTCTATCCTCAGCTCCTTAAGTGGAATAAAAATTTGCAAAATGGCATTGAGGTCAGCTGCACCAAGTTTTATCTTGAGCTCCAACACTGATAGCCCATATGACCTTCAGCAAGTTATTTCACTTCTCTTAGTCCAGTTTCCTCATCTGTCAAATGGAGGTGAAAATGCTTGCCTTGAAGAGTCATTCTGAGGATGACAACAGAATGTTCTTAAAATTGCTGCCCCATGGTTGGAACTCAGAACACGCTAGGTGAATGTTAAGTAGTTATACAACAGAGGGACAGCGCCAGCAGCCTGTGCCTTCTCTGAGTCCTGATACCATGGGCTTTCTGCTCTAGCTTGATCCCAGTCAAATATTTTCCATGAAACAGAGAAGCGTTTGAGCTCTGAGGATGAGTATGAATTCCAATTGCAAACTCTCAGCTGAATTCCAGCCCTGTACTCCCAGCTATATCAAATCACCTCAACTTAGAGACTCCACTGTAACCTTAAACTCAACACATCCAGGACACACATATTGTCTGGCCCTTGCTACTACTTAAGCACCTGGCAGATAGCGGACTGTACCAACAGTCAACCACGGAATTGTGGATTCACTGTGAAGTATCTGGTAGAAAATCACAAGACTTGAGCTAGAATTTAAGTTGTAAGCAGCCCAGGGCTTTGTCCCTGTGCAGAGGACACTGAGTTCTGCCTGGGGCTTCTTGGTTGTTTCTAGAGGCTCCATAGCAGATGGACTGGAGGAGAAGCTGCAGGTAGCCTTCTAAGAACTCACCAAGTCTCTTGCATCAAACACTGGACACAGGGTCGAATAAGGCTCTGTAGTAGTTTTCTATGGCTGCTATAGCAAGTTACCACAAACTTAGAGGTTTACAATAACACAAGTTTATTATTTTATAGTTGTGGAGGTCAGAAGTCTGAAATGGGTGTCACTGAGCTGAAATCCATGTGTCAAGAGCTGTGTTCCTTCCGGAGACTCTAGAGGAGAATCCGTTCCCTTGGCTTTTCCACCTTCTAAAAACACCTGCATTTGTTGGCTCAAGGCCCCTCACTCCATCTTCAAAATTAGAAGCATGGTATCTTCCATTCTCTCTCTGACTCTCCCTTCCTGCCTCCTTCTTGTGATTAAACTGAGCCCACAAGGATAACCCAGGATTGTCTCCTCATTTCAAGATCCTTAACATAATCACATTTGCAAAACCTCTTTGGACATGTATGGTAACATATGCACAGATCTTGGGATTAGGATGTGGACATATTTCGGGGGACATTATTCTGCCTACCATAGACCCTGAGCAGGATGAGCTTGGTTTGGGGGCACAAGGCTAAAACGCAGTTTCCTGTCTCCCTACCAGCTCTGTTCAAAGTAAAACTTGGTACGGGCTGAGGGCTCACTCTCCTTGGTGAGCTGTACTGGCTGCTGGGGCTCTGCCGGGCCACACAGGAACCAGCCAGGCCAGGCAGCAGCCTCAAGCCTGAAGGCGGAGCCTGAGCTGCTCTGGAAGAAGGTGAAGCGTGTGGCCTCTTCACCACCTTTGTACAGTTCCTCAATGTTCACATCCTGTGGGGGCAAGGTGGATGGCTGCAGAATGAGAGTGCTGATGGAGGTGTTAGCCCTGGAGGCCTCTGGGGCTTGGCCAAAAAAGGACCTGACAGGGCTGGTTTTTACCCAAGGGACTGCCTTCTGCAGATTCTAGAGGGCAAGGGTCTTGGTGCTAGGTGCAGAGGGAGATGGTGGAAACCTGAGGAAGTAGGACATGTGGACCTGGCTGGGAATCCACAGATAGGCACAAAGATGCCAGAGCATCCCAGGGGTCAGGCCAGGTCTGCAGTGTCCCCTAGAATGGGGAGAGGCCTCTCACCTCCAGCTGTAGGGAAGGCCCCTCTTCTGTCTCCACACATGCCAGGCAGCGGCTCCCTCCCTGGATCCCCAGGAAAATGGGGACCTTGGTGCGGGCCAAGCCTCTGTTAGGAAGTATGCAGATCTTCTCTAGGAGGGAAGAGAGAGAAGAGTCAAGGGACAAGGGAACCCCATGTTGCAGGCTCTTGGCAGGTAAAGGCTCAGGCAGGAAGGAACTGGACATGGGCACACCTGGCCTGGCCCTGCATGCAGACTGGACGGTGAGCCAGGACTTCTGCAGGAGTCATGTCCCCTCGCTAGGAGAGGCCACAGCTGCTCTCTGGCCCTTCTCACTGTCACTGGGGGCAGCTGCTGACCCTCTGCTGGGGAGGAAAGGGAAGAAGAGAAGGGAGGGCCTATGGCAGATGGAGCATGGGGTGGAGGCCCCAGAAGCTCACCTGCACAGCAGTTGTCTGCAACAGGATCTCCCACCAGCAGCTGGCCATCTCTTGTGTATAGAGCCTTCTGGTCTGCATATTTAATTCTGAAACAGTATGACAGTGCTGATGGCCCATTCCCTTTATGCACCACTGGCCCCCAAGCCCTTCCACTTCCATGCTCTGAATCACCACCTTGAGCATTTGGGCGATTTTCTCTCCTTCACAGGTGGTAAGAGGGGAATGGTCACTCCCAAGAGCAGGTAAAGACCAGGCCAGCCTTAAAGCAAGGAAGGTCTCCTGTGTTCTTGCTTTTCAGAGGCTGTGCTTCCTGCCTTCTCATGGCTTGGGGAGGCCTTCAGAGGAGAACGGAGAGCCAATGCCCTCTGACAGAGGGGTAAAGAAAATGTTCCTGGCTTCCTGAGAAATTTCTTAGTGAGGCTCAGATGACTTTGGGATACAGTGGACCTTATCTTAAATTTTTTGGGCCTGCCCTAATTGTTTATAAATGTTTATTCTCTTTAGTACAGAGATTGAGTGTATACTGAAGTGTGATTTGCTTTTCAGATATTTTAAAGGCTTCAAAGTCATGCAGGGTATTAGCTCAGTCACCTAGTTGGTTTCAAAGATGCCTGTCAGCTGCTGTCAGGGCTGGAGAGCTCTCATTAACCTTTTAGGGCAGAACCTCTGGACAAATTCCACCACCTCCAGGGGATTTTTCTATCTCAATAACAGCTAACGATAATACCCTTAGCTAATGACTGTACATATTTAAAGCAGGTTCACTTGTACAATAAAAATAAACTTCCGGAAAGATCCTGGGCGTGTTATCTGGCATTCCCCTTGCCACCTTGACAACCCAGATGTGACAACTCACATGCCAGCAGCATTCTATTTGGAGACCAGAACCCAGATTAGATGCCCTGAAGTGCTGACATCTGCTTTGTCATTTATGTGCTTCCTATGTATGTGTCTTGCTTCCCAGCCAGGCTGTCACCTCCTTGAGACCAGGACTGCTCCCCACCCACCTTGTCCAGGACACAGCCCTGGACATTACAGGGTCCATGGGAGGGGCAGAGGAAATGCATCCCAGAGTCCTCTTTGATTTTTCTTATGCCTCACCTCCTTCCTGAAAGGAGCTTATGACAAAATCACAGACAACAAAGTAGTAAAAGATAAGGAAGGATGCAAATCTCAAATGAGATGAAATGTAAGTAAGTGTTAGAAGCCCACACTGGGAGTAAAGGCCACAGGGACCACCATCAAGATGCTGTCATTGAGATTCAAAACTTTCTGACATTTCAGAGAGGCGGATGGAGCAGCACAGAGGACATGAAGTCTGATTCCTGGCTCTGCCTTTTGGTAGCTGTGTGACATGGGGGAAGTTATTTACCCTCTTTGAGCCTCAGCTTCCAGATCTGTAAAATGGGTTTAATAACACTCCACTTACAGACTTTTTGGAACAGAGATGAGGCAGTAGATTGGCTGGCATCTTGCAGACGTTCAGGAAAGAGCTGTTGCTACTGTGGTGATGATGAAGCTTAATTATGGGGCACTTGCAATTTCTAAGGTGAGAAGGAGCCTCATCCTCTGACTCAGCATTCCTTTCCTCTTCCCACCCTGACCCCCTGGCTTGGAAAGCAGGGACATGCCAGGACAACTTACATGTAGTATCTTGCCATGGGGAGGGAACACATTCCTGCAATCAGTGGTGTCTGGTCCTCACTGATGGGGAGGAGAGAAGGGCAGTTAGAAAAGGAGGCTGGGTGAAGCCAGAGGCAGACGTGCTGGGGCTTAGAACCACTCAGCCAAGGGCTGCACGGGTTCCCCAGGCCATTCGTCTATAATTGGCCTGCCAGAATCCACCAAGGCTTCCACCAGCCCAGCAGGCTCCAGGCAGCTCTGCCTCTCCCTGACTGAGGCTATCCGGGAGCAAGTCCAGCCACCAGGGGTGTGAGCCTGGGATGTGTGTGCTTGCGCTGGTTCTGAGAAACTGGAAAACAGATTCCCCCAAATAGCTGAGCCACAACAATTCCCAGCCCTGAGAGTGGGGTGGAGTGTGCTGTAGCCTCCCTCACAGTTGGAGGATAAGCCCAGCTCAAACCCAGTCCCACTGCCCTGTTGGCCAACAGGGCACCACACCCCCGCCCCCATAACTAGCCAAGGGTTAGATAACTAGAGCCCAGAGTGAAAGAAGAGAGCACAACTAGAAGGGGTCTCCAGCAGCAGTGAGGCTGGTGGGGTCTCCCCAGAGAGTTGGAAAACATCATTCCTAGTGACTAGAAGTGCTTGGCCAAGACTGCCGAAAACAGCCCATCCAAACTCCCCCATTCTGTTCCAGATGGAAAATGGCACAGTGAAGATAGTGGCCCTGTATAAATGCCAGGCCACACAGCCTCACATGACTCTGCTCCTTCCCGATGGGTTATCCTGTCCTAGAGCTCTTCCCTAAAATGAACACCCATTGGAAAGGCCAGTCCAGAATTTAGCATGGAAATAAACCCAGAGCTAATCAGGAGTTGGAAATTAGCTCAGGAAAGTAACGCAAGTATGACTAGGGCTGAGGTTTACCGAGTAGATCTGATTCTCACCAAATAAGAAGGGAATAGAGAAGAAAAAATATAAGAAAGCAGAAAATGAGAGAAGAGAAAGGAAGAAGGCAGGTGGAAGAAAGTAATAGGGCTCAGGGAGGAATAGAGAGATGCTGAGGGACCCTGGGGAGGCAGGTGAGAAGGAACAGGTGGGTGCTGAGGATACGGCTTCCAACCACCTCAGCTCTCAAGTTCCAGAAACAGGGCTGTAGCCAAGGTGGCTTTTAGTACTGGGTCTGTCACTGTCACTTTGGACAAGTCATTTTCTGTCCCCAGGCCTTGGGGTATGACTTTGAGACTTAGAGTGAAGGATAATAGGGACTAACAAGTGCAAATTCTGGAGGGATGTTGGTGCTGTGAATGAAAGTCTTAAAGCATTCTGTATACTTTGTGATTGCATGTGTTTCCCTTACTCTTAGGAAAAATAACGGATTGCCCAAATGTTTACTTACAAAAATGTTCACTGCATAATTTTTTACAATAGCAAGAAGTTGAAAAAAATCTGAATTTTCAGTAATAGGTAATTGGCTAAGAAATTATAGCAAAATTCAATAAATAAGGATGTATGTGTTTGTTAAAGATGATATTATAGAAGCTTGTTTTAGGACATAAAAATTTTCAAAATATATTAGGTGAAAAATGCAGATTATAAATCAAGTGTACACTGTAATTCTATTTAAATCCACACATAGAGACACATACATAGAAATGTTACTCGTGTTGTTGCACCACTTACCTATGGCTTTATGAGTAATTTTTTAAACATATCAACATTTTCCTATAATGAACATGAATTTCCTTTGTAGTATCAAGTAAGTTTCAACATTTTTTAAATGAAGTGTTCAGTTAAAGTCATTGGCTCCTAAATGTGCCTGCCCATCTGCATCACCTGGGGGACTCTGTATAATTACTATTTCCTGGGCCGAAGGTTCTAATTCAGTAGGACTTGGAGTGATTCCAGCAATCAGCCATGCTGCTTGGGAACTGGTGTACTTTCATTCCATTCTTCACACTTATTAATAAATATATAAACCACCTGCAGTTCTTGTTAAAATAACAGATTCTGGTTTTTCAGGCCTGGGGTGGGGCCTGAGACTGTACATTTCAAATATGCAACCAGGTGATGTCAATGCTGCTGGTTCCTCCTGGCCAGCACTTTGAGTCCTAAAGGACTAGACAATCCCCCAGTACAGATAACTCAACAGCATCATGGCCTCAATGCAAGCCCACTTGATGATGGGCTCCCCTTGGCCAAACCACTGGGGCTTCTTTGGTTGTAGCAGCAGGACAGTGGGCAGTGTGGTAGCTGTGCCCAGATCTAGGTGGGGCAACAAAGTGGAGGGCCCTGGGTGAAGGTGGATAGCAAGCTGATGACTCCCACTCTGGGTCAGTGTCAGCTCAAAGAGCTGGAAGAAATTCAATGCTGGTCCAGTCCAGCTGGATCCCATGGGCCCTAGAAACCTCCCATTCTGGCACAGCCAAAATGTACAGTGTCTTTCCCAAAGGCTCCCCTATTCGGCTCCCTCCGCCTGGGTTCTGATAGATTGTGATGAAGTGAGTAAGGGTAGGAAGCTAGCGTCTGGTCCATCAGAGAGCCTGGGTCTTGGTGCTGAACCTCTGCTGTGTGCCAAGCCCCTCCCAGTGTGCCACATGCCTCACCCCCAAAGCTTCCCCTCCCTATTTTCCTCAAATGACTTTTCACTGAACTTCAGTCTATATCCCTCTTTTCTTCCTCTCATTTCTCCCTGGACATGGCATCTGGCTCTCAGACCTCCGCAATTCACCTGTCCTGGCTCAAACACTGCCATCAGCTAAACTTGGGCTTTCCCCATGTTCTTTTGCACAGCACCCTGTCCTATCCTTCATCATTCTCCTGCACAGTATCTATGTGGGATGTTCTGTCCAAGACCAATATTAACTTCTGTGGAGCAAGATCCAGAGATTCTTTTGATTCCTTTGATATTTAGTCATTGCCTCCTTGGAACCCTTGACATTGAATGACTCCCTTCACACCTCTTTCTCCCACTGTAGATTTCACCTCCTTCTGGGGCCACCCCTAAGGCTAACAAGGTCCTAAGCACTTCTATTTCACATCATATTAAGCTGCAATTCATTGACTTCTACAGCTGCAATGATTATCTTGGGCTAATGGCTCCCAAATGTAGACTGCACATCCCACTTTACCTCCTGCAGCCTACAGGACAGCCCACTTTGGACATCCTGCTGATATCCAACCAAATATATTTAAGGTTAAGTTAATTATCTTCTCCTCCCAGCCCACACATTCCTCCCAATTTCATTTCTCTCACTGTCATAATATTCCTCTCACCAGTGATATTCAAAACCTGAGACTCATTGACAATATCTCCTACTTCTCCTGACTCAGTGTCTAACTTATCAAGTCCCTACAGGTTATTTCTTTAAAATATAACTTTGTGTTTTTAATTGCCATTACTACTGTACTTGTATTCCCGGTTTTTCTGCCTTTCATTCATTCCAACCTATGTGAGGAATGTGGACCCACGTTCTAAAGATTTTTTTCACCACATCCCTGCCCAGCTCTAGAATCTACAGTGACTGACTGTTTTGTCACCGTCTGGCACTGATTTTCTTGTGTGATAGCATCTCACTTCTCCATGGACACTAAACCACACCTCCTGGCGACATAATTCCTTTCTTATCTTCTCAGTGGACGTACTCACAGGTGTCCCATTGTTCTCCCTGCCTCAAAAGTCATCCCTTCTCATTGTCATCCATTCAGATCTTTTGATATTAAGATCACTGGAGATAGTATCAGTATAGATGGGTTCAGTATCTAGTTCTATCAAATTAATTACCAGTGTAGAGTTACAGCTTAGACATACAGGGTTATGTCTTTTAACCTCCAACCCTCAGTTTCAGCACTATACATTCATGGGATTAGATTATGTGGTTATGAAGGTTCTTTCTAGGCCAAACTATTTATAATTCCATGACTCAGAGTTTAATGAATCTTTCCCTTACTATTGTAACTCTACTCTGAACTCCTATTAAATTTTACTGTATTATTTATTGTTGTACATAAAGATATTTGTTTCCCTTATAAAAGTTTATAAGATCTTGAAGTCATGAAGCATGGCTTACAGCTCACTTGAAGCTCTCTCCAACCACCCTAATTGAACTACCCTGGTCCTTGTGGCCAGGACATAGAAACACACAGAGCAGACTTTGAATAGAAAGGCTGAGTCCTAGACCTAGCTCTGCTACCAATTTATTTTGCCACCTTTTATCCCTGGGCCTTCAACTTATCAACATTGGATGGAAAGATTGAGTAAGGTATCTTTCAAAACTGTTTTAAGTTTCACAATAAAATTTTATGCAGAATTCTAATGATTGTAAAAAGGATAAAGGGCAGCTGCTTTGCTGACACAGGAAGCAATGGAGACTTTGGAACCCTGCTAGTATTTCTCTTGCCTACAAAGAAGACACTGAGGAGCTACCAAGGAGCACAAAAAAAAAAAAAACGAAAACAAAAAATCTCTTAAGCTTCCACCAAACACGGTTTGAATACCATTGGCCCAGATGGTTTCTTTTGAGATTACTTTCTAAAGTCAGTTGTTCTAAGTAGTTCAGAAATCTTGATTTGGCTTAACCTATTCCTTCTCCTCAAATCTCTTTATGTGCTCCTAAATGTTTTTGATGTCCCATCATGTCATATGAGGGGACTACCTTGTTACCTAGACAGCTTGCCAGGAGGAGTGAAGGGATAGAGGGCATACCAGAGATATTGACAGGAGAGAGTAGAAAAGAAAGAAAAGAGAGAGAGAATATTGCCTGTCCATCACTGACCTGCAGATCCTGAGTTCCTGGAACCCTGATCCCTGGAGACTCCAACTGATTTCTCCAGGGCATTGCGCTGTGTTTATACCGTCTG
Organism: Homo sapiens; assembly: GCF_000001405.40. NCBI lineage: Eukaryota > Metazoa > Chordata > Mammalia > Primates > Hominidae > Homo > Homo sapiens. The sequence goes on along the minus strand of NC_000002.12, from coordinate 113,067,931 downwards.
GTACAGGTGGGTCAGGCCTGCACCAATCTCTATAATTGGCTGCAGGACATGAAGGAAGAAGAGCCTGGGCATTTCACAATGTCTTTGGTACAGCATGAATAATAAGATGGTGGGAACATTAAGGAGCATTTGTTGAAGGGGGAGAGAGTCATCCATAAAGCCTTGGCAGAAATAAGGTATGGGGCCCCTGCTCTGTACTGACTGTCGTTGACTATGTTATTAGTGGGTTTGCAGCCAGATAAACAGTGCTGGGGTCAGACATCTTTGGTGCCCCGTGGGGCTCCATCCTAGGCTTGAAGAGGTGGTGAATACAAGAGAAAGTATGTCTGGCAAGCCCAAGGACAGAACAAATTCTGATGCCGGAATCCAGGCTGTGGCCAGACAGCCAGAATAAGAGAAGGGGCTGATAGCACTGTGAGTGTGACTCTGTTTGGAAAGACGAGAAGGGAGTCTCTGCTTTTCAGTGGGTTTAATTAGTTGGTACCAGCTTGATGGGACAGAACATCTAGGGAAACCCAACTGCAAAGATATTGACCTCAGATTCACCCTGAGACTGAGCAGACATCATGTGCCATGGACTGCTAGGAAATATGATAGTGTGAGTAGAGCACAGAGGAAAGAACACTCAGGTCTCTAATTGACATTACTTGACTCAGTCCATCCATCCATCCATCCACCCGGCCACCCATCTGTCCATCTATCTACCCATCTGTCCATTCTTCCATCCATCCATCATCCATCCAACCATCCATCCACCCATGTGCCCATCCATCCACCCTTCTGTCCACCCTTTCATCCATCCATTCATCCATCCATCCATCCATCCATCCATCCATCCCTCCATTACAAGCGTGGAGAAGCTTAGGTGTAATGTTCTCTGGAAACTAACAACCTTATTATAATTCTCCCTCTTTGGTCATTTGCAAAGTTCCACCAAGGGCTTCTTGAGGAAGTGGGATAGGTGGGTCTAAGACTCAGATGCCTGCAGGATGAGAAATGAGAAAAGATGGGCAGAAATGGGACCAGATTTCTGCTTTCTAAGGCCAGTGATCATTCTTCTTCCACTCTCCCAATCTCTCACCCTTCTATGGGAAGGCTTAAAGCATGAGTTACTATGTCAGGCAACCAATGAGTGTTTACCCAGCATTTACACTGCTGTGTGACACAGACATTCAATACACAGTCCTTGTTGTTAAGTAGTTTCACAGTCTAGCTGAGGAACTAAGTCATAAACACTTGAAAAGATAATTAAGAAGACCAGACTCTCTAAGCTGTGGGCCAAGGACATGTTGGAAACAATAGTGGCAGATAAGCTCCTTGGGCAAAAAAAAAATCTTAGAATTGAAAGGACTTTAGGCCAGGCATGGTGGCTCATGCCTGTATCCCAACACTTTGGGAGGCTAAGGCAGGCAGATCCCTTGAGGTCAGGAGTTCAAACCAGCCTGGCCAACATGGTGAAACCTCGTGTCTACTAAAAATAGAAAAATTAGCCAGGCATGGTGGCATGCACCTGTAGGCCCAGCTACTTAGGAGGCTGAGGCAGGGGAATCACTGGAACCTGGGAGGCAGAGGTTGCAGTGGGCCAAGATGGCACCACTGTACTCCAGCCTGGGCGACAGAGTGAAACTCCATCTCATAGACATGGAATCATAGTTTCCCTCCAATTGGAGAAATCTGTGCTATGGCATCCCTGAGAAATTGGTTAATTAGGCTCTGCCTTAACATCTCCAGGGTCAGGGACCACACAACCTCTTGAAGAAACCCTATCAATGTTTGTGGTCCTTGTGGTTAAAATATGGGGGTCATATAGGAAAAACAGCCTCCACATAATTTGCACCCATTGGTTCTGCTTGTGTGTTCTGGAATTACACAGAACAAGCACATTCTTCTACTTGGCAAGCCTTTAAGTGCTTGAAGAGGGCTCCCTGTGCATTGCTTTTTTCAGGATAATACCTCCCACATCGTAGCCTCTTCCCTACAGCCTGCCCTTGGAACATTCTCTGTTCCTCGATGTCTGCAATTTGTACAAACCCCACATGATGTGAGTATTGCATCTCTGTAAATACAGGTCCAGGCCAGTGATTTATACCAAAATTGCAGAAATCTAAAGCCACTAACTCTTTTTCACTTGTAGAGTCATGATGTCCAGCCTGTACATTCCTGAAGGAGGCATTTTATATTCCTTCTTTTACTACTGACTTGTGTCGGCTCATCATGGCTAAAGCTCTTCTGAGTTCTGTCATCCTACAAATGAGGAAGCAACAAATTCAGGCTGGAGAAACCTTCAAGAATGAGGTGGAATTTAAGCTGCTCCCTTAGAGGTGGGCCTGTTTAGATGGGTGGAGGAGAAGGAGAGAATATTCCAGGGTGGAGAAATAGTTTCTACATTATATACTCATTGGGTTTCCATTATGTGCCAAGCATTATGCAAGGTGCTAAGAGACAAACTTATATGTCCCTAACCTTAAGGTCATCCCAGGGGCCACAGACTCCAAGTTAAGGTACTACAGTGCAGGGAGGTGCATACAAACATTGCCAGATCAGATAGCTGGGGGTGTCTCAACTCAGTAAAAGCTTCTTGGAGGAGGTGACATCTTAGCAGGGTATTGAAAGATGAGAGATTTATCTAGGCAGAGAGGATGGATGGAGGACCCAAAAGCAGAGGGAGCAGCACAAGACTGTGTCTGGGCCCATGGACAAAGAGAGTGTGAACAGGGTCTGAAACACAGCCTAGCATCCGGAGCTCATGTTCTTGGCAGCCCTGAGAGGCCTGGGGTAGGAGCTGTGCTGCCTGTTGCCTGAGGACTTCAGCTGAATCTGGGCTGGAGCTGTGAGGTCCATAGAGGCAGCCTTGTCTGTCCTGGCCACCTCCTTGCCAGTGCCTCAGTGGACTCTCAACCACCAAGCTGGTCCAACAGGTGAAGTGCAGGTGGAATACCTGGGGCTCAGATATGGGCTCCTCCTCTGGCTTCTGCTCCCATTCCCCAGGGTTTGGGTGGGGACACTGGAGTTCATTCCTGGCACATAGGACAAGAGGATCTCAATCTTGCAGAACCAGATGACTCAACAAATGCTGTATTATTAGCTTTTAAATAGAATATTTGGGTAAATGAAGGATAGTTGTTCATTGTGAGAAAGAAAATAAAAAATATTGGAGAAAATTGCAATAATAAAACAAATGCATTTGTTTCTCTTTCTCTGCATATTATTTATCTATTGCTGCATAACAAGTTAGACCAAAACTGAGCAACTTAAAACAACAAACATCGATTATCTCACAGAGTCTCTGCTTCTAGGTTCACTAATGTGGCTGTGGGCAGGAGACTTCATTTTTTACCACGTAAGTCTCTTTATAGGCCTGCTCATAGCATGGCAGCTAGCTTCCCCCAGAGCGAGTGAGCCAAGATAGATTGGGGGCGGTGGGTGGCAGAGAGAGAGGGCTCAAGTAGAAGCTGCAGTGTCTTTTATAACCTAATCTTGGAAGTGGCATGCCATCACTTCTGCCATATTCTATTGGTCACAAAGACAACTTTGGTACATTGTGGGAGGGGACACACACAGAATGTAAACACGAGGAGACAGGGATCATTTTAGCAGCTGTATTAGTTTCCTAGAGCTGCTGTAACCAATTATCCTTGGTGGCTTAAAACAGCCGAAATTTATTCTTTCTTCGTTCAGGAGGCTGGAAGTCTGAGATTAAGGTTTCAGCAGAGCCGTTATCCCTCTAAAGCCTCTAGGGAAGAATTCTTCTTTGCCTCTTCCAAGCTTCTGATGGTTGCCACAATCCTTGGTGTTTCTTAGCTTGTGGCTGCAAAACTCCGATCTCTGCCTTCATCTTTACATAGTCTTCCCCGCATCTCCTCTGTCTCTGTGTCCTCTCCTTTTCATACAAGGAAACCAGTCATATTGAATTTAGGTCTACCTTCATCCAGCATGACCTTGTCTTAACTAACTACATCTGCAGAGACCTTATCTCCAAATAAACTCACAGACTGAGATTCCAAGAAGGATGTGAATTTGAGGGGGACACAATTCAACCAGTACAGCAGCCTTCTTAGAGACTGGATCCAATGCCTTGGAATCCCAGGGGCTGTGATCCTTCTAGGAAAGAATTACCAGATGATTTTTGTTCTTTAAGTTCCTTACCCAGAGATTCCAGCCACACAAACTCAGCACAGCCTCCTCCTCAGTGGCTTTGCTGAGATCTGTTTCCTGATCACTACTACAACCAACCAGAGCAGCAGAGCTCGATTCAATTTGAATTTACTCTGGGGAAGTGGAGGCTGAGGACAATCAGAGATGATGTCTACTCTGCTTACCTCAAGATTAATTTCTTTTCTTATTTTTATACAAGGAATTCATCTTCATTGTAGAAAAATTAGGAAATACAGGTAAATTAACAGAATTAAAAGAAAAATCACCTATACTGCCACCACCCTGACATTGCTACAATTGAAGTAAACTCTTCCAGACTTTTTTCTATAAAGAAATATATAAATAGGTATCTTTTAATTAAAATAAATTGCAATATATGCCACTTTGTAAGTAGGTCTTCTCAATATGTCATGAGCACTTTTTCATGGGAATAGAGACCAGCATCTGGGATTTTGATTGTATCTTGGGTTTTTAAAAGAGGATCAGCATACCCTACTTATCTTTTATCTTCTGAGCTCGAGCCATTTCTTCTGACATCAGCACCTCCTCATGCCCACAACAAGATGATGAGGGAAGAGATAGGAAAGGTAGCATATGACAGTGGCAGGATTAAAGGGAAGGAGGTGGGGCTGGGCCAAGGGCCATAGATCCCTGACTCTATGACCACCTCCCTCTCCTGCATAGTGGTGAGTGACAGGTCTTCATGTGGAGAGCTACTGACCCTATAAGGCTCAACTGGGGATGGGTTGGCCTGCGGGGCTCAGGGTAACACTGGTCAGTTACCATTAAGCAGGAATGATTCCCACCACTCCCCCACCCCACCTCCACAGAAATCTTTTCATGTTATTCCCAGTTTACCCCACATGGTTTTTACAAGATTCCACAGCAGTAGCACCATCCAGTGGGGGAGGACCGTGGACTGAGCTCCAAATCTCAGAATTTATCCAAACTGGGAACCAGAAGACAAAGTGGTCAGGTGCCCACTAAGTCAGACGTGGGGGTCCTGAGAGCAGAGAGAGTGATTGTCCGCCATGGGTCTCCTCCACTCACCCCTCACCCGAGCTGGCTCTGCCCAGGGAGTTCTGGGGGGCACGTTGCCCTAGTCACACTGCTGGAAGTAGAAGTCTGTGATGGGGGCATTCCAGCCACCATTCTCGGGAAGCTGGGTGAGTCTGACAGGCTGATCGGCTTCAGGCACCGTGCACAGGAACCAGCCCGGGTAGGCAGCCGACTCGAAGCTGGAGGTGAGCCCCATGTCCCGCCGGTAGAAGGTGAAGCTCTTGGATTCCTTGGCACCAAGATAGAGCTCCATGATGTTCACTGGCTGCCGGCAGAGGAGGGGAGGTCAGGTGAGGGCAGAAGCAGGGGCAGAGGGAGGGCTGGGCAGGATCCTTAGGGAGGAGGCAAAGCTGCCATCAACAGAATCCTGCTAGGGTGTCCCACAGCACCAGGGCTGTGGGCTGCCCGGCTTCAGTAGGCTCAGCATCTGTGGCTGAGTCCCCAGTGAGGATGCCCCAAGTCTCACCTCTAGTGTTAGAGTCGGCTCCTGCCCCACCCCACATGACAGGCACTGGCTTCCACCCTGGACACCCAGGATGACGGGGGACAGGCTGGCATCCAGCCACCGATTGGGGACCACGCTGATCTCTTCACCTGTGGGAAAGAGGCCAGATGCAGGGCCCTGGATGCCTTTCCCTCCTTCTTCCCCTGTCCTGGGCTCTAGGGCACAGGACTGCTGTAAGACGGCCTGCCCCCAGGCTGGGCAGAAGGGAGGCTTCTCAGCAGCTGTCATGACATGGCTTCTCCTGTCCACTGGCTCAGAGTGGACATCAAGGCATGGAAGCACATTGTACCACCTCCACTCCACCCTCTAGTTCAGGGTCAAATCTTCAAGCCTCTACACCCCAAAATAGATTCAACCCCCTCCTTTAATGTCCCTTGGGTCTCAGGCCTTTTTCTGAACCCTGTCTTGATAAGCCCCCCTTTGGAATTGTTTGGACAACTTTCTACACCCTGTGATGTTGCTGAGAGCAAAAGAGGGTCTCATTCCTCTCTGTACATCCCCTCACCACCCACATACATCAGATACATACATACACAGATACATGCATGCACACATATACATATACACACACATGCTCATACCTACATACCTGCACTCACACATACATGGTTACACACAGATACATGCATGCACACATGCTCACACATATATGCCTGCATGCACACATACATACACCAGTAAGCACACACATACACATATGGCCTAGCTGAAGGATCTACCTGGCATCTGTGCTCAGCAAGGGTGCCCCAGGTGGGCAGGTGCAAACTATTTTAGAGAGGGACGTGTTGCAGTGCATGGGGCAGAGTGAGCAAGCAGGAGGTCCAACAATGCCACCTGTTCTCTGGGTCCCTCCACTCTAAGTGACTGAGGATCTTCAGAGAGCAGAGGGGACCCAGGGTGGAGAGGCAGAAACCCACTCCCATATGGGAAAAAAGGTATAGAGAATCTACGTTAGTTCTCTCCTTGGTACTTACTGGCTCCCAGGGAATGCAATGCTTGACCTAAATCTACCTGTAAGGGAATGACAAGACAAGCCTCTTGGAAAACATTCCCACTTCTGCATAGAAGCTTCAGGTGGCCCCAGAGCCTGTGTCTTCACTTTGCTGAGAGGTGTAGTATTTTATTTGCCTTTGCTTAGAGCCTGGTTTGTGCTGCCCCAATGCCTGGGCTCTGTAGGCCTATGCTAATCTGTATGACTATTCTAAGCCCTCTTCAGGCCCCCTCCCCTGAGAGTGTATAGAGACCAAGGAAAGTGGGTCATGTTTCATCACCAACCTTTAATGACCTTCCCTGCATGCAGCCCTCCAGCTAGAAGCTGGTTATTATGCAGATAAAGCACCTTCAATGCCGAGTCCTTCATTCTGAAACATCAGGAAGGGGTGAGGACTACATTAGGAGGAGGGTGGACACTCCAGCATGCCCTGGATCCAGAGAACCCCCTGATCTCAGGCATTTTGTCTCTCTTTCTTCCTACTGTGCCAGAAGTAACAGCACAGCCTTGTCTCCCAGCCCTGCTGGGCTCATGCCCTACAAGGAGGATGACCCCACAGTCTCCCACTGGAGTCTGTGGTTTGCTCCTTCACCCTATTCAACCTTTTCTGCCCCAACCCATCTCCTGCTGGAAGAGAAGCTGCACGGTGAGTCAGAGCCCTAGGTTCTTGCCCCATCTCTGCCTCCAATGCTGCTGAGTCGCAGGAGACAACTCTCTCGCCCACTCTGGGCCTGAGCCTCCCCATTGCTACACTAAGATGATGGGTTGGATAACATCCAGGCCTCTTCCACGTTAAAGCCTGATTCTTCAATTCTTCAAGATACATGTATTTCTATTTGGTCATATATTCCTTACTAAGTGAGGAGTTTCTTTAAATTTAAATTTCTTTTATTTAACTTTTCAAAGTTGTTTCTCATCTTTGAACTCAGTTGATTTCCTGGCATCCTATGAGGTGGAAGATGTATCCTAAAGTGGGTTTCTCCAAAAGTTATATGGGGGAAAAGGATGCAGTGTAAAAATTGGGTCGATGCATGGCTAAATACAATTCAACAAGTTGCCTTACTTCAGAAAACCTCAGAGTCACTCATATGCTGAGCTGGGCTGTGGTTCTCTTATGAGAGGATGTAGAAAGCAGAATTCCCTGCATTTACTTGATCAGAGAGCTCCACTGTGTAAAGCATCTCCTGGATGCCTCTGTGGGACTCCTCTAATCGAGTCCCATAGAACACATCATGGGAAGTGCTTTATTAGACTGAGAGAAAGGACCACTCTCATCCTCTGTTGTAAAGCCCAGAACACGGCAGAGTGTCTGGCTTGGTACATGCCAGTGGGTGGACAGACTGACTGATGGTAATGGTTTTTGTTTTATTATTATCCCCAAAGAGTAGCAGGGAGGCAGGGGCACAGAGTGGGTGAGCTTACATCCATTCACTGTGATGGGGGACAATGGCGGAGCTCTGAGCAGGGATCCTGGCCCCCGTTCCCACCTTGGATAGACTTGGCTGGAGCTCTAGACTGGGAGGTTCACTTATCCCCCTCAGCATCAGGGACCCCTTGTGAGATGGCCTGCCCCAGTCCTGCCCCTATTTGAAAAAGGCTGGGAAAACTCTAAGAGCAGTGAGGTGCTGGTCACAATTTCCCAGCTGCAATGGCAGCCCCTCCCTTCCTCCCTCCTGCTCAGAGCTGGACAACGGGTCTATCCAGAACTCACTTCCTCCGGAGGACACCACCAAACCAGGGCCTCATACACTCACCGGAAGCACAGCGCCCCACTCAGGACCATCTTGAGCTCCACAGGGTGTAGACTCCCCTATTTTGGAATAAACAACAGAAAATCATGGAGAGAGAGGCTGAGTTGGCTGGGGTCTGGGGAGCAAGCAGCTGCACCGAGCTCCCCAGCATGTGAACAGCCTCCACGGAGCAGATTCTGGGTCTGGGGTCAGGAGAGAGCTCCGGTACCACCAGCGCCCCAGAGCATACCTCAGAATGTTCCTTTCTCCTGGCGGGAGCTGTGGAGTCTGCCTGTTCCTCCAAGGATGCCTCAGCCTTTTAAGTAAGGCCTAGGGAGGGGCCCTGAAACTGCCAGGACCTGAGGAGGAGCAGGATTCCCAGCGTGATTTCACATCACCCTAAGTCGCCAGAAGCACTTGCTGCTCATTATCTGTCGTGGGGAGGGAAGCTTCTGGAGACAGTTTCCTTCCAGAAATATTGAAGAACTTCCTTGAGGCTTTCCAGCTCTTTGTGAGCACTAGGCTTTTGCATCTCAGGGGCTTTCAGACCCTAAGAGTCAGTGCCCATGGCAGCTCAAGGGAAGCGCGACTTTCTTTCCTCCCTGCCTCCCTCCCTTTCTTCCTTCTTTCCATCTTTCATTCACTCACTCCCTCCCTTTTCCCTTCCTTTCTTCCCTCCCTCTTTCCTTCCTTTCCTTCTTTCCCTTCCCATTTCCTCCCTTCCTCCCCTATTCCCTTTCTTCCTTACCTTTTTCACTCCTTCCTTCACTCCTTCCCTTCTCCCTCCTTCCTTCCTCTGTCTTTCCTGCCTGCCATTGCCAGGCCTACAGGAGATGTTAGAGGTGGGACTCTCCTGCTTAGGGAATGTTCAGCCTACATGTTCATTGTAGAAAAACCTGAAAATCCAGATCAGCCACAAGAAAAAATGTGAATACTTGTCTTTTCTGAGTGCATCATCAGAAAACCAATGACAACACTATTTCCTCCACACACATACACATGTAACTATAGACAGCTTTCATACAACAGATTCACAAAACCTATACTTTTTCCAACCTCATTTTTTCATGTGGCAAAATAGCAAAATATCTTTCCATACTAAATATGAATAATGACATGCTTCAATAGCTGTATAGTATTTAACTGTATCACTGTAACATTATTTATTGAAACCTATCCACTGTTATTTGTCTTTTATATATTTTTCTCTCTTTTTTTGCTATTGAAAACCATGTTGTGACAAACATCTTTGTATTAACATCTTTGCTCATGTATCTGGTTATTTCTTTAGAAAGTAAAATCTAGCTCATGCCATCTATAATTCTGTAAGTGATCTTTCTTGAATACCTAATTGATAAGATAATACTTAATTGTGAAACAGTTAATGCAGTTTAAATACCTCCATGCACTCTCTGTGATGGATCTGAAATAAAGGTAAGGGTCAGTGCACAAAAAACAATTTAATTATATCTTGAATAACACAGATAACTATTTATTAATAATTTATTGTTAAAGCATACACTTTTTTTTTAAGTTTTATTTTTCTTTTTTCTTTTATTATTATTATTATACTTTAAGTTTTAGGATACATGTGTACAATGTGCAGGTTTGTTACATATGTGTACATGTTAAAGCGTACATTTTAAAGAAATGGTATTCAGACATATGAGCCAAGAGGTCCTACAAGTGTTCAAGAATAAATAAAATATCAAGTTGTTCAAAACACAGAAAATAATCTACGATTTTCATAATGCCACTAATATGATAGACACTTTTCAGAAAAATAAAATTAATGTAGAAACTGCCTTGTACAAAATTATTAAATTACAAATTGACCAAATGGAATGACAGTAGAAATAAGATGAAATGAGACAAGCCTGGCCAACGTGGCAAAACCCCATCTCTACTGAAAACACAAAAATTAGCCGGGTTGGTGGTGCACATTTGTAATCCAAGCTACTCAGGAGGCTGAGGTGTGAGAATTGCTTGAACCTGGGAGGTGGAGGTTGCAGTGAGCCAAGATTGAGCCACTGTACTCCAGCCTGGATGACAGAGAGAGCTAGACTCTGCCTCAATAAATAAATAAATAATAAGTAAAATGAAACTATGACTGTGTATACTGTCAATATTATATGAAAACATTATCAAACAGGCCTCACCAACAATAAGTTCTCTCTGGACCTATCCCTTTGCTTGACTTACTAATTAGGTCTCAGACTCTGTGAAATTAGCCATGAACTAAGAGAACATTGATAAATTACACATTATTCCTGTCTGATAGAAAAGATAACTCCAAAGGGTGCAGTTTTATTGCCTCACAAGTCATAAAGCTGTCTTTAAAACGTAACTTAGCCAACCTATTTCAGCCTTTATTTCTTGACTGACGGTATAAGCCTCCATTCCCTGAATTATCTTTTGATAATCAGCTTTATAATCTTGCTGATTCCCTCACTTATGAAAAATAGTAAATCTTTGACACATGCTCACTATATGTGTGTATGAGAGTCAAGTTTTGAACTTCTGAAAAATAAACTTTGGCACTACCTAAAGACAATGCTGCCAATTCGCAAACCATGTGTGGCTGTTTTAAAATATGTCCATAAATTCTTGGAAACTTCATCTTTAAGAAGGTGATATGGTTTGGCTCTGTTCCCACCCAAATTTCATCTTGAATTGTAGCTTCTATAATTCCCACGTGTCATGGAAGGAACCCAGTGGGAGGTAATTGAATCATGGGGGCAGGTCTTTCTTGTGCTGGTCTCATGATAGTGAATAAGTCTCACAAGATCTGATGGTTTTATACAGGGGAATTTCCCCACACAAGCTCTCCTGCCTGCCACTATGTAAGACATGACTTTGCTCTTCTTTCATCATCTTCCACCATGATTGTGAGGCCTCCCCAGCCATGTGGAACTCTAAGTCAATTCAACCTCTTTCCTTTATAAATTACACAGTCTTGGTTATGTTGTTATTAGCAGCATGAGAACAGACTGATATAGTAAATTGATACTGGGAGTGGGGCGCTATGTTACATGATGAACATGGCAGCATCATAAAAGGCATTGCAATTTCCTCCTAGCTCTTAGATCACTCACCTGGACAAAGCCAGCCACTATGTGATAAGGACACTCAAGCAGCCCTATGGAGAGGCCCACGTGGTGAGAAACTATTTTTTCCTGCCAACAGTCTGTGAATGCACAATCTTAGAAGCAGATCCTCTAGCCCCAGTCAAGCCTTCAGATGACTGCAACCCTGGCTGACATCTTTCCTGTAACCTAATGAGACACCCTGAGCCAAACCCTCCAGCCAAGCCAGTTTTCTCATTCCTGACTCTCAGCCTTTGTTAAATAATAATTTTTTCTTGTTTTAAGCTGCTAACTTTGCTGATACTTTGTTACACAACAATTGGTAACTAACACACCTTGACATCACTATTGGCATTTCAGCACTTTAACACTTTGCCTGTTACCCAGCAATTTGGAACTGGGTAAAAGGCAGAGGTTGGAACAGTTTGGAGGGCTCAGAAGAAGATAGGAGGATGTGGGAAAGTTTGCAACTTCCTGGAGACTCACTGAATAGCTTTGACCAAAATGCTGATAGTGATATGGACAATAAGGTCCAGGCTGAGGTGGTCTCAGATGGAGATGAGGAACTTGTTGGGAACTGAAGCAAAGGTGACTCTTGTTATGCTTTAGCAAAGAGACTGGCAGCATTTTGCCCCTGACCTAGAAATCTGTGGAACTTTGAACTTGAAAGAGATGATTTAGGGCATCTGGCAAAAGAAATTTCTAAGCAGCAAAGTATTCAAGAGGTGATTTGGGTGCTGATAACATTCAGTTTTATGTATTCACAAATATATGGTTTGGAATTGGAACCTACATTTAAAAGGGAAGCAGAGCATAAAAGTTTGGAAAACATGCAGCATGAAGATGAGATAAGAAAAACCTATTTTCTGAAGAGAAATTCGAGCTGGCTGCAGAAATTTGCATAAGGAAAGAGGAGCCAAATGTTTTTCACCAAGAAAATGGGGAAAGTGTCTCCAGGGCATATCAGAGGTCTTCACAGAAGCCCCTCCCATCACAGACCTGGAGGTCCAGGAGGAAAAAATGGTTTCATGGGCCAGACCCAGGGCCTGGCAGCTTTGTGTAGTCTCAGGACTTGGGATGACTTGCATCCCAGCCACTCCAGCTTTGGCTAAAGAGGGCAAAGGTACAGCTTGGGTCATGGCTTTAGAGGGTGTAAATCCCAACCCTTGGCAGCTTCCATGTGGTGTTGAGCCTGTGGGTGCACAAAAGTGAAGAACTGAGGTTTGGGAGCCTCCGCCTAGATTTCATAGGATGTTTGGAAATGTCTAAATGTCCAAGCAGAGGTGTGCTGCATGGGCATAGCCCTCATGGAGAACCTCTGCTAGGGCAGTGCAGAAGGGAAATGTGGGGTGGGAGCCCCCACACAATGTCCCCACTGGGGCATTGTCTAGTGGAACTGTGAGAAGAGGGCCACTGTCCTCCAGATCCCAGAATGGTAGATCCACCAACAGCTTATGCTGTGTGCCTGGAAAAGCCACAGACAGTGTCAGCCCATGAAAGCAGCCAGGAGGAGGGTTGTACCCTGCAAAGTCACAGGAGTGGAGCTTCCAAAGACTATGGGAACCCACCTCTTGCATAAGCATGACCTGGATGTGAGACAGAGACTCAAAGGAGGTAATTTTGAAGCGTTAAGATTTGACTGCCCCGCTGGATTTTGAACTTGCATGGGGCCTGTAGCCCCTTTGTTTTGGCCAATTTCTCCCATTTGGAATAGCTGTACTTACCAAATGCCTGTACTCCTATTGTATTTAGGAAGTAACTAACTTGCTTTTGATTTTACAGCTCATAGGCAGAAGAGACTTGCCTTGTCTCAGATGAGACTTTGGACTGTGGAATTTTGAGTTAATGCTGAAATGCGTTAAGACCCTGGGGGACTGTTGGGAAGGCATGATTGGTTTTGAAATGTGAGGACATGTGATTTGCGAGGAGCCAGGGGTGGAATGATATAGTTTGGCTGTGTCCCCACCCAAAGCTCATCTTGAGTTGTTGCTCCCATAATTCCCATATGTCATGGAAGGGACCCAGTGGGAGGTAACTGAATCATCAGGGCAGGTCTTTCCTGTGCTATTCTCATTCTAGTGAATAAGTCTCATGAGACCTGATGGTTTTATAAAGGGGCATTCCCCTACACAAGCTCTCTTCCCTCCTGCCATGTAAGATGTGACTTTGCTCTTCCTTCATCTTCCATCATGATTGTGATGCCACCTCAGCCATGTGGAACTGTGAGTCAATTCAATCTCTTTCCTTTACAAATTACTCAGTCTCAGGTATGTCTTTATTAGCAGTGTGAGAACAGACTGATACAGAGAGGAAGTTTAACTGCCCTTCTCTTGAGTATGGACTGGACTTAGTGACTTTTTTCTAATGAGTATGTTACATGGTGAACATGGCAGCATGTCACTTCTGAGACCAGGTCATAAAAGGCATTGCAGTTTCCTCCTTGCTCTTAGAACACTCACCTGGATGAAGCCAGCTGCCATCTAATAAGGATATTCAAGCACCCCTATATAGAAGCCCACATGGTGAGAAACTGTGGTTTCCTGCCAATGGTCTGAGTGAGCAATCTTACAAACAGATCCTTCAGTCCCAGTCAAGCCTTCAGATGACTGAAACCTTGGCTGACATCTTTCCTACAACCTAATCAGACACCCTGAGCCGAACCCTCCAGCCAAGCCAGTTTTCTTATTCCCGACTCTGTCTTTGTTAAATAATTTTTTTGTTTGTTTTAGGTCGCTAGGTTTGCTGTTACACAGCAATTAGTAACTAATACAGTTTGACATCACTATTGGGAAGTTTCTACTCCTGTTGTTTTTTCATTTTCCACTGTCTTCGGTGGGTATGCTCTCTTCTCAGCAAACATCTCAGTTCTTCATGGGCTTTATATGCCCTGGAAAGTGTCACAGCCTGCAGAGAAGCAATGTTCCCTGTGGTGACTTATCCTCACCTTTGTGAGAATGGCAATAACCCTGGAGGTAGATGTGGCCTCTGCTCTTGCTGTAGAGATGACTTAGGGCAGGTGTATTCACCTATATGAGAATGTAAGCAGAGTTTATTATGGTAAGATAGTAAATTCCTGTTAGGGAGATAAATTTAGTAATAATTAAAGTAACTGATATTCACTTGGTGCCCACTATGTCCCTAGAATTCTATAGCACTTCCCACAATGTGTTCCATGAGACTCCAATAGAGAGATAATGAGCAGCAAGTATTCCCGGCGGCTTAGGGTGGTGTGAAATCACGCTGAGAATCCTGCTTCTCCTCAGGTCCTGGTAGTTTCAGGGCCCCTCCCTAGGCCTTACTTAAAAGGCTGAGGCATCCTTGGAAGAGCAGGCAGACTCCACGGATCCCACCAGGAGAAAGGAGCATTCTGAGGTATGCTCTAGGGCACTGGTGGGACTGGAGCTCTCTCCTCATTTCAGACCCAGAATCTCCTGCTCTGTGGAAGCTGTTCTCATGCTGGGGGACTCAGTGTGGCTGCTTGACTGGATGAGACAGAGGATGTGAAGAGCCAGGTTGGCATCTAGCACAAACCCACAGACACGGGTTCCTCCCCACTCTGTCTTTCTCACCTCTCCTTCACTTTTCCTAGGTATGTAAAGAAGACATTAAGAACACGGCAAAGGCCAAATTTACATTGACTTAAATCTAAGACTGGTTCATGACCAAAAATGCATGTAGCTAGCATGGCTTTCCCAACGCAGAGAGAAAAAGGCATGGACTCAGCTCCAACAGACTGGCGTAATGAGTGCAGAATATGCTGTGAGGTTTTAAATTTGCTGACAAGAAAGGTTAACGTTTGTTACACATTCACTCTGTCAGGTACAGTGATAAAAGCAATATAGCTATTATGTTGCCTCATTCCCACATCAGTCCTCTAAGGTAAGTGCTATGCTTATTCCCATTTAACTGATAAGACAAAACGAAAATTAGAGAGGCTAAGTCACCTAAGGTCACAAAACTAGTAAGAGATGGACCTGGTATTGGTACTCTTGCAGCTTGACTTCATACTAATTCACACCCATTCCCCAATATGAAAAATAAGCTGTGTAATGCTTATAAATTCACACATTTGGAATAGAAGGCAGAGCTCGAGGCTGGGGGAATGAAGGAGTCTGCACAAAGGACCAACAGGCTTTCTAAGAAGATAATAGAAACCAGCCAGGTGCAGTGGCTCGCACCTGTAATCCCAGTACCTTGGGAGGTAGAGGCGGGCAGAACACTTGAGGCCAGGAGTTCAAGACCAGCCTGGCAAACATGAAGAAACCCCGTCTCTACTAAAAATACAAAAACTAGTTGGGCATAGTGGTGCACACCTGTAATCCCAGCTACTTGGGAGGCTGAGGCACGAGAATCACTTGAATCCCAGGAGGTGAAAGTTGCAGTGACCTGAGATCATGTCACTGCACTTCATCCTGGGCAACAGAGCAAGACTCTGTCTCAAAAAAAAAAAAAAGGAGAGAGGGAGAGAAGATAATAGAAACCAACAGAGTTGGTGCAGAGACAAAGGAGTGCCCCATAGCAGAGTGTGGCACACTTTGGGTTGGACGGAATTTATCACTCCCTGGAGTGACTTTTGGTAGCTGAGGACATCCGTGAAAGTCCTTCCTGGAGTAGGAGTGATGGTGTGCATGCACAGACACAGCCTCCAGGGAGCCGTGAGCAGAAGGGGACCTCCAGCTGCATCCAGGACTCCCTCTCCAACCCAGCCACATCAGAGGGGAAGGGTACCACTTGGCTCATAGCGCTTTCGAGAAACCCTGGATGCCAGTGAAGTCATGGGGAGGCTGTGGGCCAGGATCCACAGGGCTGCAGCTGGGTGCTGAGCCAGAGGCCAGTGGCTTTGTTGCCTGCCCTCAGCCCCGTGGCACCCTCTGCCTGGGAGGCTGGGGAAGGGCCAGGTGCACAGGCCGGGATCTGAGAGAGCGCGTGGGCAGTCCACAGGGCAGGTGAGGCTCTGAGAGAGAGTGTGGGCAGTCCACAGGGCAGGTGAGGCTCCGGTGTGTGTCACACCCACAGTTTCTGCTGACTGAGTCCCATGAACAGGGCCAGAGCCACCGGCAACTTCTGTACCCCAGATCCACATTCAGGCGCTTTCCTCGTCTGTGCCTCAGAGGCTTCCAGAGCCTGCGGACTCGCCTCCGCCGGACTGTGTAGTTTGACCATTGCTCTCCAGCAGGAAACTGGAAATAAACCCAGGGCTAGGCACTGGCTGAGCTCCATTCTCCCCGGTCCTGCGCTGGCCCCTCCGGCGGGGCCTGCCGCTCTCAGTGTGCCGGGCCAGGATCTACCGGCAGGGGGCGCTCTCCACCAGGCTAGGTCGGGAGGCCACGATGAGAGGCACGGCCTCCGATTCAAGGATCGGGAGGCCACGCTGAGAGGCACGGCCTCCGATTCAAGGATCAGGAGGCCAGGCTGAGAGGCACGGCCTCCGATTCAAGGATCGGGAGGCCACGCTGAGAGGCACGGCCTCCAATTCAAGCTCTCTTCCTCTTTTTCTGTCTCTTTCCACAAGGATCTGCAGCCCTCACCCGAGTAGCGAGCATCTAAAGCAGGACTAGACGAGGCAAGGGAGCTGCACCAGGGCTACCCCTGAGAAAGCCCCAGCTCTCCTCGGCTTTCTCAGTGATGTGTGGCTTTCGTGGGCTCCTCAAAAACAGAAACTATCTTTTTTTATTATTATTATCTGTCCCTTTTTGCTGTTTTTGATAACTTATTTATTCGATAGATGTCTGCACATTTGCCTCTTTTGATATATCTTTAAATTGTTATTATTAAATGTGGTAAGATATACATAATATAAAAATTACCATTTTAACCATTTTTAAGTGTACAGTTCAGTGGCATTAAGGACATTCACATTGTTGGGCAACCATCACCACCATCCATCTCCAGAACTCTTCTCGTTTTGCAGAACAGAAATTTTGTACCTACAAAACAATAACTCCTCACTCCCCTCTCCCCAGCGGCCCCTGGCAACCACCATTTTACTTTCCATCTCTATGAATTTGACTGCTTTAGGCGCCTCATATACGTGGAATTACACGGTATTTTTTTTTTTTTGTTATTAGTTTATTTCACTTAACTGAGTTTACTTTCAAGATTCATCCATGTTGTAGCATGTATCAGAACTTCATTCCTTTTAAGGCTGTGTGGTGTGTGTACCACATTTTCTTTATTCGTTCATCTGTCGATGGACACTTGGGTTGCCATCACCTTTTGGGTATTGTGAATAATGCTGCTATGAACATGGGTGTTCAAATAGCTTTTCAAGTCTCTGCTTTCAATTCTTTGTGAATATACCCAGAGGTGGAACTCCTGGATCATATGGATAATTCTATGTTTAAGTTTTTGAGGAACAACCATACCGTTTTCCACAGTGGTTGCACCATTTTACATTCCCACCAACAGTGCACAAGGGTTCCAGTTTCTCCACATTCTTTTTTTTTTTTTTAGACGGAGTTTCACTCTTGTCGCCCAGGCTGGAGTGAAGTGGCGTGATCTCAGCTCACTTCAACCTCTGCCTCTCAGGTTCAAGTGATTCTCCTGCCTCAGCTTCCTGAGTAGCTGGGATTACAGGTGCACGCCACCATGCCTGGCTAACTTTTGTATTTTTAGTAGAGACAGGGTTTCACCATGGTGACCAAGCTGGTCTCAAACTCCTGACCTCAGGTGGTCCGCCCACCTCGGCCTCCGAAAGTGCTGGGATTACAGGCATAAGCCATCACGCCCCACCCAATTCCTCCACATTCTCATCAACACTTGTTATTTTCTATTTTTTTCTAATAGCAACCATCTTAATGGGTGTGAAATAGCAGTATATCATTGTGGTTTTGATTTACGCTTTCCTAATTATTAGGGATGTTGAGCACCCTTTCATGTGCTTATTGGCTATTAGTATATATTATTTGGAGAAATGTCTACTCAAGTCATTTGACCATTTTTTAACTGGGCTATTTGCTTTTTTGTTGTTGAGTTACAGGAGTTCTATATATATTCTAGATGTCAACCCCTTATATGACTTTCACCTATTTCCTCCCATTCCCTGAGTTACCTTAACATACTATTAATAGTGTCATTTGAGGTACAGAAGTTTTAAATTTTGATGTAGTCCAATGTATCCATTTTTTCTTTTGTTGCTTTTGTTGCCTATTTTTTGGTGCTATATGCAAGAAATCATTGCCAAATCCAATGTGATAAAGCTTTCCCCTATGTTTTCTTCTAAGGGCTTTAACTTTCATTTAGGTCTTTGATTCATTTTGAGTTGATGTTTTTATGTGGTATAAGATAAGGGTCTAATTTCATTCTTTTGCATGTGCACCATCACCACTTGCTCCACCATCACCATCATCACCCACCAACACAACTGCCATCATCAGTATCATTATTGTGTGATGCTTCCTCTTCATCATCATTAAGAAGAACAATAGCTAGCATATTTTAAATTATTAAACATTTTTAAAATAAATTCAATTGCTTTCATAGAAATGGGATTACT
Organism: Homo sapiens; assembly: GCF_000001405.40. Taxonomy (NCBI): domain Eukaryota; kingdom Metazoa; phylum Chordata; class Mammalia; order Primates; family Hominidae; genus Homo; species Homo sapiens. The sequence goes on along the minus strand of NC_000002.12, from coordinate 113,048,910 downwards.
CAGGTTACTTACTTCTTCTGTGGGTTTTAGTAGTTTGGCTTTCCAAATGTTGGTCCATTTTATCTAAGATGTTAAATTTATGGGCATAAATTTGTTTGTAGTATCCTCTTATTACCCTTCTAAAGTATGTGTAATCAGTAGTGATGTCCCTCTTCTATTCATGAAACTGGTAATTAGTCTCCTCTCATTTTTCTTGATTTTTTAATAATCAGATTTTAGCTTCATTAATATTCTCTACTGCTTTCTGCAATCAATTCTATTGATTTTTGCTCCGATCTTATAAATTTCTTTCCCACTCCTTGCTTTGAGCTTGTTTTACTCCTTTTTCTAGTACCTTCAGGTGGAATCTCAAATTATTAATTTGACGTCTTTCTTCTTTTCTAAACATTTATGCTATTTTTCCAAGCATGATTTAGTTGTATCCCACAAATTTAGCTATAATTTTGGGGGTGTTTTTTGTTTTTTGTTTGAGGCAGAGTCTCACTCTGTCACTCAGGCTGGAGAGCAGTGGCGAGATCTCAGTCCACTGCAATCTTCGCCTCCCGGGTTCAAGCAATTCTCCTGCCTCAGCCACCTGAGTAGCTGGGATTACAGGTGCATGCCACCATGCCTGGCTAACTGTTGTATTTTTTACAATTTAATACAATTACAATTGTATTTTAGTAGAGACAGGGTTTCACCATGTTGGCCAGGCTGAACTCTTGATCTCAAGTGATTCAAGTGATTAGTATTTGCATGATACATCTTTCTCCACCTTCTTACCTTTAAACTGTCTACAGTTTTATATTTCAAGAGGGTTTCTTACAGACGCTATATATTTAGATCTTGCATTTTTATCCAATCTGACGATCTCAGTCTTTTACCTGGCGTGTTTTTATCACTTACATTTAATTTGAGTATTAATATGGTTGGATTAATATCTACCATCTTGCTGTTTTCTATGTGTTCCATCTGTTTTATATTTATTTTTCTTCTTCTGTCTTCTCCTGAGTTAACATTTTTTATTATTCCATTTTATCTCTTTTATTGACTTATTAATTATACCATTATATATTTATATTGGTTAGTCCAGGGCTTCCAATACATATTCTTAATTAAAGTCTACCTTTAATTTTTTTATACCACTTTAAGTCTACCACAAGGACCTTACAACAATATATTTCCAATTCTTTCTTTCTACACTTTGCATTATCATTGTCATTATCCACAAGGCTGGGGATAAAAACATTTCAAAGGTCACAATACCTGTTCCCACTGTCTGGCCTGGAAAACCTTATCATTCCCAAGGCATTGGTTACAGTATTCAGAAGGATCTTGCTTAAGTAATGGAAAATAACTAGACCTAAACTAAATGCTTCTCAGGTTCAACCTATCAAATCCTAAAATCAAGTCCCAAATGGATCAAATTCTTGCCAAGAGCCTTAATTACACTACGGAATTAAGCTCAAGAATATTCATAGTACAAGTTGAGCCTCCCTAGTCTCAAAATTCAAAATCTGAAATCTTTCAAAATCCAAAACTTTTTGAGCACCAACATGACACTCAAAAGTCATGCTCGTAAGAAATGCTAATTGAAGCATTTCTAATTTTGAATTTTTGGATCAGGGATACTCAACCTGTAATACAAAAGTACCCAACACCCTTGGCAAAATGGCTGAATTTGGGACGGGCACAGAAAATACACAAGAGCAGCCTAAGCATGTTGTTGTAACAAAAAGTAAGGAAATACTTAAAAAAATCCACAGTGATTGGTATGTCAAAGGAACACAGGAGCTAAATAAAAGTGCTTCCAATGGCCAAAGCTGGAACAACTTAAGTAGCAAAATAAATAAAGTAGCACTGGATTATAATTTAAAACATAAAACAAATATCAGTGAGCACCAGCTGACTAAATAAATAAATAAGACAGACTAATCTCCCATGCAAAATAATTCCAAATTATTTATTTAGCTATCCAACTCTCAAGAAATTACAACATAACCTTCAGGCTCTAAGTGTGGGCTACACATAGTAACTTCTCTGTAATGAATATAGTATGGAAATGGGGGTGAAAGAGTAACTTTACAGTGGAGAAACCTAATGAACACTATCTCAGCCAGGTAAGATTAACATCAGCAGTAATAAGTTATGTTGACAGTATGTACCTTAGATATGATATATAATAAAAATAGCATTTTATCTCTGTGATCTCCCTCCCCCAAACCCATAACCCTAGTCTAATCATAAGAAAAACATCAGACAAATCCGAATCTATTTACTGTACTCCTCAAAACCGTCATTAACAACAAACAAAGCCTATGAAATTTTTATAGCAAAGAGGAGTCTAAGGAGACATGGTGACTAAAAGTCTTATCTTTGATGGAATGGTGGAACAAAAAAAGGATATTAGATAAAAACTGAAGAGGGCAGGCGCGGTGGCTCACGCCTGTAATCCCAACACTTTGGGGGCCGAGGTGGGCGGATCACGAGGTCAGGAGATCGAGACCATACTGGCTAACATGGTGAAACACCGTCTCTACTAAAAATACAAAAAATTAGCTGAGCGTGGTGGCGGGAGTCTGTAGTCCCAGCTACTCAGGAGGTTGAAGCAGGAGAATGGCATGAACCCGGGAGGTGGAGCTTGCAGTAAGCCGAGATGGTGCCACTGCACTCCAGCCTGGGTGACAGAGCCAGACTCCGTCTCAAAAAAAAAAAAAAAAAAAGAAAAAACCTGAAGAAACCAGAATATAAACTTTATATAATAATAATGTATCAATATTGGTGTATTCATTGTAACATGTATGCAAAACAAATGTAAAATGTTAATACACAATCTTTGCACTTTTTCTGTAAATTTGAAAGCTTTCCAAAGTAAGAATGCATTATTATGTATTAAAAAAGTACTTAGCAGCTAACACAGTAAAATTACAGTGTCTGACATCCAACGCTTACAAGAAAGGCAAAGAAACAGGAAATTCAGACACAGTATGAGGAGAAAAATTAATCAAAGCCAACCCAGAACTGATACAGATGTTAAAATGAACAAATACACATTAAAATGTTATGTCTAAATTCTGTATATTTAATAATTTAAGTAGAGACATGAAAGAGCTTAAAACAGACTCAAGTCAAACTCCAAGATGTAAAAACTGCCATGTCTGGAATGAAATATACACTACATGAAATTAGCATACAGAAGAAATTATTAGTGAATTTGAGGACATCGAAATAGAAATGTTCCAAAATAAATTATGAAGTGAAAAATAAAAATAAAAGGACATACGACACATACAAGAACAGAGAATCAGTGATATATGGGACTAATTCAAGGGGCCTAATATATGGAATTTTTAAAGGAAAAGAGGATGGTGGGAACAAAGATTTTTTTCAAATGTTAGCCAAATATTTTCTAAATTTCATGAAAACCATAAACACAGGTTCAAGAAGATTGATGACCCCGTGCACATGAAATATGAAGAAAACTACAGCAGCAAAATCATAAACAAATTGCTCAAAACCAGTGATACTGAGAAAATCTTAAAAGTAGCTGGAGGAAAAAGGACACAATGCATACAAATACATAAAAAGAAGGATGACGGCAGATTTTTTGTCAGAATCAATACAAGTGAGAAAGCAGTAGAGCAACATATTTGAACTACTGAAAAAAACATTGTCAATTATGCTTTTGCGGTTATAACCAGCAAAAAATCTTTCAAAATTAAGATGAAATAAATGTCTTTTCAGACACACACAGAAAGAAAATAATACTGTATGGAAATAAGAATTTTAATACAGAAAATAAGCTCCAGAAATGATAACTATATTTATACATATGTGAGATTTTTAACTTAATATTTAAATCCCTTTAAAAGATAATTATTTAAAAAACAATAACAAGGTATCATTAGGATTATAACATATATATAAGTAAAACGAATGACAAAAATAGGATATGGTTTAGGAGGGGAGAAATGAAAGTATATTATTTTACTATGGGAGACTGTGACAAATTAAAGATGGATACTGTAATTCTAAATCAACTACTCAAACAACAAAATAATTAGTAATCACTAGTAAGTTAACAGAGGAGATAAAATTGAATCAGAAAATGTTCAAGTAATCCAAAAGGACTCAGGAAAAAATGGAACAAAGAACTGATGACAAATATAGAAAACAAATAACACGATGGTAGACTTGAACCTAACCACAGCAATAGCAACATTAAATATAAATAGCCTAAACACTCCAATTAAAAGATTGTCAGATTGAATTAAAAAGCAAAACTTTACTAGATGCTACCAACAAGAAGTGCACTTTAAAGGTAAAGACACAATTATGCTAAAAGGAACATGATGGAAAATGATATACCATGTTAACACCAATAAAAAGCAAGTTGGAGTGGCTATATTAATATTAGACAAAGTGAGCCTGGGCAACATAGTGAGACCTTGTCTTTACAAAAAATAAAAAAAATAGCTGAACATGGTGGCACATGCCTGTAGTCCCAGCTACTCCAGAAGCTGAGGTGGTAGGATCACTTGAGCTCAGGAGTTCACAGCTACAGTGAACTAATGATCATGCCACTGTACTCCAGCCTGGGCAACAGAGCAATGTTTCTAAATTCACACACACACACACACACACACACACACACACACACACACACACACATATAGATATAGATATATCAAAGTAAATTGCAGAATAAAGAATATTGCCAAGGATAAGAAGTTTATTTCACAATGATTAACAGTACACTGACACACTGAAAATTTTAAAATATTGCTAAAAGAAAGTTTTTGAAAGGCCCAAAAAGCCAGAACGATATGCCTTCCTCAAGGGTCAGAGGATTCAATATTATTAAAAAGTGAATTTTCCCCAACTTGACCTGTAGATCCAATACAATCCCAGTCAAAATCCTAGCAGGCTTTTATTAAAGAAATTGACATGCTGATTATTACATGTGGCATTGGCAAAAAGATAGACAAATAGGTCAATGAAAAAGGATAGAGTCCAGAAATAGACTTACACATATATGAACAACTGATTTTCAACAAACATACAAATACAACCAGTGTGGCTGGGTGCAGTGGCTCACACCTGTAATTCCAGCACTTTGGGAGACCTAGGTGGGCGGATCACCTGAGGTCAGGAGTCCAAGACAAGCCTGGCCAACATGGTGAAACCCCTTCTCTACTAAAAATACAAAAGTTAGCTGGGTGTGGTGGTGCATGCCTGTAATCCCAGCTACTTGGAAGATAGAGAATTGCTTGAACCTGGGGAGCGGAGGTTGCAGAGAGCTGAGATCGTGCCATGCACTCCAGCCTGGGCGACAGAGCAAGACTCTGTCTTAAAAACAACAACAACAAATACAATCAGTGGAGAAAAAAATACCATGTTCAACAAATGGTGACAAATCAATGAGATATTCATATAATGACAACAAAAAGGTGAATTATGATCCATTTCTTGCAGCATATGGAAAAATAATTCAAAATTGATCATAAATCAAAATGGAAAACATAATCTACAATGCTTCATAATTAAACATAGAAGAAACCTTTTTCATTCTATTAAGCAAAGATTTCTTAGATACAGTGAGAAATTATGGTACGTATGATTTTTTAAATTGCTAAATTTGACTTTATTAAAAACAAAAATTTCTTTTTGAAAGATTCTATTCAGAGAATGAAAAGAGAAGTCACTGACTGGGAAAAATACTTGTAATGTATATATCTGAGAAAGGACTTGTATCCACAGTATATAAAGAACTCTCAAAACTTAATAAAAAGGAAACAAAAAAGACAATTTTTAAAATGGGCAAAAACTTAGAACAGATATTTGTATCAAATAATATATACAGATGACCAAAACAAAAAGCCTACAAAAAGATGTTCAATATAATTAGTCATTGGGAAACTGCAAATAAAATAGCAATGAGCTATTAGTATTGCTTACCTATTACTATTGCTAAAATTAAAAAGACTAGCTATACCAAGTCTTGGTGAGAATATTAGAGAACCAGATCTCTCACATAATAGTGATGAAAATGTAAAATGAAAAAAAAAGGTAGTTTCTGTTAAAGTTAACATATACCAACCCTATGATCCAGCCATTCCACTTCTAGGTATTAATTTAAGAGAAAAGAAAGCATATGTCCATACTAAGACTTGTACATCAATGTTCATAGTAGCTCTATTTGTAATAGCCAAAAAGTGGAAGAAACCAAATTTCTATTAAAAACTGAATGGAGGACAATTAAAAGGAATGACTATTGGAACAACTTGAATGGATCTCAAGGAAAGTACACTGAGTGAAGGAAGCCAGACAAAATCAATTATATACTGGGGGATCCCCTTTATATAAAATTACAAAACAAATGAAAACAAACCTATAGTGACAGAAAGCAGATCTGTAGATTCCTGGTGAATAGGACGGGGGATGGGAGGGAAGGACAGATTCCAGGAGACATGAAGACTCTTTGGGGGATGGTGAATATGTTCATGATTTTAATTTTGATGATGGTTTCACAAACATAGACATATGTCAAAACTTATCAAATTGTATATTTTGCGCCGTTTATTGTGTGCTAATTATTCCTCAATAAAGTTAAATTTTTTTCAAACCCTGAGTGCAGGATTAAGGGATATAGCTAGCTTAGGCATTCTAGGAATGACCTATTATGTGTCCCTGAATAGTGAGAAGCTCGGAAAGGCAAGACGACTCCTGCCCTAATAGAGGTTCCATTCTGGATACGACAACATAGGGTGACAGGTGAATGAACAGGTGCCTCAGATACAGCCCTTAAAACACTTCAGGTGCTGAAACCCATGGCTGGTGTCAGAGGCACCTCCTAGTGGTTGTCCTTATGAGGTGAAGTCCTGCTCTCTTTCCCCTGATGTTCCATATCAGATGTCCTTTGTCACTACTGTCAGCTCCCTGGAAAAAGCCTCCCAGCATCCTTGAGGGTAATGCCACCCCCTTTCCAGGCACTGAGACCTCGTCACCATCATCCCAGAAAGCCAGCCCATTTTAAAAATTAGATTGTTAACTCGGGAGGCTGAGGCAGGAGGATCTCTTGAGCCCAGGAGTTCAAGGCTGCCTTGCACTGTGATTGCACCTGTGAATAGCCACTGCACTCCAGCCTAGGCAACATAGGTGAGACCCTGTCTCTAAAAAAATTAGATTGCTTAACTTTTTATTTGTCAATTATACCAGTTCTTTATATATGTTGAATATCAGTTGTTGATCAGATATATGTCTGTGACTTGCTACTTGTTTCCTTAACAGTGTCATTTGATGAGCCTAATAAGTAAGTTTTTATTTTAACAATGTCTAGTTTAATCTTTATTTCTTTCATGGTTATTTCTTTCTGAGATCTGCCTAAGAAACCTTTGCTCACCCTCAAGTTTAAGAAATATTAGCCTTTTTTCTCTAAAAGCGCTAAGGTTTTAGCTTTCATGTTTAGGTCTGTAATTCACCTCGATTAAATTTTCAGTATTATGTGTGAGGTAGGGTTTGAGATTCATATTTTCTCATGGATATCTAATTGTTCTGGCACTGTTTGTTTAAAAGGTATCTCTTTCTCCCACTGGATCACTTTGGCATATAGGCTTTCTATTCGATTTGATTGTTTTATTTATCACTCCTCATGCTGCTAGTAAGACATTGTCTTGATTTTTGTCATTTTGTGGTACAGATAGTGATTTCTTGGATCATCTTTCTCCAAGCTTGTTTGGCATTTTCTTTCCTTTCTTCTTCCTTTTTTTTTGTGTGTGGCAAAGTCTTGCTCTGTCACCCAGGGCTGGAGTGCAGTGGCTCAATCTCGGCTGACTGCAGTCTCAACCTCCGCAGACTGAAGTCATCCTTCTGCCTCAGCCTCCCAAGTAGCTGGGACCACAGGCGCAAGCCACCATGCCCCACTAATCTTTGTGTTTTTTTAGAGACAGGGTGTTGCTAAGTTGCCCAAGCTGGTCACAAACTCCTGAGCTCAAGCCATCCTCCCACCTTGGCCTTCCAAAGTGCTGGAATTACAGGCGTGAGCCACTATGACTGGCCAGCTTGGCAATTTCAACCAAAAAAAAAGCCTAGTGCTATTATGGTAGAGATGTCATGGAATCCATAGACTGACATCTTAAAAATATTCAGTCTTTTAATTCATAAACATGGTATATACCTTCAATTATTTAGGTATTCTTTAATCTCTCTCAGTAACACTTTGTAGTTTTTGGTGCACAGGTCTTTTATATACTTTGTTAAATTTATTCCTAAGTATTTGAAGTTTTTGATGCTATGTAAATGGATTTGATTTTTGCTTTCATTTTCTGATAGCCTGCTGCCAGTATATAAAAATACAGTTAACTTTTCTATAAAAAATAGTGTATCCTCCAGCCTTGCACTTATTAGTTCTAGTAGTTGTTATGTGGATTTCTTAGGATTTTCTATATAAACAATCATATTATTTGAGGAGAGTTTTACTTATTTTCTGATTTCTATTTCTTGTGTATTTTTAGCAGACTTCTCAAAATGACTAGGACTTCAAATACGATGTTGAACAAAAGTGGAAAAAGCAAACATTCTTGACCTGTTATGAATCTTAGGGAAAAAAATCAATTCTTTCACCATTAAGTATGAGCTGTAGACTTTTTTTTCTTGGGCACTATTTTAACATGTTGAAGTTTTCTTCTATTCCTAGTTTGCTGGGAGTTTATATCCTAAGTAGATGTTACCTTTGGCCTAATACTTTGTCTATTAAAAGATTTAGGTGGCATTTCTCCTTTATTCCATTAATGTAGTTCTGCTTTACAATTCTTGTCTGGACAATTTCAGCATTGGTCTTCATTGATGATCTTTATTCTTGATGTGGAGTCACATCTGTTCCCTTATTCTTCAAGAAAGACTATTGGATTTTCTACACTGTGCAACTTCAGCCTGCCCACCTTACGAAACTTTCAAAAATGGGAAATTGACCCATGCAGATGATTTTCCCCGAGTGACTACTCCCTCCAGGATCTGCCTGCATGCCTTGTCTTATGCTTATTCACCGATGTCAGCAGTTTCCCTTCGCTATCTGACCCAGGTCTTATAGCTGTTTTTGTAAAAGTCCTGATCCAATACAAGCCAACTCAGTGACACAAAAATAAACTCGTGCCTTTCTGTTTTAAGAAGGTCTCTTTTAATGGAGAATTAAATTCATTTAAATGGACTGTGGTTTCTGAAATATGTGGATTTATTCCTACCATGCTTTAATTTTTTCTTTGCTTTTTTTCCTGATACCTCTTTTTCTGTTCCTGTTTCTCCTTCCCTTTATGGCTTCAACTGGATTGAGTAAGGTGGTTTTGTTTGTTTTTCCTTTGTTCATCCTCCCCTCTAGTTTGGAAGTTATATACTCTCCATTAATTTAATACATAATGGCTAGTATATTTATTTCTAGGCCTCTTCAGATGAGAAATCAGTGTGAGCCTAAGACTGTAATATTGTAAACTCTATTTTATCAGTTCTCCTTGACTTAACTAAACACAAAGTTAATCAGTACTTTAAGCCAGGGAACTGTGCCACGGTGAGGGTGGTTGCAGGGGTGGGATAGTGGCCACTTCCTGGAGTATTTGGTTTTTCCCTCTTTGGGTGTTCCCTGAGTTTTGTGACTGGGACACCCTGGGGATCTTTTTGTCTTATAATTGTCTTAGTGAGGGGTCAAGCAAGAGCAGGTTCCAGTGCTCTGTGCCTGTCTCATCCCTCACAGCAGACACCGACTATATCCTTGAACTCCCAAGATGACCAGAGTGAGTCTCATATCCAGGGGCCAACCTGGACTATGCTGATATCCCAATCTAGAGAGAGGAGGCTGGATGCAGAAATCCAAGGCCAACCTACTTTTCCTTCCTTCTCATCCCTTAAACTTAAAGGACAGAACCCACGACGACTTGCCTTCACTCTGGTGAGAAAGGGACATGGGAAAACATGGTTAATCCAGTCTGAAACTGACAGTCTCCCACTGAGTCACTCACTGTAGAACCCATCACCTAAAACAAGCATAGATGGAGATCAGGCATTGAGAGGACAGCCTCTCTCCAGGATGTCTCTGAATTAATGATTGGCTCTGCAGCTCAATCTTTTATCCTCATCTCTGTCTCTTTGTCTCCCTCTCCTACCACTAGTCCTTGAAGCCATGAAGTTTACATCTTCTCTCAGCTCTCTGGGATTATACCTTCCAAAAGTAACTAACCCCACAGCCTGCCATCTGAGCTTCAGGCTTGAAGTCATTACTATTCTGTATCTGCCCCTACATTAACCAACCTCCTCAGTGTGTGGCCAAATTGGACTGAGACTTGGGGATGTCACCCAGAACCGCACATCTCACTCTGCACAAACTACCACAGTGGAGCAACCAGCAGTCACAGCTGCGCTTGAGATCTCCCACCAGGAAATACTTACTTTTCGAAACTGGACCTTCTAAAGAGGAAGCATGAAGGAGAGATTTGCTGAAAGCAAATGGGAAAAACCTAGAACCATTTCAGACTTCCTAGTATGAAGGCTCATCTATCTTCACAGAAATAGAAGTGGCACAGGATGAAGTCTGGTCCAGAATGACCATACTAGACACTGGGCAGATGTCTGAGCCCAGTCAGCAGTGAGGAGCACTCTGGAACTGGGAGTGAGGATCTGGTCCAGGGGTCCTGTTCTCAGAAGGCCTCTCTTTCAACAACTTGTAGCAAGAAGAAAAGCATCATCCCTGTCTGGAAAGTGAAAAGCCCAGATCCCAAACTACCTCCTGGCCCAAATTATCAGTACAATCTGTTCTCTGGAAATATCTCAGTCCCACTTAAGGTTTTGTAAATTCCAGGGAAGGACCTTGAAGCTATAATTTAACCTAAGGAGGAGCAGTACTACCAGACTTCAAATGTCAGCGTCAAATGCTCGTCAAAAACTCCTGTTATTCAGATCTGCCCTAATTGTGAAGCATAAATTAAACTAAAGAAAGACACACAAATTATCTATGCAAATTTAGTAGTATCAGCCACCCACTTCTTTAATTAATCTGACCTAATTTCAAATCAACACGTAAAATGTAGTATATAATTTGATGAGAATTTACCTCTACAGCATAGAATCTGATGGTTATTAAGGCCAATTGCCTAAAAAGTACTTACATGTGTACAAAATGACAGAAAATATTAAAGGACAATCATAAGGATATAGAAAACTCCTCTATCATTCATATTATGGTATAAAGACTGTACAAAATCAGAAAGTATAGACCATTTGGATTTTTTTTTTTTTTTGAGATAGAGTTTTGCTCTTGTTGCCCAGGTTGGAGTGCAGTGGCGTGATTTCAGCTCACCGCAACCTCCGCCTCCTGGGTTCAAGCAATACTCCTGCTTCAGCCTCCCGAGTAGCTGGGACTACAAGCATGTGCCACCACGCCTGGCTAATTTTGTATTTTTAATAGAGATGGGGTTTCTCCATGTTGGTCAGGCTGGTCTCAAACTCCCAACCTCAGGTGATCCGCCTGTCTTGGCCTCCCAAAGTTCTGGGATTACAGGTGTGAGCCACCACACCCAGCCTCAATTGGATTTTCTAAATGAGCTGGCTCTTCTAAAAAAGCCACAAAGTTGTACTCTCTATTCTGTTCCAGAGAATCCACAAAGGAGTATCATTGAACTCCAAGTAACAGGAAAGTGACTTTATGCTGGGAACATCCCTGGGGCCTGTGACACGGAAGGACATGGATAGGTGGACACACAGCCTCGTGGACGTTGAGAGCCATAGGTACCTCCAACTGTGGTCGCTGATCCACACAGATGCTCACGCTCATCATGGGAAGGTACAGAGGGAGCGGCCACCTGGTTCTTAAGCACTTCTGAGCGCACCTAAGAGTCAAAGGAGAAATTCAGAGCCAAGGTTCCCTCAACTCCATAGTTTCGACTGGATCTTAGCACTTGTGCTACCACAGTTACTGTGACTCTATTACATTCCCCAGACTGGAGAATCGGAGCAGCGCAAATTCCCTGCAGGCAGGATGCAGGCAAGATAGGCAGGCTACACAGGGCAGTGCCGTCCTAGATTTTGTCTGGCTCAGATGCAGTCCCTTCTGACTGGCTGAATCACCAAGGCTGGGCCTCCGACATCATCCACCTACCTTCACACCAGGAAAGGAATATCTGGGCTCTCAGCTTAAAGAATCAGGATAAGGCGCTCTGGGCAGGATCAAATGCTTATTTATTCTATGCCTCACAGGCTTCTGAAGGCCTGAGTTTGGCCTATCCAGGAATTAAGCTATTTTAGCACCCACAGAAATGTGTTCTTCCTGGGGGCAGGAAGAGGAAATTCCTGCTCATTACTGACTTTGTCACCAGAAGGACAGAGACTGAGGCAGAATCTCCAACCTGGGAATGAAAACTGAGCTTCATATCAAGGGTTGGATGCCCTCAGCTGCATTCATCAGATATTTGGTTTTTCTCTCTGAGCAAAAAGAGAAAAGATGCCATGGGGTGTGTCTGAATAAGCCCTCCTAAGTTTCCTATATTTATCTCCTTAAAGGAGACTCAGCACCCACTTCATGAAAAAAAAAAAAAAAGCAAGGTGTTTTCAGATAAATAAAATGAGGGCATGGAACGTGACTAATTAGTTTTAATCTTTTTTTTTATAACAACACATGTATATTGCTTTAAAAATAATATAGAATCAGGCCTGGTACGCTGGCTCACGCCTGAATTCCAGCACTTTGGGAGGCAGAGGCAGGCAGATCATTTGAGGTCAGGAATTCAAGACCAGGCTGGCCAACATGGCAAAACTCATCTCTACAAAAAAAATACAAAAATTAGCCAGGTGTGGTGGTGCATGCCTGTAACTCCAGCTACTTGGGAGGCTGAGGCAGGAGAATTTCTTGAACCCGGGTGGGGCGGAGGTTTCAGTGAGCCAAGATCGCGCCACTGCATTCCAGCCTGGGCGACAGAGCAAAAGAAAAGAAAAAAACAAAAGAATCGAAAAGTGCAAAATTACCAACAACAGAGCCCTGACCATTTCTTCCCCACCAAATCCTACTCTCCTGAGGCAACCACTTCCCTTCTTTTATCTCAATCCTCTGATCAGTCAGGAAAGGCATTGTCTATGTCAGAGACACAGCTTCATCCTGGGAATCTTCACACCTCCTCCCTGGGTGAAGCCATTATTCCATGACTCTTGGGATTGCCTTCTTCTTAATCTATTTCTGTTTCTAACTCATTTATTTATCTCACCCATTTATTTACCATCAAGTCATCTAGGTATAAACATCAAAATATTTTTGTTTTTTCCTTTTCTTCTTCTTTAATTTCTACTTTCGATGTTGCTATATTCACTTGCTTTTTTTCTCACTGGATATCAGGTCCTCTAACAACATCCCTGCCAAACTTCACAACTTTCTTGTTGCTATTATTATTTTTTTTTTCAGAAGAGCTTCTCAAGATGGTGGGCATAGGCGAATGGATCATGTACCCCTACCAGTGCTGAGATGTTAGGGGCCAAGAAAAAGCACAGGAAAGGCAGAGTTCTTGCAGCACTGGCTTTGGGTTTGCAGAGGGAGGGGTTCCCACAGTTTCTGGTACAGTCTGATTTCATTTTATTTCAGTACACCGTGTGTGTAGTTTCTTGGACAGGGTGACTGACCATCAGTGTCACCCTGTCTGTCTTCATCATTAAGCACTCTCAGGACCTGAATAGATCCCAGATTCAAATTCTTTTCATGGTTGGACATCCTATCACTTGACCCATTGATCCCTTGGGGAAAATCTCATGGTTCCAACCCTTCTGCCAACCACTGGCTTCTTTGCATGGAGTCATGAGAGCCTTCAGTCTTCCACACTTTAAATGTCTAAAAGTTCTGAGTTGGGGTGGGAGTTTCTGCCAAGTTCTTCCAAGGAATGTGACCCCATAGTTTCTTTAGGCTCTGCTGGTGCTGGGAAGGTTAGAGCCTTGTCTGTATCTCTAGAGTACACCACACTTCAGTAAAATCACATCAGGGTCTCCCTGAACTCCCTCACCACACACTGCCCTGGCCAAGGAGCCAAGGTGAGCCTGTGGGTCTCTAGGTGTGCCAGTCATCCAGATGGGGGCAAAGCTGCCAGTCCCACTGACTGTTTGAGTGATTCTCTTGGGAGGCTCCATCCTGGCGATAGGAGAGCATCCCCTGGCCCTTCTCCATGAGGAGGTCAAGAACTCACCTCTCACCACAAGTGATGCCTTTCCTACAAAGCATCCCACTCCCCTTTTCTCTTCCCTGTCTTCCTCTTATTCATGAGATACTACATACATTTATTTGTTTATCAAAAAATATTTGTTAGTTCCCATAAGAGGTCCGCACCATTCCTGCCACTGAGCACATAGTTCTCTGGCCTCAAGACAAAACAGGTTCCCTGGCCCCACAGAACTGGCATTTTGGTAGTGGAGATAATAAATAAATAAATAGATGGATAAATACATTTTCCAAAACCATGGAAGCATACATTTTATGAAGAAAATAGTTGAGCAAAATAAGGGGCTAGGACATGGGTGAGGGACTCTTGGAGATAGGCTGGCTGGGGAATACCTTATTGAGAAGTTGGCTTTTTTGCATATGCATGGAAGAAGCGAGGGAGTGGACCACTTGTTGACCTGGGGAAGGCTGTTCCTTCAGAGGAACAGGAAAAACTCCCTGCAGGCGAAGATAAGCTTGCAGGGCAAGAAAATCAGCAGAATCCAGTACATCCAGAGCAGGGAAGTCAGATGGGCAGGGATAGAAGGCAGCAGAAAGATAAAGAGGACCCAGATCATGTGGGCTTGGTGAGGGCTTTGGTTATTTGGGGCATAAAGCAAAGCTATTAGAGGGTTCTGTGCAAGAGAGTCATACGACTTTATTTACATCTTTGATTCTGGTCACTGCTAGGTGGACATCTGACTCTAGGGAGGTAAGAACAGAAGCAAGGAGACTATTGCAATGCTCCAGAAGATAGAGTCAATGGTGGATTTCCAAGAGCAGAACCACAAAGAGTGATTGGGAGTAGGACTGACCAATAATATTCGGTTTCAAGAGTAATGATTTTCTTTCATAGCCAACATTGAAGCCGCGTCTGACTCCTAATTCAGAGTTAGAAAGCCACAAGACCTCCAAGTTCTCTCCTCTCCTCTCCTGGACACATTATAGATTTTTCAGTATCCTCAACTGAATGCAAGACTGTGTTCCGGCTAGTGCAGTATGCAGGAGACTATGACCCAGGGGAGGCATGTCACATAATCATTAAGAATAGAGAGACTTGGCTTCTAACTTGGCTAGATTTCTTAGTAGCTGTATGACTTTGGGTACATTCTGTCATCCCTCAGAGCCGCTGTTTTCTTACATGAGAAATAAAATTAATGGCCCCTAAAGAGTTGTGTGTGGGACGGGTGCAGTGGCTCACGCCTGTAATCCTAGTACTTTGGGAGGCCGAGGCGGGTGGACTGCCTGAGCTCAGGAGTTTGAGACCAGCCTGGGCAACACAGTGAAACCCCTTCTCTACTGAAATATAAAATACAAAAAACTAGCCCAGTGTGGCAGTGGGTGCCTGTAGTTCCAGCTACTCGGGAGGCTGAGGCAGGAGAATCACTTGAACCTGAGAGGCGGAAGTTTCCATGAGCCGAGATCGTGCCACTGCACTCCAGCTTGGCGACAGAGCGAGAGCGAGACTCCATCTCCAAAAAAAAAGTAAATGTAGCGTGAAGATTAAAAGGTTACTCAGGTAAAGCTCTTACAACTTTAGCAGAAACAGAATAAGCTCTCAATATTTGTACCATATAAATGTGACATGGTGGGTGTGTAAAACTCCTGCAAGGAGTACTGTGATTGGCCTAACATCAGATGCAAACACAGCAATGGCTTCATGCAGTTTAGTGGGTCAAGAGAGCCACACCTCTGCCTCCAAGGGAGACACACCTCTGCCTCCAAGGAAGACCAGTAAAGGCACTCTCCTCAACTCAGCATCTGGCCTAATCCGCATTTCCTCATTGCTGTTTTCTGATGTTGCCTCTGCTCTTGTTAATCAGGAAGCACAGACCAGTCATGCTTGTGTTGCTCCACTGTCAGTCCTCCAGAGCCTCAAGAGATCTTTGGGCCATATCAGCTTTCTTTCCAAAATGAACACACCCAGGGGCAGGAAAGAATGCTCTTTCCTTGGTCATTAAGGGGCCTGGGAGTCCTGGACCAGCTTTTCATGCAGCTAGACCACTTACATGCAACTAGAGCCTTGACTTTGAAACGAGGGACAAAAGCATCTCTTGCTAAAGGTAACTTCTGCTGCTTAGAACCCAGGTATGGGGAACTTCTTTCATGTCTCTGTGTTTAGCCTCGAAGTGCCTCTGGGAGTCTTGTCAAAGGTACAGAGTACTGAAGGATCCAGGGCTGCTTACAAGGGTGCAGGTTGGTGATCTGCTTATCCACTGTGTAGGGACAACTATTGAATCACACATCAAGGATCCTGAGAGAAGGAGGGTTGTGAACAACTGGTTCTCATTGTGGAGTGTCTGTGATATTCTTGGGGACTGTTCTGGTGCCCTAACTAGAAAACCAGAGGCAGATGATCCCTAATAGTCAAAGCACCTTGTGGGGCCCTCAGTGGCCATGTGCATGATCCTTACAGATGTCTCTTTGGATGAGGAATGGAAGAAGATGGGCTCAGTGAGGCAGGTTAGCTACAAATTACTTAGGAGTGTTCAGCTTCAAGTCAGGAAAAGTGGTGATTAACCTGCTGTGTGGAGGGCTAAAATGGAGATACACACACACACACACACACACACACACACACACACAGACACACACACGCACTCTGTCTCTCCCTCCTTCCTCTCAACCCAGAGACTCAGAGTACTAGAAGGTGCCCGTGGTGATGTGTTGGAACCTCCTAACAATCCCAGATGTGATTAATGGAAAGCATACCAAGACCATCACAGCCTAGAGAAGCAGGACTGTGCCAGCCACAGCAGAGATGGGAGCTTCCTTTTAGGGTTTTCTGGCCTTGAAATGTCCTGTACCCATCCTTATTCTCAAATATGCATCTAGGAGAGGCTCTCAGGGCAGCTCTCTCTAAAGAATTTTTACAGTAAAATTTTAGGGGGAGAGGAGAAAAAAGCATAACATGTTTCTTCTCTCCTTCTCTCACATGGCCAACTGTTAACAGCCTCCTCACCACCATCTGATCTATCTTGTTCTCTTCACAAAAGGCTCTGAAGACATCATGAACCCACAACGTAAGTGGTGAATTGCAAATCAGCTTGGAAATATCTCCATCTGACCTCATCAAAGACAATAGGATGGAAGGACCCCTATCATTTGCTAAGCTATAAATGTATTTGCTCTTGCTAAAACACTCAGTTCCTAAAACGGCCTTTGAAAATCTCGGGGCACCTAGCTCTTTTATTATTATCTGTATTTAGAATTGCTTGTTTATTTTGATGAGAGGATTTTAAAAAACAACATATGGATAACTAATTTAAATATTATGGGGTTTTTTTTACCACCTAGACATTTTATCATTCGGAAAAAGACAAGTCACTAATAGCCCTAGAAAAAGGTGAATCTTGGGACTGTGACTGCACGTAGATCCTTTCAAATGCTTTGATTCACAAACTAGTCCCTGCCCTATTTCCCCTCCATTTATCGTTATAGCCACTACTTCTCAGAGCAATGAGACTCTCTCCAGAAACTCAAAAGCCATTAATACCAGGATGCAACTGGAGTCCTGAAGTTGATAACCTCACGTGTATTTTGTGCATTTTTGTCATCTGGCAGGGGAGGCAGCACCCAAATCCTATGCTATTCGTGATTCTCGACAGATGGTGTGGGTCCTGAGTGGAAATTCTTTAATAGCAGCTCCTCTTAGCCGCAGCATTAAGCCTGGTGAGTGACAATCAAACCCACTGTTGCTTCTTGAGGTGATGCCATCTTCACCAGGAATGAGGCTGAGCTTGCATAAGCCTGGCCCTGGACCTCACCCACTTCTAGGCACCAGCCCAACAGCCACAGGAAGGTCAAGTGAGAAAGGACACTATGATTCCCTTCCACAAAGGAAATCCCATATCTAGAAATGAGGGTGTGAAGGGTTGACAGCTCCTCTTACCAAAAGAAAATATCTTCAGATTAGAAGGGCTTATCCATTCAAACAACAGCTAACCTTCTCCTTGGAGTTTCTCTCCTTCAGGTTCCAACCATTGCTACCTGTGTCCTCAGATTCAAACTCCGTCATCTTTCCACCACCAAACCTACACAGCTTTCTAAGTTGGCATCCTCTTTTCTAATAATGGGGAAATATTCCTTTCTCCCATCAAAAGTCAGTCCATCTCAGCTTCTTTCCCTGTATCCAGAACTTCAATGTTTAATTCCTCGCTTCCCTGCAAATTCCACCTTTGTTTACTGGACCCTTTCTATCATTGTCAGACATGCTGCAACCTTCTCTTGATTCCCACATTTTCCTCCTACTAACACATTTTCTTGTGCCAATCATAGCAAAACTTCACGAGAGCTGGCTGCATAATTTGCAGTCTAACATCTGGATTACTCTTCCTACTCCCCCCCAACCTTCTATTTCACCCATGACCTTCAAATACTCAAACCCAAAGGACACTTCTTGGTCCCCATGCTATTTGGCCCTTAGCTCACTAGTGTAATGGACCATTTCCTTCTTGAATACTCTACATCTTCTCCCTTTTTTTTTTTTAAACGGAGTCTCACTCTGTCACCCAGGCTGGAGTGCAATGGCACGATCTCAGCTCTCTGTAACCTCCACCTCCCAGGTTTCAAGCAATTCTCCTGCCTCAGACTCCTGAGTAGCTGGGATTACAGGTGCCCACCACTGTGCCTAGCTAATTTTTGTATTTTTAATAGAGATGGGGTTTCACCACATTGGTCAGGCTGGTCTCGAACCCCTGACCTCGTGATCCGCCCACCTCAGCCTCCCAAAGTGCTGGGATTACAGGCGTGAGCCACCGCACCTGGCCCATCTTCTCCTTCTATTAGAATATTACTTCTCATGAGGTTTGCTGGCTCCTCTTTTGCATTTTCTTTTATGACTCTCCTTTGTCTCTGAAATCTCCAAATGATGGCGTTCCTCAGGGCTCAGCCAGTCATCATTTACAAGCCCTGTGAATGGGTAATGAGCTGATC
The DNA here is from genome assembly GCF_000001405.40 of Homo sapiens. Taxonomy (NCBI): domain Eukaryota; kingdom Metazoa; phylum Chordata; class Mammalia; order Primates; family Hominidae; genus Homo; species Homo sapiens. The sequence goes on along the minus strand of NC_000002.12, from coordinate 113,029,784 downwards.
TTTTGCATTGATGAATCACCCCTACACTCATTCACTCTGCCGTTTACACTTCCAACACAGATCTCCTCTCTCAATAGTTTACCCGTGTCCTCTTGAGGTCCTCTCAGATACCTCTAACTTCATGTATCCCAAGTGGGACTATTGATCTGTCTTCTCAAAACCGCTAACATTCTCTGTTGGTGGCACTTCTGTCCACTCCATTTCCTCGAGCCGGAAATACAGGAGACATCCTTGATTCCTCCTTTCCCTCACTCTCCATCCAATCTATTAGCAAAGATTGGTAGGTCTACGTGCAAAACATGCCTGATTTCTAAGATAACATCATCTCTTGCCTGGACCACTGCCATCACATTCTCACTACCCACCTCTCACTTTATTTGGGTAGCCCCCATCCCATCTCATATTGTGGCCCATGAGATAGAAGCTCCCCACTTTTATCTCATGGGCCACATCTTAAGCATATGACCACATTTTGCTGCAAGTGTGGTAGGAAATTTTACTTCTTTTTGGGAAGCAACATGTCCTGGTGACAACTGGGGTTCTGTTATTAAGGACGAAAAACAAAATAGGTTTGAGGAGGGTGATGGAGGGTCTCTGCCACATGGCTAATGGGAGGAGCCTGTCACTATTCCCTACCTGGGGGGAGTAACTGAGTGTCAGACCAGAAAGACTGAAACATCTTCTCCATTTTCCTTTGTGTTTCCAGTCACTCTTCATTTAATAGCCTGTAGAGACACAGAATTCAGTGACAAGGAAAAGGGTAATATGGTTTACCTGGGAATCAAGGGAAAAGATCTCTGTCTCTTCTGTGCAGAAATTCAGGGCAAGCCTACTTTGCAGCTTAAGGTGAGTGATTGTGCAGCTAACGAGAGAAGTACTGTCATATGGACTTTCTATTTCATTTACTATGTTACTGAATAAAAATAATATGCTTGCAACCCTGGACTATTCAATGTAAGGAAATAATTCTGACCTGGCTGATCCCTGAATCTATAAATGCTGCCTTTGGAATGGATATAACACTTCTTTTAATGTCAGAGCATAGATCCTCTGAAAGATAGAAAATACACTTACAGGAATGTTTCAGAAAAGCCAAAGAACAGTATTTTCTCCATTCTCGGTCCTGTTTAACTGCATTCTGGAAATCCTCTAAGACAACGGGATGCTCTCACTACACCAAAGGTGACTGCACAGCAGAGGAGACAAAAAGATTTTGAATGTGGTTATGGTCTGTGTACCATAAACACATAACTCTTACCAAGGCAACATTGTAGTTATGAAGCTAATTCTTCTGCTATTGTTGGAAATTGTAATGCATAAGCCCACTTGGAGGTTGAGAATGCAGCAAGACTGGCCTGAACCTGCAGACAAATGCATATCAAAAGCACCAAGAAAGAGATTTCAACCTCCCTCTGTTCCAGGGAAGACAGTGATGCTTCAAAGAGTCAGAGCACCTTGTGTCAGAGGATCCTGGGGTGGAGCCAGGCTATGGGAACCCAGTGAGTTCCCGTTTTTAACACTCTAATGCCCTGCTTCATCTGCCTTTGTCCCTAGCCTCTGTCCCTTCCTTTGGGGGCAGCAGTCCCTCTCCTGTTACACACTCAGAGCTGAGTTACTTTAGCTTCCTCCTCCTATCCTCCTCTCTAACAAGCCTCTTTTCCACCCCCAGGAAAAAAATATCATGGACCTGTATGTGGAGAAGAAAGCACAGAAGCCCTTTCTCTTTTTCCACAATAAAGAAGGCTCCACTTCTGTCTTTCAGTCAGTCTCTTACCCTGGCTGGTTCATAGCCACCTCCACCACATCAGGACAGCCCATCTTTCTCACCAAGGAGAGAGGCATAACTAATAACACTAACTTCTACTTAGATTCTGTGGAATAAATCCAGCCTAGGCTGTGGGTGGCTGGTTCCAGGATAGAGAATCAAGCTGTCAGAGTCATCTTAACAGATCATTATGCGACTGAGTTCACTAGCAGTTCAGCCCATCCATAGCTTACCTCATTCTTACTATCCAAAAGCCACCTCCTCCTCCAAACATCCATTTCTGTACCAAGACCCTCACTCGAATGTCACTATCCCAAGATGAAACCTAAAAATCACTTTCCATTCTTTCTTGATCTTACCCCACCATCCACTCAGCTGCCATGCCCAGTTTAGTCAACCCCCCAAATGCTGCTTCATGCAACCTTCCATTCCTATTCCTTTTGCCAACCCATGATGTAGAGATGTGGATTCATGACATTTTGTTCATACAACTTCTTCAATAAAACATTATAATATGTGCCCCAAAGATAAAGCTGAAGAATGAGATGAATGTGAAATTAAAGGTTTGCATGTCTTTCTAATCCTAATGAATTCTTAATGTCATTCGTTAATAATTTGACACACAGTGTATACACTTAACCCTTGAACAACACGATTTTGAACTGCACAGGTCCACTTAAACACTGATTTTTTTCAATAAAAGTTACACCAAATGTCCCTGCTTCTCCTGCCTCCCCCTCTAACTCCTCCACCTCTTCTGCCTCTCCACCCCTGAGACAGCAAAAACAATCCCTCCTCTTTCTTCTCCTCAGTCAATGTGAAGATAATGAGGATAGATTGTTATGATGATCCACTCCCACTTAATGAATAATAAATATGTTTTCTCTTCCTTACGAGTTTCTTAATAGTATTTTCTTTCCTCTAGCCTACTTCATTGTAAGAATACATTATATAATACATATAACATACAAAATGTGTTAAATGACTGTTTATGTTATTGGCAAGGCTTCTGGTCAACAGCAGGTTATTAGTTAAGTTTTTCTGAAGTCAACAGTTATACATGAATTTTTGACTGTACTGCTACCCCCATGCTGTTCAAGGGTCAACTGTACTTTGGTTAAGATCAATTGCTAACCATGGTGAATGTAAACCAATCCATATTTTAAAAAATCATTTATATTGGCTTTAATTTCTTTCAGACAACTTCTAGAACTGAATGTTTTTTTGTTTTTACTTTATAAAGTTGCTGGAAGAAGAAGCATCAGCTATGATACTTCCTTGTTATTATTCATATTTTCTGGAATTTTGTTAGTGTACATTCAATCTACCACTCCTCTATAGGGATACTTTTAAGCCAGTTGTCCATTTTGTGAGAGTTATTTTAATTAAAGTTTGTAATATAATCTGCAAATCCACTAACCAAGTACATGTATACTGCAATAAATATACCATAATATCCTGAGCATGAACATGAGCATAACAGGCTGTCTTCTCTCAAGAGAACTTGTCCTTCTTTGCACATGACAAGCAGGCATATTGGGTCTTGCAATGGGTACCCACTGCTAAGTTCCAATTTCTCAGCCAGGCATAATTTGTCCCCAAAACTATGCTTCTGGCATTATCTCTTATTGCTTCAGTGCCCCGCATTCTCTTTGGGATACTCCTGAACCCCACCTTACATGCTGTATGCAGGCCTTTTACTCCAGTCATTGCCGTGCAACCAACTTTGAGACAGTGTAACCTGGCAGTGTATTATCTCAGCAACATTGAACATTTCTCTCTTCCAGCTTCAGGGCTCCCAAGATAACATAGGGAAGGACACTTGCTGGAAACTAGTTGGAATTCACACATGCATAAACCTGGATGTGAGAGAGAGCTGCTTCATGGGAACCCTTGACCAATGGGGAATAGGAGTGGGTGAGGAGCAAATTCTCTTATCCATCCCACAGGTGGACAATTCTGAGATGCGTTCATTCTTCATGGTTCCTCAGAGGATCCCAGCAGTATTGAGACATAATCACCCATGGCAGGTCTAAGTTCAAGAATACATCCTGAATTGACTTCTCTCACTTCCCTGTTTCAATTTCCCCAGTCCCTTCTCATGTTCCCTAGGGTCACTTGTCATCATCTTGCATGCAAACCCTTGTCTCAGTCTCTGCTTTCTGGTATAAACCTAGCTAAGACAGATTCTATCAAAACCAACTTCTTTTCTCAACTAGCCACCTCCAACACGTTGGATTTCTTCCCTCTATGTTCCTGCTCATGCCTTTGCACACATCTCAAACACTTCCATTGCTGCCTATGTCTTACTAACATCCTAAATCCCTTCCAGCTGTTTTACGGGACTCTCCTCATCTTCCCAACCGAAGGCAACATCTTATCTTCTGCGAGGTCCATAGCATTTTTGCCTTCTCATGGAACATTTATTTTCTTAGGCTTTGTGCTATAGCTTCTTCTCCTTGTCTTGGCCCATTTGCTCTCTTCTCGTCAACCAAATTCTAGGTACATAGAGGCAGAAATTTGTCTCTTTCATTTATGCACTCCCTTTAGATACCAAATCTTCCCTCCCTCTTAGCAGTTTCTCAGAATGCACTGTTGAAGCAAATTAATTTTCATTTCATGTATTAGCATCTTCCCATTAATACCAAAGTGTGTCAGGGAGAATCTTGCATTATATCAGGGCAGTCCTCAACTTCAAGAAGGGTCCAAGGAACTGGAAAGCTTCTCACAGAATATGGAGAGGAAAAACATAGAAAGGCTGCTCAGAAATTTCCCTGTCTCAATTCTTCCTCCTCTTCCCCTTATGCCAATATGGCTCCAGGGGAATGTGATGATACAAGGGCATCCACTCGGGAGGAGATGGCTGCAGAAATGAAACATAACCAAGGGTATCCCCAGGAGCTTTTAGCCAGTATCCTCTGCCTCCCTCTTGGAGGGCTCGGTGCACAGTCTGAGGGTTTGCATTTTGTCCAAGCCTTTCCCCACATGTATTTATGCATATGCACAACAGCATAGGGGCACAAGAGAAGGAGCCCAGGGAAATTCACCATTGCAAATATTTTCTCTGACAAGGTCATGACTAAGCACAAATGGCCTCAAGGATGGCCATGAGAGACTTGCAACAATGTACTTGGATACGTAGTACATAGGTTTTCTGAGAAGGGCTGCAAAGAATGTGAGTTCTGTAAATAGCTAAATGTGCAGAAAGAATCTATAGGAAGATGGTGATGAAAAATGCAATGTAATCCTGGACAGTGCTTATAAATATCAGCTTCCCAGCTATTCCAAGGGCACTGAACATGAGCAAGAGATAGACAGCCAGCCCATCTTACATCACACCACCTGTGCCCTCTGCCAGAGGAGTGAGGACATTGTGATGGTGAAGGAGGAAGAAGAGGAGGAGAAACCACAGAAAGACTCAAGAGGTGTCCTCAAATATTTTATTTGCTCTCCTGGATCGAGAGCTGTGATGTTCTTTGCTTAAATCTAAGAACCACAGGAGAAGGCACGGGATGACAGATTTCTGTTCAATCAGTATCAGAAGGCACTTCCCAAACAATGTGGGTTTCCTAAGCCTTGCAAGGAGGTAGGCTAATTCCTTGTCTATCTGTAGTATGGAAAAAATAAGGCCAACATAAACACACACACACGAAATAGAATATCGATAAATGGAGAAAGAGCACAGTGTTATTCCCCCTGTTCCAGTCTCTGAAGCACTAGTTCCTATGACCTTTTTTTTCCAGCCTATGAGATACTCTAATATTCACGGAGGTGTTGATGCTTTTGTTGCTTTCTTAAGCAAGAGTCACGGTCCTCAGGCCCAGGACTATTGAATGGTGGGTTTTTCACAGGGTGGTAGAGAGGGAGTTTACCCGTGTGACACTCAAAGATAGTTTGTCCCCTGAATCTCTTCTATTCAGAAACCTAAATGAATGCACGTCCATTTCAGAGATCCCTACATGCTTCCACCCATCTTTCTCTTCAATTTCCATCAGCATGCATATCTGCCCTGTCCTTCCCTCCACTTCAGTTTCCTTTATTCTTCAGAAGAGAAAATGTAAAAAGCTCTATAAGCTTGCAACTGAGAATCTTTGTCTCTCACTTAGGTCAATAAGTTTATTTTAACGTTGTTGATGATCTAATGTGAATTAGGGGCAAGAAAACAACACGGGTTATCAACAAGAAAGGAGGGGAGATAAATATGCAGTTAAAGAACTGATCAGTTAACTACCTTACTAGTTTGAGTCACTTACAAGTAGAACATTTCTGATTATAAAAAGAATACTTCAAAGTCAACTCTAGGCCGTATGGTTGGGAAGTAACACCAGAAATAAGTGAATAAACTACATGGAAACCCATAATGTCATTCCCTTAATGGTTGTCTCCTTAACTAAGGATGCAATTAAAAATGAGACAGAGACTAGCAAAGACTGTGCAGCTGACAGAGTGCCACCTCCCAATATCTAATAGCAACCATCAAAAGATCAAAAACCATACACTGATGTTCTCTATTGCTCGTACAGTTTAGCAGGTTAAATTTTGCAGATTACAGCTCTAGTTCACTAAAATCAGTTTTATCTATGCCTATAATAGCAGTGTGGCCATAATAAAAGCCACATCTAACTGACCAAGGCCAAAGCCACTAGCAATGTCTTCTCCAAACTCACCATGTAGTTTGAACCCCAAACAACAAAGCTTGTTTTTATCTCAAAGGAAGTGTCAGGATCAATAATCTGAATTATTCAACAAATATGTTTTGAGCACCTATGCTGTTCTAAGTGCTGGGGACATAGTAGTAAACAAAAAGGGGAAAATATGGCCATCCTTATGGAACTGACATTAAATGTTGAAGGTTGGTAGGTAACAGTCCCTCCTTCCAATCGCCATCCACGTTCAAACATTTAGAAACTATGTTGATGCCAAAATCAAAATCATAGCAGTGCCTTTATTATTGTTACAGCTGGATTAGGGAAGTGAGGGGTGCCTCTTAGTCTTCTGGGGCCTCAATCTAGACTTTTGGGGCAAAAACCATGCCCACCAACTCTAATTTCATTTTCTCCAGTCACTGTAATAATCCATCACTCTTCAGCAGAATCAAGTGAGTAAGGCTGAGAGGAAGGCAAACTCCAATCTCCTCCAGGAGCCTCCGTGTAGAATCTGCCCTTTTAGCCCCTATTCAATTGGTGGTTTAGCAAATGTCCACATCTTGCTAAGCCTAGGAGATACTTCTCCTTTCCTGCAGGTAGAAAGAAGTGGAAGAGTTCCTTTCAACATCACCATCTCAGGAAGAAGGACAAAGATTTCTCATCCATGCGGACCAACATAGGAATGCCAGGAAGGATGTAGAAATAAGGGGAGGAAGATTCCCATCTCTACAATCTTTGAGTGGGTTTGCTATCAATGAAATGCTACAAATGGAATAAGTTGCAGAAATTTTTCTCTTTTCTTGGGTTCTGGAGAGTTTGTAAAACAAGGACACTATGTATTTTTAAAGAGTTGGTAAATCTTACCTGTAAAGCTAGAGAAGGTCGGAGTCTTTTTAGGAGTAGATTTGGACTACATAACCTGTAAATGTGTTTTGTCCAGTCCTTAGAGTGTTTTTTAAAAAATTGTAAAGTCAAGGTTTTCATGAAAAATGGGAAGATCAGACAACATTGCTCCTGAATTCCCACAGAGCAGCAAGCTACTAGAGCTCAATCTGTTATTTCTTTTCCTGATGTACAGGGGTTAAGTCCTATGGAAGAAACAGCAGAATTATTCAAAATTATTTACATAATGTGCAATTATTCACTAGAGCATGAGGAGTGAAACGCTCTGTTTAGTATGTATAACTTAAAAGGAACACATACAATTAAAAGTAATTGAAAGACATTTCTTCTTAAAAATTCTATAATCTTACACTGGTAAAATAAACTAGTTTTTCCCATGTAATCAAGTCTATATGATATTATTTTTATAGTATATTATTTTTCTTCATCCATTTGCCTTTAACTCCCATGTGGGCTGCTCTTTATCTACCATAGGCAGAACCATATATTTCCATTCCTATGTAATAGGATCCCAGTGAGTCTTTTTCTCCCAAAAGATGCAGCAACAAAAAGTTAGGGATTATAGCCATGGAAAAGACAGTCAGTTGTTTCTTACAATGGAATAGTAATAGTCTAGGCCTCCTACTGTAGGCACCGAGTAGCCACCCTGGGTATCCACTCTTTCATCCACTGATTTGCTCAGAACAACACCTAGCTATTGTATCAGAAAATTTTCAAGCATACAGAACATAACGGGGACCACAGCATTTGAGAAACACAGCCTCTGCTAAAGCTACTTTCTTCACATGCTGTTTACACTTTTCACTTTTAAAAACGTTAATTTTTCAGTTATTAATACATCGACACATTCATCTTGAAATAAAGTTAAAATATACCAGATAAATCCAAATTCTTTCCCCCCAGATCCTAGTTCCTCTTTCTCCACCCCAATGGTAACCACTGTTATGAATTGGTGTCACTCTGGCTATTTCTTATGCATTTACGTACTCATAGGCTCTATTGGAAGCATACAATGTTGTCTTATGTGTACCCCTGTGCATCTGTATGTATGTGTCCATGTGAGTGCATGTTTCTCTAACTGGAATAATAAAATACATATTTTTCTCCAACTCACTTTTCTTTTTTTTTCGAGACAGAGTCTCACTCTGTCACCCAGGCTGGAGCGCAGTGGTGCAATCTCAGCTTACTTCAACCTCCGCCTCCCAGGTTCAAGCGATTCTCCTGCCTCAGCCTCCCAAGTAGCTGGGATTACAGGCGTAGGGCGCCACCATGCCCAGCTAATTTTTATATTTCTACTAGAGACAGGGTTTCACCATGTTGGCCGGGCTGGTCTTGAACTCCTGACCTCAAGTGATCCACCTGCCTCAGCTTCCCAAAGTGCTGGGATTACAGGTGTGAGCTACTATGCCCAGCCCAACTCATTTTTTCACTGAAAAATGTGTTCAAATATCTGTCTACACTGGCATGGATGGCTGTCTCATTCCTTTACAACTGCTGCAGAGCACCCAACAGAATGGTTTTACCATCCTTTGTTTAGCCATTCCTTCATGGATGGAGAGTTAGGCTGTTTCCACATTTTGCTACTTTTTTTTTTTTTTTTTACAAACAATGTGGCAATGAACATTCTAGTGTATGCCTTCTGTGCAGACATGCAAGACTTTCTTTGGAATAGATAAGTGATCTTAGACAAGATAGCTGAAAAAAATAGATAAATGAATTGCTTGACCATGGAGTAAGTCCATTCTTTATTTCAATAGATAATATCTGCCCTTGGATGTGGCTTTTCTAATTTACACTTCCAATGGTGTTTTCATTCTTCCCTGCCCTACATTTTTACTTTTTAAAAATTTAAAAAGTATTGTTGTCCTAGCATATAAAGCAGGGGTTTCCAACCCCTAGGCCATGGTCCGAAATTTTTTTAAAATTTACACTTCCAATGGTGTTTTCATTCTTCCCTGCCCTACATTTTTACTTTTTAAAAATTTAAAAAGTTTTATTATTCTAGCACATAAAGCAGGGGTTTCCAACCCCTAGGCCATGGTCCATGGACCGTTACCAGTCCTTACCTGTTAGGAACCGGGCTGCACAGCAGAAGGTGAGTGGCAGGCGAGCGAGCAGTACTGCCTGAGTTCTGCCTCCTTTCGGATCAGTGGGAGGTATTAGATGCTCATAGGTGCGTGAACCCTATTGTGAAGTGCGTGTGCAAGGGATTTATGTGTGCGCTCCTTATGAGAATCTAATGCATGATGATCTTCTAAGAACACCCACATCCCCAGTCCATGGAAAAAATGTCCTCCATGAAACCAGTCCCTGGCGCCACAAAACTTAGGGACCACTGATATAATCTCTCACTGTTATTTTCATTTGCACATGCCTGATTACTGATTAGTCCTTCAGTACTCTGCACTCTCCAGTCTGACCTCTGACATCTGACTTCTCCACCAAAACCTTTCTTCTGAGCACCATCAATGACACCCCTGCCTGTTTCCTGATGCCAATGGGCACTCTGCTGTCCTAATCTCAATCAGCGCTAGGCACACTCCACTGCTCCCACACATCTTTACATGCACATACTAGGGATTCTGCAACAAGTCTCTCTGGGCTTTCCTCAGACTCACTGAAATTTTCTTTTTACTTTCATTTACTGGCTCCCCCTCATGTGACTTCTTGTAGTTGAAATTCCTCAGAACTCATCCTTGAATCCTCTTCTCCTTTATACTATTTCACTGGGTGACACTATTTGTTTCATGAACGGGTGTATGTGGACGTATTAGTTGGTTCTCATGCTGCTAATAAAGACATACCCAAGGCTGGGTAATTTATAAAGGAAAGAGGTTTAATGGACTCACAGTTCAGCATGGCTGGGGAGGCCTCACAATCATGGCAGAAGGCAAAGGAAGAGCAAAGGCACACCTTACATGGCAACAGGCAAGAGAGCTTGTGCAGGGGAACTCCCATTTATAAAACCATCGGCTCTCGTGAGACTTATTCATACTGTAAGAACACATGGGGGAAATTGTCCCCATGATTCAATTATCTCCACCAGGTCCTGCCCTTGACATTTGGGTATTATTACAATTCAAGGTGAGATTTGGATGGAAACACAGCCAAGCCGTATCAGTTGACAATTTTATCCCTGGCCCAGAAGTCTCCTCTAAACTCCAGATATGCATTTGTAGCTACCAATGTAGACTGTCTCTGAACTTGGAAATTGAATATGTCCTAAGTAGAACGCTTGATCCTTCCACAACCTGCACATTCCAACACTCAGTTATCTCCGTCTCAGTTACAACAGAAACCTAGGAGTGATCCTTGATTTTTCCTTTCGCTGAAGTCCTACATCCAACCTATTAAAAAGGCTGTCTCTAAAGCAGATTTTCTCCAAAATATGTCTTGAATCTACCCGTCTCTCTTCAACTTCCTTGTCACCCACCACTGAATGCCAGACAACCACCAAGGCTCATCTGAATGTGGATCCACCTCCTGCCCATTGCCCTTCGTCTACTCCTGCACCCATTAAATTCATTCTCCATGAGACAGCCAGGATTATCTCTACCAATGGAAATCTTAACCGTGCCAGTCCAATCTCTAGACCCCTTCAACGTTTCCATTTGCACTTGGAAGAAAATGCAAAGTCCTTACCATCATTTACAGGCTTGCTTGAATCATCTGGCCTGCCTCCAACCCCTCTTCCAGATAACTCTTTCTTTCCATCAGTATCTTCAGTTATTCCAATCTTTCAGCTCTTTGAACATGCCAAGTTCTTCACAGCCCCAGGACCTTTGCATATGCTAAGTTCATGTACAGCCTTTTACCTGTATTAGTTTATTCTCATATTTTCCTTTTTTAGCTCCTTCAAGTCACCTTCCTATATGTGACTTTTTGGCCACCATGTCTAAAGTAATCTCCTTCCTCTACCTCTTACGTCAGCTTTTGACTGTTTCCTTCACAGGGTTTGTAATCACTTTATTGATTTGCCTCTATCTTTCTTTCCTTCCCCCATTACCTTATAAACTCTTTGATTGCAGGGAAGTGATATTTTTCTAGTTTACCATTGTATTTCCAGCCCCTAACACTGTGTCTGTGTTTAATAATTTTTGTTGAATTATTAATAAATCAATAACTGAATAAATGGATAAATGAGGAACTGACTTCCTTCCCAGGCAGTCCACCTTTTTTAACAAGACTAGTCTCACTCAGAATAAAATCTGTCTTCCTGTTCCTCAGCCTTGATGTCGCAGAGAATGAAGGGACTCCCAGGTCCACCCAAGTCCTTCAGTTTGTGAGTGCAGCTGTCACGGCCCGCTTTAGCCTCCCCTTTCCCTTTGACATAACTCTCCAAAGGAAGAACAGTTCTTTCCTCCTCATGATTCCTTCTATTAAACACTTGGCTTTCTTCCTGCCTTCATTCACCTCAGCCAAGTGAAAAGAAACCCATACATCCTGCTGCACACCTATTATCCTGCTGTCATTACTGATACCACCCCTTCCCCTCTTAAAAATGACACCTTATATATAAATTATGTGGTCATACTACATATGAGAAACTAAGAGTGTGTGGACTAACTGCTGTCTATCTACTTTCCATTGAAAACCAATAGAATTGAAGAAAGCTTTCATTTTGCTCTGTTCCATCATGATTCACTCTTCTTCTCCTCCTTCTCCCTCCTTCTCCCTCCTCCTCCTCCTCCAGCTCCTTTTTCTTCTTCTTCTCCTCCTTCTCCTTCTTCTTCTTTTCTTCTCTTTTCTTTCTTTCTCTCTTTCTTTCTTTCTTTCTTTTTCTCCTTCTTCTTCTTCTTCTTCTTCTTCTTCTTCTTCTTCTTCTTCTTCTTCTTCTTCTTCTTCCTCTCCTTCTTCTTCTTCATGTGTGGTCCAACTGCTGTCTACCTACTTTCCACTGAAAGCAAATAGAATTGAAGAAAGCTTTCATTTTTCTCTGTTCGATTATGATTCACCCTTCTCCTTCTCCTTCTCCTTCTTCTTCTCCAAGAGACAGAGTCCTGCTGTGTTACCCAGGCTGGTCTCAAACTCCTGAACTCAAGCAATCTTCCCACCTCAGCCTCCCAAGTGCTGAGAGTCCAGGTGCAACCCACCGTGCCCAGCCATGATTTGTACTTTTATGAGAGCCATCTTCCCTGTGGTTCTGACTGTGACATGTGTGACTGCAATTCTCATTGTCTCATTCTGTGCTTTACTCATTTGCAGAAATAATCCACAATCAATATCAGCTTTATCAATAATAAATGTATCAATAAACAAAAAAAAGTCTTTGTCTTACTTCTCAATTGGTTCATAACTCAAGTGGGAAAGAGGGATTACCTCTATTACCCCTCCCCTCAAGCACTAACAATTAACGTGGCAAAAACCAATTCTTCATCCATGGCCAAGGTCATTGGTATCAATGGGTGCTTCCTAATCCAGACAGGACTAATAGTGGAGTTCAGTCTGAAATGATGGCTAAGCCCAAGCACTAAGCAGTGCTGGTGAAGGAAGATGGCTCATTAATAGGGGTAGCAATGCATACTTTAGTCACTCATCTAAAATATTATGTGCACTGGGTCTGCCATTAGGACCCATCTGGGCAGGTCCTGTGCCTGACTATCACATTGTCCCCGCCCCATCAGCCTAAAATCAACAGGAACAACTCTGTAGTCCAACAAAGTCAGATTTATTGACTTACTGCAGTAAGAGAGACTGTCCATCAGGAACCTGAGCCATAGCAAGGAAGAAAGACAATGTATAGGATTTGGGGGAAAAGTAATATTTAGGCAAAATTTAAATGAAGCAAAGTTTAGATGGACTCAAAGCAAAAAGTGCTGTATGGAGAGGGGTCTACATTAGGTCAGTAGTGTAAAGAGGATCTAGGGTCTGTGTCCTGTGAAACTACAAAGTTAAGATACATGTAGAATGTTGTGACCAGAAACCTTTTATCTGAAGCTTTGTTCACAGGCTGGAGACTGAGGCTGCTTCTCTGTGTCAGCATGATTTATATTATTCAGGCAAAACTGGAATGCTTCATTCTTGTTCATACAACTTGAAAAGTCAAATGTCCAATTGTCCATGGTTGTAAAGAACAAAGTCTCTTAGTGATTAAAAAAATAGTAGCCACTCAAAGAAGAGGAATGTTATGATACTACAGCTGCAGCATATTATTGGGAGAAATATTATTGCTTGTTAATTTGCAGTGGGCTTTATCTGTGCCTTGTTATTCCAGCCTCATGTTTTTACTTTCTAAACACAGTGTGTCCAGTGGGGAGCACAGAGCACGGTCCCACCAACTCACTGTCCAACAAGAAACAGCTGTCCCTTTGATTCCAGCACAAGCAAAGACCCTCATCGATGGCCAGTGCCAGGCCAAAGGCCCAGCAGTGAGCTTGGGATCAGAGGCCAGTAGCTTCCAGCATGAGCTGGGCCAAGGAGTCCAGACACCAGTGTGGATCGGGGTCTCCATGTTCCAGTGGATATGTAGTTTCTCTAGTAGCCCCTATGCTCCTTTAGCCAAAGGAGCATGTGAAGACTTCTCTCTCTAGAAAGCTGCTTCCTGTTGAGGCTTTGGGTGGGGAAATATCAATGGTAGCACAGGTTAGACTGCTCAGAGATACTCAAGGAAAGAAGGTGAGGGAAATCCCCAGACAGTAAAAATAAAGAAATGGGATTACATCAACATTTTCAGGGACTCTCCCAAGTCAGGTTACTGGATGCTGTTCCATCTGTACATGGACAATCCCTGAGGTCAAGAGTACACCTCCTAGAGCTGAACAAAGTTGGCTCCGCCTAACAAGCCTCTGTACCTCAGAGCCTAGGGCAGGCCACCACTGTGGGCATCCTGGTCCCTAACGATAGACTCAAATTCCCTCTTTCAGAAGTCCAGAAGACGGAGGCATCTTTCTGAAGCCTGAAGCATTGACTCCCAGGTTTTCCCAGTGCCCTTTTCCCAATTCCCAGTGCCTGGAAATGAAGAGGGGTTCAATGGAAGATACTTGTGATTACTACTGCATACAATGTATAAGGTTTTTATATTCAGCACCTGTGAGTCCAAACTTTGGAGATGCCTGCTTCTAGCTACATGGATTCAGTCAAGTCTCTTCACAGCTCTGAGTCCCCAATTTCCCTTCCACAAAATAGAAATAATTTTCATGGTGGATATTGTGGTTAAGAAGGATAATATGCTCAGCACACTATTCATTCAGCAGAAAAAATGCACATAGACCAACTACATTAGTGTCACCCTACCTCTGTCTCGAAATTCATTTGCATCTCTCTACTTTTTTGCTTTTTCTCTTGGATACTGAGTTAGTCACCCCCTGGGGACCTAGATCACTCTGGCCTTTCCCTAACATTTGTTTTTTCTTTCCAAACTTCAATTTTATTATAGGCTACCTTAATTCTTGATGACCTTGTTCTCTCTCCAGCATACCAGTCCCCTAAAAATCACCTTTCCTGGAATTATCATCATACAGAAAAACATAAAAGCTGTTCTCAGGGAGCCTCCTAGGCTAAGAAGCTTTGCCCCACACAGCCTGCTTCTGAAACCCCTCTTGAAAGAAGCACTCCAAATGCAGAGGAATACATCCAGGATGATTATTCACAATATTCAGTAGGTAAGGTTGAAGACATATTAATAATTTGGTAAAGTTTAACGTTGTTTTTAAAATAACTAAAAAGATCCAATTGCTCAAACCCTATGTTTTAAAAAAGATAGATTTGGCCAGGCGGGGTGGCTCACGCCTGTAATCCCAACCCTTTGGGAGGCAGAGGCGGGCAGATCATGAGGTCAGGAGATGGAGACCATCCTGGCTAACGCAGTGAAACCCCGTCTCTACTAAAAATACAAAATATTAGCTGGGCGTGGTGGCGGGCGCCTGTAGTCCCAGCTACTTGGGAGGCTGAGGCAGGAGAATGGCATGAACTCAGGAGGCAGAGGTTGCAGTGAGCCGAGATCACGCCACTGCACTCCAGCCTGGGCGACAGACCAAGACTCCATCAAAAAAAAAAAAAAAAGATAGATTTGATGACAGCAAACAATAAGAATTTCTCTCTTTATTAAAGACACCATAGGAAAAAGTTAGCCGATGACAAGTTGAAATAAGATAGTTGCAACAACTAAAACAAATAGTGAATTAAGACTTAAAAATATATAATAAATTTCTGCAAACCAACAAGAAAAAGGAAAGATACGATAGCATCAAGAGAAGAAAATGGGAAAATGCAATGAACAAGTAATTCACAAAGCAGAAACTCAAGTGGTTAATCTGATCCTAAAGCCATGTTGGATAGCAAGTTTTCAGATACTGTGGCATATGTTTCACTACATCAAATTGAAAAAAAAGAAACTAGTTCACCTAAAAATCCAAATTAATACCCCATATATCACCAAAACACTCCTGTACTGTAATGACATATTATGTAACATATCACAATTTCTGCACTAAAAAACTAAACTAATTACTTAACAAGTAAGAACTCACTAGTAGGTTTGTGTAGATTACAACAATACTCCAAAGTATATCAGATTCAACTATCAGAAAAAGATGAAAAGCAAAATAAAACAAGACAAATTGAAAAAGACAGAAAAGATGTCATATTTAATTCTGCATACCAGTGATCAAAATAAAGGTGAATGGGCCAAATTCAATAAAAAGACAAAAACTATCAGATGACTTGTTAAACCAAATACACACACACGTCTAGCTATATGCTGTTGATAAGAGATACGTGTAAAGGAAAATAATTCAAAAAGGTTGAAAATGTAGGAATTGATGAAGATATATGTCAAGCAAATGTTAACACAAAAAAAGCAGTTGACAATATCATGTTACATTGACTCTAAAATGCCATGGATTGTAAGATGTACAATTATTTTATGTACTATCAAAAAGAAAAAAAAATTGCCCAATTACAATACAATACTTTCTTAGAGTCATACACGTAAATGGAGCTGTTTTAAAGACATGTATTTATAATCTAGTATTCTTTTCATTCACAAAAAGGTAAATATAAATGAGATTAGTCAATTAAAGTATTCCTAAAATTTCTTACTTTTTTTTTTTTTTTGGAGCCAGAGTCTTGCTCTGTTACCCAGGCTAGAGTGCAGTGGTGTGATCTCGGCTCACTGCAACCTCTGCCCCCCGGGTTCAATCGATTCTCCTGCCTCACCCTCCTGAGTAGATGGGATTACAGGCATGTACCATCACGTCCAGCTAATTTTTGTACTTTTAGTCGAGGCGGGGGTTTCACCATGTTGGCCAGGCTGGTTTCGAACTCCTGATCTCAGGTGATCCATCCTCCTTGGCCTCCCAAAGTACTGGAGTTACAGGCATGAGCCACTGCACCCAGCCCTAAAACTTCTTACATTTTGAATGTGATTCTGCTTAATCACTTCTGACTCAGAATCACCAACGTTTGCTTCTGATAAAACTCTCCTGTGTCAACAAGAGTACTGGTGATACAGCATTTCTTAATTTATCCACCCTTATCTCCAGACATCATTCCAAGCTGCTGACCTCCATTCAGCAACTTTTGATGCTGTTGCTTTTTTAATTTATAGGATGTGTGAATAGAAGGTTCATCACCAACAACCAGGATCATATTCCTTCAATGAATGTTTTTTCTTGATGATGTATTGAATGAAACATCAGATGGGGAACATTTGTCCAACCACGGCATCAGAAAAACCAACTGTATTTGCAAATGCATAGGCAATGACCACTGTGTCATGACTGCCACTTGGCTGACAATATAGTAAGATGCCATCCATTGTAGTAACACGTATCTAGGTTTCAGAGAAGTTAAAATGCAAAGAAAAAAAAAGTGTTTTCAAGTGGTGAAGTAATGGTATGCACAGCTAACAAAGAAGTTAAGAAAAACATCAATAATGGTTCAAAGATGAATATTTCATTAGGATAAAAGGTATGAAACAAGAAGAAGAAGATATGGCATACATGAACCTTTAGGTACCAAAAAACTTAGAATTAAAGTAATCTAAGCAAATGGTATAAAATAATAACATAATTTGATTAAAAATACAGTCATAGTAAGGTAATTTAATACTCCCTAAGAGAAACTGATAGATCAAGCAAAAAAAAGTAAGAATTAAAAATATAAAGAGTAAATAGTTAACAAAATTCAACTTATAAATATATAAATACATATATGTTAAATTGTATGTATCTATTAATGTCAAAATATTAAAATACATAATATATATATAATTCTATGTAATATATGTTCATATTATGAAATATATTATATATAAATGAAATTGTATATTTATATATGTCTAAATTTATTGGAAATCAGTGTTAATTTTTCTTAGGTTTGCATGGAAAACTTATTTTTAGTGCACAAAGTCACAAAGGAAATACCAAAAAATGCTCAAAGTTGATATCATACAGGCCATTCCATCTAACCATAGGCAATAATAAACATAGACAATTCTAAGGTAGCCCCCATATTATCCAACCACTTGGGAATTTAGAAATAATATGTATAATACACATCTTAAAGGAAAATAATAACCAAAACAGATTGAAGTTGAAATAAAGACAATGAAAACACTGTATCAACATTATAGGATGTGTCCTGACATCTCTTTGAGATCCTGATTTTAATTCTTTGGGATGTATAATGAGAAGTGAGATTTCTGGGTCATATGGTAGTTCTACTTTTAATTTTTTGAGGAACCTTTATACTGTTTTCTATAGTGACTGCACTATTTCAAATTTCTACCCAAAGTGTACAAGGGTTCCAATTTCTCGACATCCTCGACAACACATTGGTTTTTCTGGTAATAGCCATTCTAACAGGTGATATCTCACTGTGCTTTCGATTTGCATTTCTCTGATTATTAGTAAATGCTGAACATCTTTTCGTATACCTGTTGGCCATTTGTACGTCTTGGAGAAATGTCCATTCAAGTCTGCCCATTTTTAATCAGATGTTTGTTTGTTTGTTTGTTTGTTTGTTTGTTTGTTTGTTTGCCATTGAGTTGTGTGACTTCCTTACATATTTTGGATATTAACTTCTTATGAGATACATGGTTTGCAAATATTTTCTTTCATTTCATAGATTGCCTTTTCACTCTTTTGACTGTTTCTTTGGCTGTGCATAAGCTCTTCAGTTTGATAGTCTCACTTGTCTACTTTCGCTTTTGTTCCTTGTGCTTTTGGTGTCATATCCAAGAAATGTTGCCTAGATTCATGTTATGAAACTTTTCCCCTATGTGTTCTTCCAGGAGTTTGGGCCATTTCTGGTCTTACATTAAAATCTTTAATTTATTCTGCACTCTCATGTTCATTGCAGCATTATGTACAATAGCCAAGTTATAAAAACAACATAAATGCCCATTTATGGATAAATGGACAAAGAAAATGTGGCATATGCACACAATGGATTATTATTCAGCCTTTAAAAAGAAGAAAATCCAGCCATTTGGGACAACATGGAAGAACCTGGAGTATATCATGCTATGTGAAATGAGCCAGTCACAAAACGACAAATACTGCATGATTCCACTTACAGATACGATATCTGAAATAGTCAAATTCATAGAAACAGAGAGTAGAATGGTGGTTTCCAGGGACTGGGGGAAGGAGAAATGAAGGGATGCTCTTCAATGCATATAATATTCATTTAAGCAAGAGAAGTAAGTTCTAGAGATCTGTACAAGAGTATACCTACAGTATACTTTATTAACAATATTGTACATTTAAAAATTTATTAGGCAAGTATATCTCATTTTAAGCCATAATACAAGTAATTATAGGATGTATCTCAAGGAATACTAAGAGAAAATGCAATGTTTTATGCATTTATAAGAAAATAAAGGAGAATAAAAACAAGTAGACATAAATTTCTAAAGAAGTTGAATTGCTTCTTCCAGAAAACATCCAGGCAACGTCAAAGATGGCCAGATTTCTCCCCAGCCCTGAGTTTAGGAGATCCAATATCCCAGTTGGTCCAACAGCTGGTCCATACATCTCAGTTTAGGTCCATTAACCTCGTGCATTCATAGACCCCTTTCACTCTCCTAAGTGTTTTGGTCATCTCACAGGTCTAGAGGAATTACCAGCACAGGGAAAGGCAGAGAAGAAACAGTTCTACTTTTTTGTAGGAACCATGAGAAATGAAAAGCTCGGGGAGTGCTATGCTGTCACCAGGAAAAAATGTAATCTCTAACATCAATGTGGTCACTCAAATGCTGAATGGAAGAAGACATCAGGATGGGATGAGGAGGTTGGGGCAATGCCTGCAGGGCCCTGGAATTCATCAGTGTGCTCAGGAAAACAGCATTTCCACATCTTCCTCCAAAGCTTAGGGACAAGTAAAAATATAATGGAAAGTAAACATTACAACAGGACTACACAGATGAACTATTTTGGGAATCATAATACGGCAAGAAATAAAATTTCAGCTAATATTCTGTAAGAAGAAAACTTATTTCAAAATAAGAGAGGATTAAAAAGAAGTCTTCAAAATAAGAGAGGATTAAAAAGAAGTCTTCAAAATAAGAGAGGATTAAAAAGAAGTCTTCAAAATAAGAGAGGATTAAAAAGAAGTCTTCAAAATAAGTGTTCTCTAGATGAATGCGACCCATGTCAGTTTATGGTTTGTGAGTTCACAGGAAAAACCCACAGTAGACTCTCAGAAACCCTTGCCAGAATAGGCAGGGAGGGTTTTTCAGATAGCTGTGCACCTGCATTGTTCACTGAAATAGGGAGTGAAATTTCTATTAGTGAAGCACTATTTGTCCCACCCACCCCAGTAGTGAGGCCTGGAGAAACCTGAGTTTGGGAAGATACCACCCTCCCCAACAATCTTACTGGTTCCTCTTAGAAACAAGAGCCTTTGTGTGAGCCTGCTTTACAAACTATAAAACTCCTTAAAAATGCAAGGAATCAATATTATAACCACAATATTCCACTAAAGCCATTTGATTCATAAAAGAGCCACTGAGATGTCAAAATTTTTATTTCACAAATTTAATGCTTTTGAGGTCCAGTGATAACACTTTAGGTGAAAGCTTCATTTTCTTAATCCAGTCTATCGTTGTTGGACATTTAGGTTGGTTCCAAGTCTTTGCTATTGTGAATAGTGCTGCTATAAACATACGTGTGCATGTGTCTTTATAGCAGCATGATTTATAGTCTTTTGGGTATATACCCAGTAATGGGATGGCTAGGTAAAATGGTATTTCTAGTTCTAGATCCCTGAGAAATCGCCACACTGACGACCAACCTAAATGTCCAACAACGATAGACTGGATTAAGAAAATGTGCCACATATACATCATGGAATACTAAGCAGCCATAAAAAATGATGAGTTCATGTCCTTTGTAGGGACATGGATGAAGCTGGAAACCATTATTCTCAGCACACTATCGCAAGGACAAAAAACCAAACACCGCATCTTCTCACTCATAGGTGGAAATTGAACAATGAGAACACATGGACACAGGAAGGGGAACATCACACACCGGGGACTGTTGTGGGGTGGGGGGAGGGGGGAGGGATAGCATTAGGAGATATACCTAATGCTAAATGACGAGTTAATGGGTGCAGCATACCAGCATGGCACATGTATGCATATGTAACCAACCTGCATGTCATGCACATGTACCCTGAAACTTAAAGTATAATAATAATAAAATTTTTAAAAAAAAAAAGAAAGCTTCATAAACCACAGCAGTTCTTCACCCAAACCAGCACCAGCATATGTAACTTCACTGAGACATAAGCCAAGCCCAGGAGTGGCGCAGTTTTCTTTTTGGTCTCCTCTTTCTGATGGAACATTTATATCTGCTTCTCCTTGTCAGAATCCAAAAGGTCTTGATACTCCATCACAGAGGAATCTATCTGAAAATCCAGAGACCTGGACTTAAAATTTAAGAGTCACCACCCTCCTAACATGGTGAAACCCCGTCTCTACTAAAAATACAAAAAAATTAGCCGGGCGTGGTAGCGGGCGCCTGTAGTCCCAGCTACTCGGGAGGCTGAGGCAGGAGAATGGCGTGAACCCGGGAGGCGGAGCTTGCAGTGAGCCGAGATCGCGCCACTGCACTCCAGCCTGGGCGACAGAGCGAGACTCCGTCTCAAAAAAAAAAAAAAAAAAAAAGAGTCACCACCCTCATTTTTACTTGGAGCATTATTAGCAATTATGTTAAGTAGAGCTTTCCTTATTATTTTTGTAATGGTGCCATATTTCAGCCACATGCTCATGGCAAGGCCCTCAATTTCCCTGGACTATTTTCCACATGGCCCCAGGGAGAGGGACCAGTCCAGCACTTAGGTCACTGCATGAATATATTGGGAGGCAGCAAGATACTCTTAGGTGGAAAGTCCAATAACAAATTCTCCCTGCCCATTCCAGGCTAAGATTATACTAAGATTTTCCCTGCATGGAGACTATCCTCCAAACCCAACTGACCTTAAAACAGCATAGTTAACCCAAAGTCAGTAGTGTTGGCTTTCCCCAGTTCTTGGGTAAGGATGAGAGGACAGCCTCCTTCAGAGCTGACAGCGATGAACCAGCCAGGGAAAGCCACAGACTCGAAGGTGGAGTTCCTGCCACTCTGGCTGTGGTAGAAGAGAAAGGACTTCACAGGCTCGGGTTGGTTGTACAAATCCATTATATCCTTTTCCTGAAGGGTGCGAAGGAGACACCAGCAAGAAACATAACTGTTTGAATGTTTCACATTCTTTACACACTGATATTCCACGTCCAAGGATAGCATTCCCTACTCATTGAAGCAGCTTGGAGACCTCTGTTTCATATTATGGGATTGAAAATCATATAAATTAAATTCTTTTAAGATTATGGTTGAAACTCAGGCTACAAATTTTAATGGTTTTTAATGTGAGGCTCTGAAAAATGTGTTGACATGAAAGTTTTTGAGAATACAAAGCATTGATTGGGCCATTATTTGTTGTTCAGAAACAGAAACTTAAAGAATATTTATGTAACAGTTACTGTAAATTTCAAATTAAAACAGTTATTTTCTGTCAGGTTTCTGCACCTTCAGCACTATTGACATTTTAGGCAAGATGATTCTTTGTTTTCAGGGTCTGTCCTGTATAATAATATAGGATGTTTAGTAGCATCCCTGTCATCTACCCGATAAATGCAAGTATCACACCCCCATCCCAGGTTGTCACAACCAAAACATCTCCAGACATTGACAAATGTCCCTGGAGCAATATCACCCCTGGCTGAAAAACACTGTTTTATATCTTGTCATCAAGTTGAGTGTCTGCTTATGCTTGTTTACTGAAAAGGGTCAAGAGAGTTCCTGTAGTACACAGAGGCCTGCTATAATTATCTTTTTTTAATAATGGAAAATTGCGATTATTGAAGTGTTTATTACAGAGAATTATGTTTGTTCATTTAAAGTTGCAATGTATTTTTTGCCAAAAAGATGTTTTAATAAGTTCGTCTACTTTGTGATAATTAACTGCTAAAATGTCCTTGCTGATTTTACTCTGTGTGTGTGTTCTATTGAAGTTAGACATCATCCTTGCCAAATTATTAATATTTTTGTAAATTAAAATAATAAGTCATTTTAGTAGGTTTGTTTCAAAATGTCCCTGCAATTTTTCTTAGTCTTTCATAACATATACCAACCCCAAGGAAACCAAAAATAAAAATGCATGAGCATAATAAGTACATTGTCTTTTAAAAGATCCTGAAATCTGAGTTTCCATCAAATAAATGGCAGGACCTGTCTTCCACACTCACCTTCAGCTGCAGTGTGGGCTGGTCCCCGACTTTAGCACACATCAGGCAGAGATTGAGTCCATTCAGGCCCAGGTAGATGGGGTTCCCTCTGTCTTTCTCAAGGGTCTCCACATGTCGGCATGAGATTAAGGCAATAGTGACTGGGAACACGATGTGAAAAGTGGTGTTCAGCTGCCATTTCCAGGGTGGTACCTCTGAGCCAGAGTTTTAAGGGAATCTGCTAACTGACACTCACAGTGCACTCATAGAATGGTCACCTCACCACCCACCACCTAACCGGGACACCCATCCTATGTTTGGGGAACACTTTCCATTAGAAAAGTCAGTCTTTCATGGATTCAAAAACTGGTCCTCCCATAGATTACCCTCTTTTGTCCTACTCTTACTCCTTGAAGTTTCTCAGAATACGTCTTCCACTGTTTTTCATAGGCTGACCCTTCAGTCTCCCTTAAGCCTTCTCTCTCTTCTCTGACTTCATGACCATAGTCCCAGAACAACCTTATGCTCACCCTCTATTCATTATTGTCTGTGAGATGCTCCTCTCTGTAGATATGCCCGGTTAACAAGCCCACTGTGGAATAACATCTGAGCACCAAACACACAACAGCACTGGCCAAAGGAGCTGCCTTTCACAGACCGTGGCTACTCACCTGGAGACATACGGTCCTTCCTCGGGACTGCTATGAGCGTCTGGTCCTGAAGAACCCACACCCGATGATTGATATCCTGAATGCTCCCCTGCTGAGGTGTGTCAATTTTCAATGCTGTTGAGAAAGTCAAAATGTAAATTAGTAAGAATGAGAGCACAGAATATCACCCCCTTGTCAATTTTTCGCCCTTCCACGAGGATCTTTACCTTTTTCCATTGTGGTGGTGTTGTTTCAGAACTGCCAAGGATAGGAGTCCTTTTATGTGCAGACCGACCCCAAGAGAGGACCTGAGTCAGTCCCAAGCCACAGTTTAACCCTGGGTCAGATGAAAGACTGGCGGCCAGCCCAGCAGTGACCCCAGTCAGAATCTATACTCCCAGAACTCACCCAGCACCCTTACTTTGTTGGATGCAGTCTACCTCCAGCAGAAGCAGCTGCACCTATGAATCCTGCCCAGGCCTAGACCCAGGAACTCTAATATGACAAAGAGTGCCAAGGCCAAAGACCTGGAAGCAAAAAAAATCAGAGGTCACCAGACTTTCCAGCATAGGCCACACTGATAATCTGTTACGAAGGACCCTGTATCCCTACCATTATGAACAATGGCTTCTACTGCACTTGGGTTTTCTGACAGGCTGTAACAGGGCCCAGGCCTTTTATCCACATGGGCAAGGAAGGAAGTTCTGCCTCACTAAGTCTGGCACTGCCCAACACTCAGGATATTTTCTAGTTCCTGATGCCAGAGGATTTAGTGACTCTTTATGTGAACAGCATGGTTAAGACTTCTCCAAGCAACCTGAAACATGAGGGCATGCTAAACTTTTAAGAGCAGGAAATATAGTCACAGATACTGAGTTGAGAAACATTACGGGACTTCTTCCGGGTCAATGACTCATCTCTGATGCCACAAAATGAAACGATGGAATTATTCCTAAGAGTGGGAGCCCTCAGTAAGTGCAAGGTAGACTGAGGAGGGATAGGTCTCTTAAGACCTCTGTAGCTTCTAATCACTCCTGGTCCACAGGAACTATATTCTTGGTCAATTTCAGACCAGAAGCCCACTCACTCCAGTGACCCTCCTCCAGCTTCTCAGAGCCACTGTGCATGCTGCTTCTCCATGGAAGAAGGGAGTATTACTGTAGCAAAGCCAGCTCCTGAGCACTCTAGCCACCTCAATGGACTCTAGATCACTATCTCTAGTATAGGTAGCGTGATAGTAAATTTTAAGTGTCAATTTGACTGGTTTAAGGAATACTTAAAGAACTGGTAATACATTAGTTTGGGGTAAGTCTATGAGGGTGTTTCCAAAGAAGATTGGTGTGTAAGTCAGTGTACTAGTGGGGAACATCTACCCTCAACGTAGGTGGGATCCATCCAACTGGCCGGGGGCATGGATGGCATGGAAAAGACAGAGAAAAGGTGATTTTCTGTCTCTCCTGGAGCTGGGGCATTCTCTCCTGCCTTTGGACATTATAACTCCAGACTTTGGACTCCAGGACTTAATATCAGCATCTCCCTGGGTTCTCAGGCTTTCTATCCCAAAGTGAGAATTACACCAGTGGCTTCCTAGTTCTGAGGCTTTAGGACTTGAACTGAGCATGTTACCTGCATCCCAGGGTCTCCAGCTTGCAGGTGGTCTGTCATGGGATTTCTCAGCCTCCAAAATTGCATGAGTTCATTCCCCTAATAAATCCCCTTTCATACAAGAGGTCATCAAAAAGTTCATGGAAAATGCATATTATGAAAAAAACTATGCATGGATTTTGAATTATTTTGCACCAAAATAAACTCCTACTAACTTGTTATAAGGTGTTTGAACAGGATCTAGTTTGAGGCACTAAGAAAGGTAAGACATCAGTTTGAAAAGAGCCCCTATAAGATCAACATGAATTCTTCTAAAATTGAAGCAAGAACAAAAATCAAATTTATGGTGAAACTTGGGTGGAAGAATGGTGAAATCATTGATGGCTTATAAAAAGTTTGTGGGGACAATGACCCAAAGAAATCAGCAGTTTACAATGGATAACTCATTTTAAGAAGTGAGACAATATTGAAAATAGCACCTGCAGCAGCAGACCATCCACATCACTTTGCAAGGAAAAAACTAATCTTTTTGTGCCCTAGTTGAAGAGGACTGAATATTAACAGCAGAAATGATAGCCAATATCATAGACATCTTAATTGGTTCAGCTTACACAATTATGACTAAAAAACTTAAAGTTGAAGCACAATGGCTCATGTCTGTAATCCCAGAACTTTGGGAGGCCGAGGCAGGCAGATCACCTGAGGTCAGGAGTTCAAGACCAGCCTGGCCAACACAGCAAAACCCTGTCTCTACACAAGTTTGTCAGTTGACCCTGCAGAACCCACTTATACAAAAAGTCAGCCCTCTTCATCCACAGGCTCAGCATCCCTCAATGCTGGTTGGTTGAACCTGCAGATACAAAGTGCCGATTCTGTATGTGTGTCTGTGTTTGTGTGCATAAACACACATCCTAATGATTCTATCTCTCTGGAGGCTCCTGACTAATACAGCAGGAAAGGAAGCCTGGCTGCCAGAGGCCCCAGTGCTCTGAGCTCGCAGTACCTGACATTAGGTCTACACTAAAAGGAAGCTGAGGTAATACTGTTGATGCTCTGCTCCATACCTTCAACAACCTGAGTTCACAACTGCTGTTGGAGATCCTAGCATCTGTCAGCTTCACACCTCTAGGGCTTCCATCTCAGGGGCAACTTCAGTAAGTGGTGAAAGAAACTGGTAGACAAATGTTCAGCCACCCCATCCTCTGATACGATAACACTAAGGTTTCTCAGAGTTGCCCCATAATAGTAACAAGATCACTAGCATTTTCTCTATTGGATCTCCTGGAATAATCCCCTGAATGAGCTCCCTGCATCCAGGATCTGCCTTGGGGAGAACCCAAACTAACACAGTAGTTTGGTGTTTGAAAGCAAAATACTTGTATTCAAAAGATGTGCATTCAAAATTAGGTTTTGCAACTTTTGGAATTGTGTCTTTGGAGAAATTCTATCACATCCCTGATCCTCAGATGACGCATATGAAATGCATTACACCTTGCTGGGCTGTTATGTGGGTTAAAGAAGAGCATGAAAAGCTCTCCATAAGTGACAGCTTCCTGGAGCAACTGACCTAATGAGTCCCCTATGTCTGTCACCAAGCCCCAGATTGACCTGTTTATCTCAGTCAGCATTTTTGCTGTGACTACCAATAGATCATCTCAGATCTCGGTTTTTTTGCAACTTCATCAATGACCTATCTGGCCAGCAGGAGAATTTCCTTCTGTTTACACCCTGTCTCCTTCCCAGATATTCCTACTGCATGGTATGATATAAAAGGCCATTAAAATTTTGTCCCAGGGAGCCCCACAGTCATCTCCTCAAGAGTGTGAAATCATGTATAGCCCAAATTTAAATGTGTAGCAGGTATCCCTGAGTCAAAATTAGAATTTGGTATCACGCTGAGTTTATAAAGAGGAGCTTCCTCAGGTCTCCATTAGCATAAGATGATTTCCATACTCAAAGAAGAAAGTTCAGAGCCTATGACATCAGCTCCACTCTCTCTGCACAGAACTGAACCCACATGAATATCTTGGGGGAAGAGGCCCAAGGTCCTTCCATAGGTATGAAGATGCAAACAGACAAAACATATTGGTTTGGATGCTGCACATATGAATGCAAACTCATTTGTGACAACAGCTAAGATGTAGGTCCTTTAAAATTCTTATTTCATCCCATAGATACTTGGAGCTCTATATGGCCTGGGTACTTAGGCCACAGTGCCATCAGTGGAGGTGGTGAGGGCTGTGGTGATACCAGATTGTTCAAGACCTGTACTTATTTCTCTCTAGCATGGAGGAAACATCCTTTATAGCCAAAAGGGTGAATGCTCCTGAGAAAGGACACTGAGCCAAATATGATGAAGGAAACTTCTCACTCTGCAAGAAAAGAATTCCACAGGAGTAAAGCCTAGAGTTGCAGCCTTCTCTATCTCTTCAGCTATCCAGAACTAGACCTGTCTTGGGATTTCATTCCTTTGTCCATCCCTATCTATCCTTCATTACTCACTTCAAAGTTTAATATAGTCACCTCTACCCTGCAAATCTTTCCCAAATCCTATAGCACAATTTCCACCATTTATTTTGGCTACTATTATTCATGTATTGCCAAATCATTAGATAAAATTTTCCTTGTTGTGTACATCTTTAATACTTAAGGTGTACTTTATGGATGATACATTGGCATTATTTTGAAGCTTGCCAGAAATGCAGAATCTCAGGTCCTACTCCAGACCTACAGAACCAGGATCTAAAATAAGGGAACAGTAAAACCACTATATGCTCTCTGCTGATATAGTACACCTTATGCTCAGTACTGTAGTCACACCAGCACAAAAATAAAGAAGTCAGTGCACAGGGTTGGGGCTGGGGAGGTGGCAAGCTCAGGAAATCTAGATTGCCTTTCTCCAACCTCTAAGAACCATGGAGAGGACTGTCCTGGCACTGACTTTCACTGAAGAGAGAAAGAAAAAGAAAAGAAACATTTCTGGAGGGCTGTGGCCAGGGACAGACTCTCACAAAGATTTTCACACTAAATACTCATAGCTTCATTGAGCTAAAAACAATCAAACTGTATTCAATTTTATGTAGGCTAAACTCATTCCACAAGAAGCAAAAAGAAAGTCTCTCTAGAGGAGGGAAGAGTCACTCAGATACATTTTCAACGGCACAAGCCACACATAGTTGAAGATTACCAGGCATATGAGTAAACAAGGTCACAAGAACAAGAACAACAAGAAAAAAGAAACAAAGCAAACAAAACAAGATAACAGAAACATATCTACACAAACTTCACATTTTGTAATTTTTTTACACACAGCTTAAAGCAACCATCCTAACCATGTTTAAGAAACAAATGAAAAACATGAAAATATTTTTCTAGAACAGAAAACTATGGAAAGTGACAGATTTGATGGAGTCAAGCAGAACCTCTATGACTGTATGATAAGTAAATTAAATTAAATAAGCCAATAGCTATATTTAGCAGTAGGCATCACACAGCAGAAAAGAGAATTAGCAAATTTGAAGACAAATGAGAAGAAATCCAGATTGGAGCACAGGCACAGGAAAGCCAGAAAATACAGAAGAAGGTGGAAAAAATGTGGAGAAAAAGGTGAGAAGTTGCAAGATATTGACTGGAGTCCTAGGAGGAAAGATAAAATAAGGCAGAGTAATTATTTGAAGAGAGAATGGCTGGGAATATTCTCAAATAATAAAGACACTGATTCACAGTTTCAAAAAACACAATAAATCTCAAATAACATAAATGTTTTAAAGATTCACTTCTAAACACATCAGATTGAAATTTTATAAAACCAAAGGCAAAAATTAAATGTAAAAGTAGCAGATAATAAAAACTCATTACCTTCGAGGGGTGCAAAAGACTGACAACTGACTTCTCAATTACAACAATGAAAGCCAAAAGACAATAGAATGATATCTCAAAATGCAGAAAGGAAACCTTCCAATGGAATTTCATACTCTGCAAAATTTCTTAAGTTTTTCAGATTAAGGGAAAATCAAGAACTTTCTGAGACAGAAACTTGTGGTGGCAGGTTAAGTATATCAGTCCCCTCCCTCTTGGAAGTAAAGCAGTTTGTCCTCACAGGGATGACTACATAGTCTGGGTGTGGGTTTGCTCTCCTACATTCAGAACCTCAGCTATAACCACTATCCAGGGGCCTATGGAATCCCATGCAATACAACATCCAACCAGTGAGTCCAAAACAACATAGCAGCTAACCAAAACACTGGCCCTATAGTGAAGGAAGAGCTGAAACAGGTCCATGATCATTAAGTTCACTTAATGGTATACTAGTACATTTTTAATAACTGGCTCTCCAGAAAAAAAAGAAAAGCCCTGATTTGTAGTATTTGTCAATTTTCTTGATGTAAATACTACTATAATGGGCAATTTCAAGTTGCCAACCGACACAGAAAATCCTGAAAATGTAGTAATTGACCCTGCAAAGTCAGTATAAGCCTGCTCCACTACTTCCCTGGACTCATTGGTCAACCCAAAAGTAGCAACCTGTTGGAGCATTGAATGGCCTCCTGGAGGTATACCTGGAACACCATGTAAGTGGTAATACTTTGGAAGGATGGGCTGCCATCCAGCAGTATATGTAAGAGGAGGTATAGCTGCTTTTACATATGAAGATAGGGAGGTATATGTGTGTAATATTTGTGGAACCCAAGTGATCCATTTGGACACCTCTTGGTATTCCCTTGAATAACTAAATGTGAATAGACATGCAGTAACCCCAGCTCAAGAAGTACATGACTGCCAGAGTGAGGGATTTGATCACATCCCCAGGAAAGCCACTAAGACCTGCCAAGCTATTAGTTGAGGGTAAAGGAAATTTAGAATAGACAGCGGAGAAAAAAGATGATGAGAACAAACTGTTGGCCCAACTATAGAAATGGGTGCTGTAGTCCATTCACTAACATTCCTCTGCTAAGTTTCCCTTCAGGTAGACACCCATGGGAGGCATGGATGATCTGCTCCCAAACATACGTAGAGGATGGGGTCCATGCAGCACAAGAGTGGATTGTGAGCATGGAGGTGTGACTCTCAGACTTCCCTTTAAAAGAACCTGTTACAAGGAGAACAGTTGGAAGACAACCTCAGCTGCTGCAATTTTGGATTCATGGCAGTGCTCCTGCCAAGAACACTCTTTTCTTGGGCTGCTCCCAGCCAGTGATGGCAGTCTTTCCTACTGATGTGGAATGCCTCTGCAGCCAAGTTTTGCTCTAGGGCTCCCCAATGTGCCAGGTTGAGACTTTCTCAGAGCTTCACAGGTGCACTGCAGTCTGACGCTCTTCCTACCCACTCCTCCTTCCTTCTCTCTCTCTCTCTCTCTTTTTTTTTTTTTTTTTTGACAGAGTCTCAAGATGCTCTGTTGCCCAGGCTGGAGTGCAGTAGCATGATCTCGGCTCACTGCAGCCTCTTCCACCTGGGTTCCAGTGATTCTCCTTCCTCAGACTCCCAAGTAGCTGGGACTATAGGCACGTGCCACCATGGCTGGCTAATTTTTGTATTTTTAGTAGAGGTGGGGTTTCACTGTGTTGGCCAGGCTGGTCTCGAACTCCTGACCTCAAGTGATCTGCCTGCCTTGGCCTCCCAAAGTGCTGAGATTATAGGTGTGAGCCACCGCACCTGGCCTTTCCTTCTCTCTTTTCTATCATTGGTGTCAGTCCTGCCTCACAGTCTGAATGCTCTCCCTACCTACTCCTGATCCCTCTTTTTTGGCCTTCAGGCATGTCTCCCATTAAATCTCTTAACATCTTCTCATCAAAGCACCCAAACTGACATGACATATCACCATGAATCCCAAGAATGTGAATAAGCAAGATGTAAAAGAATACATACAGTATTATTTCATTTATATAAAGTTTAAAGCATAAACAATATCTATTTTAGGGGCATATACATAGATGGTAAAACTATAACAAAATTTAAGAGAATAGTTACCATCAAATTTAGGATGACAATTACATCTGTGGGGAGGAAGAGAAGAGGATAGAATAGAGGATGGGCATACAGTTCTTCCAAAGTTCCTAGTTCTGTTTATTCATCTGGGTGAGTTTATATAGGTCTCTTTTGTTTAGACCTTAGATATATTTGTTACAAATATTCCTTCTTACCTACTCAGTATTTCTTTTACACCATAGAAAGAAAATGGATTATAAAGCAACTTCCTGGATTTCCTGGAGATGATCAGGACAATACAACAATAAGTATTCTTGTTTATTGTCTTTTAACTGTTTTTGATATTTACCTCCATATTTATTTGAGTTTATTTCTATTCTTTATTGAGTGTTTAATCTCATTACTTCATTAAATTCTTAGAGAACCTTTTTTAAAAGCCATATGTAAATCTAAATAAAACAAAATAAGCTAAAATAATAAATATTTAAAAGGCAGAAATAAATCAGACATCAGTAATAAAGATGAAAAAATAAAGCCAGTTATATGAGAAAGCCAGAAAGTCTTTTATCTAAATCTTACAGAAGGAAAAAGTAAAATAAAATCCTTTATGACCATTTTAAGTGTAAAAATACTATATTAAAATTTAAAGACATGGACCCACGAAGAACGAAAACACATAGTCCCTCTCCATAGACTTGGATTCCAATCCAAGGCAATGTCAGAGCAAGGTCCCACAGGCAGAATGATGGTTCATCCTTCCAGTGCAGAAAAGGAGGGTTGCTTTCTCAGTCTATGGCCTCCAACCCATTGGTAAAATTGACAATCACAATTTGCTTAAAACAGAAAGAGTATTAATAACAAAAGTAAACTATCTTAAATTCAAATATCAAGGGGTAGACCACTTACTTGAAAATAGTTCACTCAAAGACCATGAACACAGCCTGAGTTTTCCATATAGTCCAACAATGAATTTTTTCATCATTCCTCTTGGCTCTGCTATTTTCATCTCCAGAAACAAAAGCTTCACATAAACATAGTCTGTTTTCTCAGGCTTCAAAGTCTTGTTACAAAACAGAATAGTCATTATTTCCTGCTGCTCAGAGAAAACCAGTTTTTACTCTTTTAATTGTTTTTGATATTTACCTCCATTTTTCAAAGTACTATGAGTGTGGTGCTATTTCTCGATTTTTCTGTTTGAGCCATTATGTGTTAACATCCTTCCATGGAAAATAGTTTTAATTGTCATACACAACTCATCTAACTCCCTACTACATAAACACACACACACACACACACACACACACACACACTCATTCATCCATGCATCCTTCCAAAATATTTACATCATGATTTTGGATAGCATATACACTATTATTGCAATATAAACATTACTGACAATTAAGCTATATAGTAAATTATGATTACATTTTGTCTCCTGAATAACTTAATTTTTTCTCTAGAATTAAGAACTGCTGGTGGGGGCCAAGATGACCAATGAGAAGCAGCTGCAGTGTGTGGCACTCATGGAAAATAACAAAAAGGGGTGAGTAAATACAGCACCTTCAACTGATATATCCAGGTACTCGCATTGGGACTGATCAGGGAAACAACTCGACCCACAGAGAACAAAGGAAAGCAGGGCGAGGTGACAGTCCTCCTGTTAGCGACAGAGAGCCAAGGGACTCCCCAGCACCCCGCCAAGGGAAGCAGGAAACCACACTTCTCCCATGAATCTTTGCAACCCTCAGATCAGGAGGTGGAGTGAGCGCACATTACCAGGACCTGGGGTCTGACACAGAGCTGCTTGAAGTCTCTGAACAGCAGCTGCTCAGGCATGCACAGAGGCCCAGGAACTTTACATACTCCTCAGGCCAGGTGCAGTGGCTCACACCTGTAATCTCAGCAGTTTGGGAGGATAAGACAGGAGGATCACTTGAGGCCAGGAGTTTAAGACCAGTCTGGGCAACATAGTGAGACACACCCTCTATTTAAAATAAAATAAAATAAAATTTTTTTTAATTAGCCAAGAGTGGTGGTGCACAACTGCGGCCCCAGCCATTTGGGAGGCTGAGGCAGGAGGATTTTTTGATCCCAGAAGGTTGCAGTGAGCCATGATTGCACCATTGCACTCCTCCAGCCTGGGCAATAGAGTTAAGACCCTATCTCCAAAAAAAAAAAAAAAAGTCTCAAACAATAACAGTGGTTTAATTCTTCCTTTGGCATCTAGATAAAACTGGTCTTTCTCTATAAAGTCTACTATGTTCTGGTCTAGTTTCAAAACGTATAAACACACTGAAATTAAAACATGAAGTATTAAGAATACAAGATAACGTGGGGGCCAAAAGTCATGAATGAGGGAGTCAACAGTGTGGCTAATATGACACCCCCTCCCACCCGAGCCACCTCACACTTCCCAGGGCACACTCAGGAAGCCACTGGCAGCCACTGCACAAGGCTGCTCCAAGATTACATGTCACCTGGACCTACGAATTATTTGAAACAGCAACCTAACCCAACAGCAAGTTGGGCTGTTTTCTCCAAAGGAATTCCCAACTGTCTTCTACAATGAAATGTCTATGCAAATCAGCCCCAGACCCTGTGGGGCCATAGTTTCTCCAAGCAGCAGTGATGTTTAGGGATTAATACTGAAAGCTGTGCTTTGTCTGGATATCATCAAGAACCTGCTGCAGCTCCTCATCTTCAAACCACCCCTCCAAGTTTGGGATTAGAGCCTTGGACTCCTCAGCAGTCTCTGGGCAAAGGTTGGCCAAACAGACCAACTCAAATTTATGAAGGTTTTTCTAGAGCTACGAACACTGGCAATGGTCTCTCTGTTTTCGAAACCACTGAAACGGCCTGTGTAGTTTCATTGTTTTCATGAAGACTTCTGAGAGTTCCTGTTCATCCTCTGCACTCTCGTTCTATTGCTTTCGATGTTCCAGAAGCATATGAACTTCTGAATTTAGAAGGGTCTCCGCTGTTTCAAACTCTTTAGGAAAAAGGAGCTGTGAAGTGTCCTCCTCTACATCGTCAGCCCGTGGATCGCTGCCGCCTGCTGCCATTGCCGTGCCGCGTGCCACCACCCACATCCTTGATTTCTTTTTATTGCTAAGTAGCATTGAATACACCACAACTTGTTTATCTATTCACTGCTTGATGGAAATTTCGGTTCTTTCCAATTTGGGGATATGAAAAATTTTATTTGAGGATGTGAACTTTTTATACAAGTCATTTTCCTTCAATTTGCTTTTAAATCACTCAAGAGAGAACAACTTTACAAAAGTAAATGTCAAAAAAAGCAGGAGGTATGTATTGTTACATATCTCTTTATTTCTATAGAAGCATATAGATCATTCCAAGCATGATTAATTTGTGTCTTTTTACACACAAAACTCCACTGGATGGTCCAGAAGAGTATTTCCCATGTTTACTTAGAAATTAGCACTCCCTAGGGTCTTTGGTAAAATATTAATTCTTAGGTCCCACCATAAACTTAGTAAGTTGCAATTTCTGGAGGAGGGGATTTTAATCTACTAGGCATGGAGCGAGCACAAGTGCCCTAGGTTTTCAGTGAATATCCAGATGATTCTAATGTAGTTTCAAGTTTGGGAAATACAGGTGTGCTGAACATTACTGTACTTGTGCCACTACGTAATGACATTTGCACAGGTGCTCCACCTTGGGTGACTCTACCCTGGGTAGGTCATTTGCTGACACCCTGCTAGATAGGGACAGCCCTAATGATGACATGTCTCAGACTTTGCTCTGCCATCTTGCTCAAGGTAATTGTTGCTGATTTCTCACAGCAACAGTCTAAGAAACAAAACAATATTTTATTGACATGTATTATTAATTATGACCATTGTTTTCAGCACTCTGTGGGCAGCATCTTCAGTCCCCATGCCCAGTTGTTAATGAATTATGAGACAA
Source organism: Homo sapiens (assembly GCF_000001405.40). Taxonomy (NCBI): domain Eukaryota; kingdom Metazoa; phylum Chordata; class Mammalia; order Primates; family Hominidae; genus Homo; species Homo sapiens. The sequence continues at coordinate 112,994,648 of NC_000002.12, read as the reverse complement.
AGTCTTCCTGTCCAGATTCAGGAAACAGCCATTACCCTTCAGCAGTCCTGAGGTGAGAGGATATCAGCCCCAAAGCGACTTGACAGAGAAACAACCCGCTCACCTGTTTTATCTACAATTGTGAATCTCTGGTGGCATGGTTATAAGACTACTAATTCCGCCCCCGCCCCCAGAATCCCCCTTCTCCTAGTGCATCAGACCTTCTATAACACCAATTGCTAAAGGTCCAAAGAAAACAAATTATTCAATGAGTATTAGCCTAGAGCTTGTGCTTCTCAAATGCAGAAGTATTTGCTATAGCAATGTGTAAAAACTAGGTGTGGACCAGACTATTCACCTGAAAATGAAGATATTGCTCCTTGCAGGGATCCTCCATGATTTTGTAAACCATGGCATAATACACTATTTCTCACATGTGCTGGGTAAGGCAGGGAGCCCAGATCTGTGTTTTCTGGGTTCCACATGCTTTCTATGAGATTATTATAAATTGGTGTTTTCATTTTGGTTATACTCTGTCATCATAGCCTCTTCTGTATCACCAGAATGAACACCTTACCCTTGAGTCCAGCCACATGATGTCAGGACTCATATTTGAGCTTTTGTTTGAGCTCACATTTGTGCCAAGTGAAAGTCCAAGGTATCAGTGACTGAACAAACAAAGTTTTTCACAGTAGAGAAAAGAGGTGGGAATACCAAATCATCACACAGCCTGTAGCAGGATGGAGATGCTGTAACACTTACAACCATAATCATGTCACAAGCTAATGTGTCATCAGCTTTTAATTAATAATATAAATTGGCAGATGTAACAACCTGCCACTATTTATTAGCATAGCATGGATATATGAGTGAATATCCAATGACTAATTCTTCTATTGGATATTCCAGAATTAATTAACTTTAACACTTATTTTAGTGTTGATTTTTATAAAACTGCAATGCCAACATTATATTCAATTGAGGAAGAAAACTTTAGAGGAGAGTGGCAGAGGAAGGAGGAAAGTAGGACTTTGCATTAATCATCCCACACAGAAACATCAATTTGATCAACTATTCATGCACAAAAAAAATCACAAGAGCAAAGGAAACCAGGTGAGAGATCACAGTACTTGATTTTAGCATCATAATAATAACAGATACATTGAAGAGAATAGGAAGGACAGTTTTACATTACCCACATCACCCCTTCCCTAACCCCAGGCAGTGCAGTATAGAGAGAGACATTATCTCTTGGGGAAAGAAAAAGGAATTAAGAGTAAGACTTCACCTTGGAACTCAGTACCATGCCTGCCACAGTAAAACCCACCACAGGGCAAACAACTTGATCCCTACCACCAGACTTATACCTGTAGATGAAGCCTCTAGATCTACCCCAGCACCAGAGAGGAACCTGTGGCACCAGTGAGATGGACTTCAGTTTGGTACAAGTCACTGCCAGCAGTGGGCAGGCCATAGTGGCCATGGTGTTGAGCATGCCCTATGTAGTGCTGTGCTGGTCTCAGAGACTCTAAGCTTTGGATGTGACCCAGTGCTACCTCAGCCTCTGCTGCCAAAGGATTCTGGCCATTGTGATCCTGGACTTAGAGCAGCTCCTAGTGCTGCAATTGCTGAAATGGTCACAGGCTTAGGGACCTCCCCAGTCAAACTTCTCTGAATCTCTGGACAGGCTTACTGCTAAAGGAAGCTCCCCAACAAAGCCAGATTGCAAAGACTAGATTAGGTACTTACATCAATGCATGGACATCTACAAATGGCTACAAGAATCACAATAAATCAGGGAATGTTCACTTCACCAAGCAGACAAAATAAGGTGCCAGTGACTGACCCTGAAGAAATGGAGATGGAAGAACTGCCTGACAAGGAATTCAAGATACCTGTTTTAAGGAAGCTCAGCAAACTTCAAGAACATACCAAAAAACAATTCAAAATTTGGTCAGAGAAATTTAACAGAGATAATGAAATAACTTTCAAAAACTCAAATAGAAATTCTGGAGCTGAGAAAAAAAAAATTAAAAATACAATGAGACCATCCACAGTAGAACTGAACAACAAGAGGAAAAGAATCTGTGAATTCAAAGACAGGGTAATTCAAAATATACAGTCAGTGGAGAAAAGGGAATAAAAATAAATGAAGAAAGCTTATAAAACTTATGGAGTAACATCAAAAGAGCAAATGTATGGGTTACTGGTACTCAAGAGGGAGTAAAGAAAGAGAAAGGAATGGAATAACAATGGAAAACTTTCCAAACCTGGAGAAAGATATAAATATCCAAGTACAGGAAGGTCAAAGATCTCTAATCAAACTCAACCCAAACAAGACTACTCCACAACATATAATCATCAAACTGTCAAAGACAAAAAGAGTATCCTGAAAGTAGCAAGGGAAAAGAAGCAAATAACATATAATGGTCTCTATATGCCCAACAGCAAACTTCTCAACAGAAACCTCATAGGCCAGGAGAAAATGGAATTTTAAAATGCTGAAGGAAAAAAACGTGCCAACCAAGAATATTCTAGTCAGCAAAGCTGTCTTTCAAAAATGATGGAGAGATAAAGACTTTTCAGACACACAAAAACTGAGGGAATTCATCGCCACCAAACCTGTCTTACAAGAAATGCTAAAGGGAGTTCTGCAAGATGAAAAAAAAGATGCAAATGAGTAACACGAAAACATCTGAAAGAATATAACTCGTTGGTAAAAGTAGGTACATAGTCAAACTCTGAATACTCTATTAACATAATGGTGGTATGTAAATCACTTATATCTTTAGTATAAAAGGTTAAAAGACAAAACTATTATAAATAATAACTATAACAAGTTCTTAAAGAATATGCAACATAAAAAGATATAAGCTGTGACATCAAAAATTCAAAATGTTGAGAGAGGAGTTAAATTAAAAAGTAGAAATTTTTGCAATCAAATTTAAGTTGTCATCAGTTTTAAATAACCTGTTACAACCATAAAAAGTCTTTGTAAGTCTCATGGTAACCACAAAGCAAAAACCTATGCACTAAAAATAATAATTAGGAATCAAAACATACGACTAAAGAAAATTAGCCACAAAGGAAGATAGTAAGAGAGACAGAAAGCAAAAAAGGATCCACAAAACAACTAGAAAACATGTAACAAAATGGCAGGAGTAAGTTCTTACAATCAATAATTACCTTGAATATAAATGAACTACATTATCCAATGAAAAGTCATAAAGTAGCTGAATTTAAAAAAAAAAAAAAAAAACAAGGCCCAACTTACACAGCCAACAAGAAACCCACTTCATCTATAAGGATACATGTACAATGAAAGTGAAGGGATGGAAAAGATGTTCTACCCAAATGGAAACCAAAAGAGAGCAGAAGTAGCTATAGTTATATTGGATAAAATAGATTGTAAATTTAAAACTTAATTTTTATTTAAGTAAAAATGAGACAAAGGAGGTCATTATATAATGGCAAAGGGGTGAATTCAGCAAGGAAAATATTAATAGATCTAAAGAAAGGGATAGATTGCAATACAATAATTGTAAGGGATTTCAACACTTCACCTTCAGCAATGGAAAGATCATTCAGTCACAAAATTAACAAACATCAGATTTAAATGGCACTCTAGACAAAATAGACCTAACAGAAATTTACAAAAAACAATTGCATTTAACTGCTACAGAATACATATTCTTTTCAATTGCAACATGGAACATTCTTCAGAACAGAATATATGTTAGGCCACAAAACAAGTATTAACATATTTAAAAAGATTGAAATCATATCACATATCTTCTCTGACCACAGTGGTATAAAACTAGAAAGAATTAACAGGAGAAACCTGGTAAAATTTGCAAATACATGGAAATTAAACAACATGTTACTGAACAACCAATGGACCAATAAAGAAATTTAAAGGAAAATTTTAAAATGTCTTGAGAAAAATGAAAATGGAAACACAATATACCAAAACTTATGGAATACAGCATTAGCAGTCCTAAGAGGAATGTTTATGGTGATAAACACCTATATTTAAAAAGAAAGGACCCAAATAAGACTACCCAACAACATATAATCATCAAACTGTCAAAGACAAAAAGAGTATACAGCATTATATACTATATACTCTTATAAATAAACAATGTAATGTTGCATCTCAAGGAACTAGAAAAACAAGAAAAAACTAAACCTAAAATTAGTAGAAGAAAAAATAATAAAAATCAGAGCATAAATCAATAGAGACTAAAAAAGATCAACAAAATGAAGAGCTGATTTTTAAAAAGATAAATAAAATAAGCAAACTGTAAGCTAGACTAAGAAAAAAAGAATATTCAAATAAATAAAATCAGAAATGAAAAGGGAGATGTTAAAGCTGATACCACTGAAATACAAAGAATCATAGAGACTATTATGAACAATTATATGCCAACAAATTGGAAAACCTTGAAGAAATAGATAAATTCCTGGACACATAAAACCTACCACTATTGAAATATGAAGAAATAAAAAGACTGAACAGATCAATAGGGAAGGAGATTTAATTAGCAGTTTAAAACTCTTCCATCAAAGAAAACCCCAGGGCCTGATGGCTTCATTCCTTAATTCTATCAAGCATTTAGTGAAGAACTAACACCAAGCCTTTTCACACTATTTCACAAAGTTGAAGAGAGTGGAATTCTTTCAAACTCATTCCATAAGGCCAGCATCATCCTGATGTCAAAATCAGACCAGAACACCACCAAAAAGGAAAACTACAGACCAACATCGCTAATGAACATAGATGCAAAATTCCATAATAAACTACTAGCAAACCAAACTCAAATAGCACATTAAAAGGATTATTCACCATAGCCAATCATCCCAGGTATGCAAGGATGGTTCAATACACACAAATCAATAAATATAATATACCACGTTAACAAAATGAAAGAAAAAATATATAATCATTTCAAAAGACGCAGAAAAAAACATTTGACAAAATTCAACATCTCTTCATGATAAAAACTCTCAATGGATTAGGTATAGAAGGAATGTATCTGAACATAAGAAAGGCCATATACAACAAACCCATGGCTAACATCATACTGAATGGGGAAAAGTTTGAAGCTTTTATTCTAAGATTTGGAAGAAAAAAAGAATGCCCACTTTCACCACTTCTATTCAACATAGTACTGGAAGTCCTAGCCAGAGCCAGACAAAAGAAAGAAATAAAGGGCGTCCAAATTGGAAAGGAGAAAGTTAATTGTCCATGTTTGCTTTTGACATGCTCTTATACACTAAAAATCTTAAACATCGAAAAAAAACTGTTAGATCTAATAAACTAATTCAATAAAGTTGCAGGTTACAAAATCAACGTTCAAAAAACAGTAGCATTTTTTTTAACTTTAAGTTCTGGGATACACATGCAGATTTGTTACACACATGTGCCATGGTGGTTTGCCACACCTATCAATCCATCATCTAGGTTTTAAGCCCCACATTATGTATTTGTCCTAATGCTCTCCCTCCCTTTACCCCCCATCCCCTGACAGGCCCCAGTGCCTGATGTTCCCCTCCCTGTGTCTATGTGTTCTCATTGTTCAACTCCCACTTAAGAGTGAGAACATGTGGTGTTTGCTTTTCTGTTCCTGTGTTAGTTTGCTGAGAATAATGGTTTCCAGCTTCACCCATGTCCCTGCAAAGGACAGGAACTCATTCTTTTTATGGCTGCATAGTATTCCATGGTGTATATGTGCCACATTTTCTTTATCCAGTCTAACACTGATGGACATTTAAGTTAGTCCCAAGTCTTTGCTGAAAAAACAGTAGCATTTTTATACACTAATAGCAAACATTACTCTAAGCAAATTATTAAGCAAATGATTCTTTTTAAATCAAGTGATAAAGTAATTCTACAACATGAGATTTAATGGTGAAGACCTACTGCCAAGGCACTGGGAACACTGATGAATTAGTCATGGCTCCCACCACTGTGAACATGATACTAACAACAAGCTTTGTGTTAAATAAACATATGCCTCTATTATATATTTATTATATTTTAACCATGAGTCTTAATGGTTTGATGAAATGACATCAAGAAAAAATGAAATATGAGAGATTTTAGCATCATCATAACTAATGCAGCTAAACAGAGTTAATAAAGGTGTGGGCATTATTACACACTTAATTTAAAAAACAATCTCTAAACATAGTGGGTAAGATTATGATATATGCTATGATACAACATCAAAGTCTGAGGAAGATTTACCTAATTAAAGTAGACATTGTTTTGTCCCCAAAAAAGAAGGGAAACATGATTTAAAACAAATAAAGCTTTTTGTAGTCTCTTTTCATTTTTAATTCATGAAATAGGAAATTAATTTGCTTTGTGACAGAATTTTAAATGATTTTTGTCAAGACTACAAAAATTGCTTTACACTAAAAAATACTACGTCTTCTATGGGGTTGAGTGCCTTTGTGACAATTTGTAAAATATTAAAACAGAGACACACACATGCACCTTAGAGTATTAAAAGTCATTGTAGTAAATGCTATAATTGTCATTATTATTATAAAAAATAATAAATAAATGATGTTAGAAAAATTGGATATCCACACGCAGAAAAATAAAATTGACTCATCTCTCACCATATACAAAAATTAAGATGGATTAAATACTTAAACGTAAGACTTGAAACTATGAAACTACTAGAAGAAAACATAGGAGAAACATTGTCTGAGCAAGGATTTTTTGGATAAGACCTCAAAATCAAAGGCAAAAAACAAAATCAGAAATAAACAAATGTGTGACTATATCAAACAAGAGAGCTTCTGTATAGAAAAGGAAACAATCAACAGAGTGAAGAGACAACTTACAGAATGGGAGAAAATATTTTCAAACTATACATCTGACAAGGGGTAAATATCAAAAATACATAGCGAACTTAAACAACTCAGTTGCAAATAATAATAATAATAAATAAATAACCTGTTTGAAAAACAGGCAAAATACCTGAATAGACATTTCACAAAAAGAAAGACCAATAGATATATGAAAAAATGCTCAATATTCCTAATCAGAGAAATGCAAGTCAAAATCACAATGGCGTATCACTTTCCCCTAGTTAGAATGGCCATTATCAAAAAGACAAAAGATAAGTGCTGTCAATGTTGTGGAGAAAAGGAAGCTCTTAAACACCCTTGGGGGGCATTTAAATTAGTGCAGCCACTCTGAAAAACATTATAGAAGCTCAGAAAATTAAAAATAGAACTACCATATGATCCAGCAATCACACTATGCAAAGGAATTCAAATCTTTATGTCAAAGAGATATCTGCACTCCCATGTTTATTGTAGCACCATTCACAATAGCCAAGATATTGAGTCAACCTAAGTGTCCATCAACAGATGAGTAGATAAAGAAAATGTGGTACATACACATAATGGAATACTATTTAGCCATAAAAAGGGATTGAAATCCCACCAGTTGTGACGACATGGATGAACCTGGAGAACATTATGCTAAATGAAACAAGCCAGGCACAGAAAGACAAATACCACATGATCTCACTCATATGTGAAATTTTAAAAAAAGTAGATCTCATAGAGGTAGAAAGTAGAATGGTAGTTACCAGAGGCTAGTGTAGTTAGCCAGGAGGAGGGATGGGGGGATGTTAGCCAAGGGCTACATAATTACAGTTATGTAGGAGGAATAACTTTCAAGAGACCTATTTTACAGCAAGGAGACTATAGTAAATGATGATATATTCTCTCAAAAAATGTAGAGAGTGGATGTTACGTGCTCTCACCACAAAAAATGATAACCATGTGAGGCAGTACATTTGTTAATTAGCTAGATTTAACCATTCCACAAATGTATATGTACTTCAAAACATCATGTGGTACCCAATAAAAACATACACTGTTATCTGTCAATTTAAAAAGATATGTAAAAATTGAGCTTTAAAAATTATTTTTAAATGTTTAATTAAAAATAACCCCCCAAAAAGAAAAAGTTAAAGAATAAAGAGGTATCACATTAAATCCATGCTTGCTGATTGCTTATTGTAATTGTTAGTAGTGGATGCAGTCTGATTGCCCAAAAGTAGAAAAAAAAATAAGTTGCTATGCTATTTTGAAGAATGTACTTAAGCAAACAGAATGTTCTGCATTTTCAGTGTTAGAGTAAAAATAAAGAAATCTATTATATACAGAATCAGATCTGAGGTATATATTTCTACAATTATACCCACAGTGAGTGTGTTAGGTCGTTCTTTCATGGTTGTAAAGAAATAGCCAAGACTGGGTAATTTATTAAGAAAAGAGGTTTAATTAGCTCACAGTTCTGTTCTGCAGGCTTTACAGGAAGCTTGGTATTGGTATCTGTTTGGCGTCTAGGGAGGCCTCAGGAAGCTTCCAATCATGGCAGAGGGTGAAGGGGGAGCAGGTACATCACATGGCAAAAGCAGGAGCAACAGAGAGAGTGAGGGTGGAGGTGCCACACACTTTTAAACAACCAGATCTTGTGAGAACCCACTCACTATGGTGAGGACAGCATCAAGCCACAAGTGATCCACCCCCATGACCAAAACACCTCCCACCAGGCTCCACCTTCAACACTGGGGATTACATTTCAACATGAGATTTGGACGAGGACAAACATGCAAACTATATCAGTCAGTTATTTAATTTCGTCAGAATATATCTTCTAAAGGTGGCTGTTGGGAAAGCAAGGCTTTCTCTTCCAAGAAGAAAAAAAAGACATCTTTACTGAAGTTTTTGAAAAAAGTATGTGAATGGTGAGATGGTCTAAAAGGAAAAGACTAGAGGAAGCAGGGAAAAACCAAGGCTATTCGACCATAAAGAAAGGAGCCAAACAGCAGAGCCCTGTTACATACTGAATTTCTCACCCCCACCCCATCACTATCCACCAAGGAAGGCCCTTTTGTCCCCAGCTAAGCCCCAGTCCCAGGTTTACCCACTGCAATGGCTTTATTCAACTACTCTTGCTAATTTCAGTTTACTCTTTCTTTATTTTATATCAGTTTTAGCTTTATTATTATATAAATACACAAAGTTTATTTAACTTTAAGATTACACATTACAATTAGGACAAAAATGATTTAACTTAACACAAGAATTATTTTTGTTTACAAGGTCTTAATGCTAAGAAGGTTCTATTACACACAATGAGGTATATTGGCAACATATAAAGACTGGATGATATCATCCCAAGAGGGAATAAAGCAAAACAGAAACAGAGATCAGCTCTGTGCTAGTCATGCCATCGTGGGTAACGCGCATGAGCTCTGAAGCATCTTCATACCCACCCCTAGAAGAAAGCTCAGTGTTTGGTCTTTGAGTCTTAAAGTCACTCATGCAGATGCCTTGTGGCCTACACAGCACCAGCTTGAGAGGACAGCCTTATACCACCCAGCTCTCCTGCTTCTGAGGCCACATCCTGTTCTTCAGTTGCTATGAAGTAATTGCTTCTTCTTCATTATAAAATGAGATGATAACAGCAGCCTTGCCCCTGTCTCAGCACCAGCGTGAAAATGACACTAAGAAAATGTAGACGAAAACACATTGGGAACCAGAAACTTTAAGACAAAGACCAAGCTGCCACCTCTAGGCTGAGTTCAGTCATTTATATTTAATTCAAAGGCAGTGTTGTATGACTTCCCAAGTTCTGAAGTCAGAATGATGGGCTGGTCTCTCTTGGAGGAGGCAATGAACCAGTCCGGGAAGGCCACAGACTCAAGGGTGGAGGTCCTACCAGTCTTGGCACGGTAGAAAAGGAAGGGTTTCACGGGCTCGGGTTGGCCATACAGATCCATGATCTTCTGCTCCTGAAATGTCAGAACAAGTACCCATTAGGAGAAACAGAAGCTGTTTGAGATATTCAAGGTTATTCATAATAATTCAATAAATGTTCCAAAGTTCCAGAAAACCTTATCCATCTATTAGAGCAGGCCTAGAGAAACACACATTTTGAAGGAGCAGCAGAGTAAACATACATGAAATTTTACCTTCCAAGCCCCCACCCTCAAATCCAGAGATGGTGTAGGAAGTTTACAAGGGAGAGTTTAATGAACAAGCAGCCACACTTGAACAACAAGTTAGAACTCTTCTCACACAAGAGGCTGAGGTGACCCTTAGGAAGAGGAAGAAATTGGAAATTACCTCCCTTACCAATACCACAACAGTGAGAGTCACTACCCTGCAAGAACCACCGGCGTGACAAAGGACAGCCAGGTTAGGGTATGAATTTCTGACTAATTGCCACATATATGAGAAAGATAAATACCAATGAAAAAGACCCAAGAGGGTCTAACAAATCAAAGGATTTGTATCAAAGGAAGAAGGTAAATAGAGCAATCAAAAAATGCCTTCTATATTGTATATGGAACTATATTCTGTATGTCTATATATTTGTATGTACATGCATTGTATATTTAGGTAAAATAAGTATTTCTAAGTAAATTGCAAGTGTTCAAGATCTCAAGAGAGACACAGAAATGATCTGTAATTCAGCCACATTCCACCCTGAGTGAGAAGTTCTTCTCCCACAGGATTCCTTTACTCAATTAATGGCTTCCAGTTAATCTGATTCTTTGGGTGGCCAGAAACCTAGGAGTCATTATTGACATTTCTTTTTTTGATCCCCTAACATCTAACCCAGGAGCAAGGCCTGTGGACTCTATTTCCAAAATACCAAAATATTTCCTGAATCGAGTCACTTCTTGCACTCCACACATGGCATCAACCCCAATCCAGGCCATCACTCTCTCACCTGGACAATTAGGGTGACCTTCTAAATGTTCTCCTTGAACCTACTCTATTCTCTAATAATCATTCTCCATAAGGCAGGTAAGTGAACTTTAAACTGAAGTAAATAAATAAGATTATGATACCCTTTTGCATGATTTTCTATTGTTATTACAGTGAAACTCCTCGGCAAAGCCCACAGGGTCTACGCCACCCAGCTCCTGCCTACCTGCTGCCCTGCCTTCTTACCACTCTCCTGCATGCTCATTCTGCCCCCACCAACCTGTCTTCTTCTTTGCCTTCCAAGACACCAAGCTGTTCCCACCCAAGGTCCTGGCACTTACTCTCCCTGCACCTCACACCAGCCCCACATCTTCCCAAGGCCAGCTGCTCCCCATCACCTGGGTCTCCTCCTTGGGGAGAACTTTACTGAACATTCCATCCCAGCCAAAATCGGTTTGGAATCCTCCCTCCTACTCATTGCGATCATATTCCTGAGTTATTTTCTTCATTAGTACCAACTGCTATCTAAACTTAGCGTATTTATTCATCAATCCCAGAATGATTGTTAGACTTGTTCATCACTGTATTCCTCAACACAGAGGAAAGCCCCCAGCATTCTACTCAACAGAGATTTGCTGTTTAATAAATGGAAGAATGCTTCCTCCTTTGAAACTCCCATACCTCCTCCATCATCACCTTCAACTTCCTACCCACTGAGAAAATTGAAGTAATTAGAAGACAACTTGTACAAACCACACCATAACATGGGCTCCCAGCACATGGCACCCATATCTGCACCTCCCTGCTTGAGGAGGACTGGGTGAAAGGTCCTATCTGCACTTGCAACTTAAGGACATCCCTCTAGCCGTTCTCCCTGCTCTCTTGTGCTCCATCAATTTTGCTTGCTCTTCTTAGTCATTCCCATCAGCATATTTGCTGTCATTTCTACCATCTTAAACAAAATAACTACTTTGCTTACCCACCACCGCCACCAGTTCCACTTTGCAGAAAACTTCCTGCAATCGCTGTCCATATCTGCTGTCTCTGATCCCTTTCTTGTAATTCCTCCCTTTAAACTTACTCCATCCAGGCTTTTGCCCCCACTACAGCACCAACACTGCTCCTGCCAAGGTCCCCAAAGACCCACACATTGCCAAACGCAACAGTCAATTCTTAGTCCCCATCTGAGAACAAACGCACAACATAAGGGTGACTTAGCTGACAGGACAAAGTAGCAAATGTCATTCTCAGTCCTGACTTTATTGATCACACTCACAATCCTGTTTCCTCCACTTAAAATACTACCAGAATCTGACTCACTGCTCCCCACCTCTGCTGCTATCTCCTGGCCCATCAAATCACACCTAGACCACCTCAAAGTCTCCTGAAGGACTTTCACCTTTGCCCGCCACAGTCTAAGATCTCCAGAGAGATCCTTTTTAGACCTAAGCCCCTTCACGCCATTCCTCTGTTCAAAACATTCTAATATTTCCCATTTCACTCAGATTGCAAGGCTGAGTCCTTGCAAAGGACAAGACTTTCATGTCTGCCTTTATCTCTCTGGACTCATTCCTCAATTCACTCCTGCACACCGGTCCTCACTGGTCCTGGGACGTGCCCTCACTAGACACCTGCTAACTAACTTCCCTAGCTCTTTCTACTCCCTGCTAACATCTCACCTAGGCAATGATGCCTATTGCACTATTCACCACTGCAGCCTGACGCCGCCTGTGTTCCTGGTACTGCTGGTCTATCTATCCTGCTGTAACCATTTTTATTTTTCTAGGAGAGGTAAAGACCTCTAACATAGCACAAATTTGCCTACTATTACATTTATTGTTTGCCATTTCTCTCCTTTCACTAGAATCCAAGCCCCACATGGTCAGGGTTCTTTGCCATTCTGTGCACAGCTATATCTCAAGCATCTACGCAGTGCTAGAGGCCAGGAAGTACCCATACATGCGCTTAATTGAATTGGATTGAGTTGAATCAAACTGAATTAAACTGAAGTTTGTGGAACGAGGACAAACAGTCATTAAAAAATAAAAAAAGAACAAACCAGAGAGCTTGGGAATTAAAAGAGTAAAGATTGAAATTTCAGGAAATGCTATAAAAGGATGATTTCCAGAAGGGACAACACTGAAAATGTAACCATGAGCTGGCAGAGCAAAGCAAGAAATTCTTCCAGATGCAACACCAAAATTTTAAAAAGCAATGAAGGGATAGAAAGTATAAAAAATTAGATGAGATATCGTGAGATATTGAAGTGAGATTCATAACTTCCAACGATGGATGAATAGGAATTCCAAAAGGAAAATAAGGGTGAGAATATACTTGAAGAAATGATGGCCAAGAATATATCAAAGGTTAAGAAAGACAGAGCAGTGTGAAGAAGAGGCAAGAACAGCCCCCAGACTGACCAAAACCCGCACAATGCTGCATCCTGCATCCAGTGCCTATATCCCGCTGGGGTGGCCACCACCATGCCCAGGAGAAAGGCTGAAGGGGATGCTGAAGGAGATAAGCCAAGGTGAAGGACGAACCACAGAGAAGGCCCGCAAAGTTGTCTGCTAAACCTGCTCCTCCAAATCCAGAGGCCAAGCCTAAAAATGCCCCTGCAAAGAAGGGAGAGAAGGTACCCAAAGGGAAAAAGGGAAAAGCTGATGCTGGCAAGGAGGGGAATAACTCTGCAGAAAATAGAGATGCCAAAACAGGGAAGGCACAGAAAGCTGAAGGTGCTGCAGATGCCAAGTGTAGTGTGTGCATTTTTGATAACTGTGTACTTCTGGTGACTGTACAGTTTGAAAAACTATTTTTTATCAAGTTTTATAAAAATGCAGAATTTTGTTTTACTTTTCTTTTTAAGCTATGTTGTTAGCACCCAGAACACTTCATTGTTGTTTTTAGGGGAAGGGGCATATGTCACTAATAGAATGTCTCCAAAGCTGGATCGATGTGGGGAAAACACCTTTCCCTTCTAGTTTTGAGAGAGTTCCTCTTGGCTCCCAGGAGGAGGGATTCTCTGACTTTGACACACATGGCCACCTTGGCAGAAAAGCCTTGTGGTATGGAAAATAAATTCATTTTTATGTCCTCTTCTCCCTTTCCATCTTTCAGCATAGATTTAACTCCTTTAAGCCAGACATCTGTTGGGACCTGGCCCTCAATCATTGGTTACCAGTATGTCAGGCACTCTGGACTTTCCAGTGATGCCACTGAGATGGCACCTGTCAAAAGAGCAGTGGTTCTGTTTCTAGATCGTGGATCTTCAGATAAATTCTACCATTTTCATTTCACTTCCTGAAAGTCAGGGTTGGCTTGTGAAAAGTTTAAACCACATGCTAAATGTGAAATGTCAACTCTCACTCTAAACTCTCCCTGTTCAGAGCATCAGATGAAGACTTCATTGAGTTTTATAGTGGCTTTCTGATTTTTGGTAGTCCTTTGAACAAGGGAGTTTGAAGTTTGCTGCATACTCTTAACAATTGTCTGCCCATATCCTGCCTGAAATACCATGAATGTTTATGGAAAGTATCTTTAATAAAGCTGGATGCAGTTTGGCTTGGAAAAAAAAAAAGCAAAACAAGGACCTTAACTACTGACAGCCAGAATAAAAAGAAAAGTGTATTGCATGCACATAACTTAAAAGAGGCTGGGAATAAATATGCTTAGGAAGATGAGACTATTTCTTTTTTAATTCTAAAATTAGGTATTCAACCAAACACTTCTAAAAGGAAAGGCTTTTTAAATATTTTTCTTAGCTACTCACTTTTAGCTGCAATGTGGGCTGTTCTCCAACCTTCTCACAATACAAACACATTTCTGGATTCTGGATTCCCAAATAAATGGGATCCCCTCTGCCTTGCTCAAGAGCCTCTGGATACTTGCATGTGATAACAGCAACAGTGACTGTAAAGATAAGAGGAGAGATGGTATCAGTTTCCTTTTGAAGTCAGAAAGATTATTTGATTTAGCAGGGCAGTATCCTCAAGTGGATCTGGAAGAGAGCTGAAGAGTGTAATCCCAACTAGACCCACCAAATGGCCAACCCCCATATTCATTCATTCATTCATTCATTCATACCATGTGCCAATCACTGCCCTAGTAAATGAGCAAACACAGAGAGCTAAGCAGACAACAGAGTATGCTCTTGAGATTCTCACGCCTCTGCTTGAGCACATGGAGATGGGGAGCTCCTACATCAAGCAGCCCCTCTGATTCTTGGAGAGCTTGGTCCCTTTTGCAAGTTTTTCCCAATGTGATGCTGAAACCTGCCTTTCTGTGGTATTCACCCATTTAGTCATTTTAGGACACCCTGAAGTCATGCAGAACAAGCTACTAGTCTTCCATAAGACAGGGCTTCAGATGACTGACAGCAGCTTTCCTATTCCCTTGGAGGCTCCTCCACCATCTCTGGCTTCTTCATCTTAGTGGAACCCAAAGTTCTCCCTGACTTCTCTTCCCAATTAGGTGTGAAATTCTCCCCACTCCTGGTGGGCCCCATTGTAAAGTCACACTTTTACAAAAGGCTGATGCCAGCTTCCCAGCCACAGCAGTGCAAACAGTGGGGAAGGCACAGGGTGACCACTCACCTGGGGTCACACTGTCACTTCGTGGAACTGCCACAAGGTTCTGACCCTGAAGGGTCCACACTTGCTGATTCAAATCATTAATAGTCCCAGTAATAGGTTTACACACTGATTTTGGGATAGAGAAAAAAATGAAGAAATATTATAATCAAGGCTGCTTTACTAGACCCAGGAGAAAAGTATCTAACCCAGGCCATTTTGTAAGGAAGGTGTGGGGTTTGCATCCCCAAACTGACAGCACTCACATCACCCATCAGCCTAGCCTTTCTTTCTAGTGAAGTTGTGAGCTCTGGTGAGGAAGGCAAGGGCTACCAAGGGAAGTCACTGGTTTAAGAGGGCAAACTATCAAGACAGAGGGCAATGAGCAGTCTCACAGAACCTGTGTGCCAAGGCCCAGCTACCCTCTTTTGTGCCTACTCTGTGCTTGGCCCCGGTGCTGGGGACTGGAGCTGGATCAGTGACTAAGCAATAGCTCCCACCCTCCAGAAGCCCAGGGCCCAGTGGTAGGTGGGCAGCACCAGGTGGGAAGGGCAGTGTACAGAGAGGAGCAGAGAAGGCTGGGGCTTCCACAGGAGATAGCGTGAGTGCAGAGGGCCTAAGCCTCCAGAGCCCCATCCCAACAGCATTTGATTCACTTGATTGATAGACGGCCCTTCCTCCACCATCAGCGTCTCCTGGAGTGCCTCTCATAGTGTGGTTGTCTCAGCACCTGTGAAAGCAGACATAGAACAGATGAACCACAAGAGATGTTTCCAAGACCTTCCAGGACACTAGCTCCACAGGCCCTCATTCTAGACAGGGAGCTGGGAAACCTGGCCTGACACGAAGCTCTGGGCAGAAGTTCTGAGCCACATCTGGGACGAAACTTGAAGGAAGCATCAGCAAAGGGAGAACAGGTAGAATTTTCCTCCACCTGGAGATCCAGATAGTATGGTAGTGTCTCCCCTAGGAGTTCGAAGGCCAGGCATAAAATTTGACCTTAAATAACCCACAGGCACCTGATGCCCTGACTCCTCTTCTCTGAAGCCTCCACCCCTTCATCGGCATTGTTTTTGCCTAGGAGCAGGGGAGGGTCCCATGCCAGGGCCACTCTGCCAGGATCCCAGCAACTCCCCAGTAAGAAGCAGCCACACATAGGACAAAGCACAGAGCCAGCCTGATGTGGCCCTTCCCTTCATTAAGCCCAAAGCACAGATGAGAGGAAAGGCTCCAGAGGGAGGGAGAAGAGGTTTTCCAGCTATTGACTATACCTGGCAAGAAAGGGTCTTTATCTACAGTCCAGGGGACTGAATCGTGGCTCCAGCAGCTTCCAAGGTCAGTGATGGGTTCTAATGGAGCCTGGATCATTTATCTGGATGAGCAGAGAAGGAGGCTCCAGCTTCCTGGGTGGGGCATGAGAAACGTATGACATGAAAGAAAACCAGCTCCTCCTACCAGAAGATCCTGTGAGGCTCGGAGGAAGAAATCACAGAATTAGCACAAGTATCACCTGTCCGGGCTCGCTGAGAAATAAGTGTTGAGCCAATCCGCACAAAATCAACCACAAGGAAATGAGGTTGATGACAGATCCTAGGTTTCTCATAAAGGGGAAACTAAGGGAATTTCCCAGAGTTCAGCTCTCCTGTCATGTCATTCTAGAGCTAGAACTGGAAATGCCAGGCACTCTCATGTCAGGGACTCCATCTCCTGGGACTGGGAGCCTTGCCCTCTGCAGTCAGGCTAAAGGCATCCTGTAAGAGCAAAATTAGCCACACGTCTCAGGCAAGGTCCCTGTGGCATTTCTCAACTACCCCACCTAAGGCCACACCTGAATGGAAAGCCAGGCAGTAGAGCTCCCCTACCTAACACTCTTTCAGCTCCATCCACATGGGGAGCCACAGGGACTATGCAGACTGGTCTTTTAACTGAGGCAATCCTAGTTTCAGGTACCCTCAAAATGCAGTGGACTCCAGAACTGCCTAAGGAAGTAAAGAGGTGGGCAGCGATTTCTCCCAAATCTGAGCCCCAGATGCCAGCTTATCCCCCACCCTCTGCCCTAGGTTCCTGATCAGTGGTAATAGTTATTTTTATATCTTGTTTATACACCCCATCCTATCTGCTGTAGCCAAGCCTAAAAATTTACTGAGGTATAAGTTAACTACTAGAGTGAAGTGAGTTTTAGGAGACAGACTTGAAGCACTAACAGCTTCAGGTTTACCCATCTATAAGGAAGAAAAGCACAAAGAATGAGACAGAACCTTCCAGATAAGCTCATCCATGAGCCCCTCTTCCCAGCCCTGCAAAGAGTCTCCTGACTCAACGTCTCTTACTTTTCACCCTAATCTCCTTTCTGGCCTTGGAAGAACACAGTCCTTTCCTGCCATGGCCCCAATTCTATCACTTTTGGCTTCCAGTGTTTCTGTGACCCTAGGAAAGAGTGTGGTAATGCCAGGTGCACTTTTGTTCAAAGTCAACCTGAGCCAGTGCCACCTCACTTGAGTCTCCATTGCCCTGTTAAAAATCCCCTCCATTACACATCAGTCAACATAACTCCTTTCTTGGGATGTTCACCACAAAACAGCATCTAAAATTCCCATCATTTGACCCCCCAAATCCCTTAAGCCTGAATTTCCAACTGGGATCCCTCTGAAAGCAGAATCCATGCTAGGAATTGCAAACAAAGGGAATTGAATAAAAGGAACTAGATACACGTGTGTTGGAAAGCCAAAGAAGATTAAGGGATTGCTGTGGTATCTCAGATAGTAACAACTACAGGAAGGAAACAAAAGGGAACAAAAGAACCTAGGTCTCAAAGGAGCGCTTTTGTAGGACTTATCCCCAGATATGAGTCGGAGGTGAGGCGTTCTCTGCCAAATTGATGCTCAGACCTCTGAAAAGAGAGTACAGTCTGGTCAATGCTTGGAGCATGAAGGTGGAGGGGAGGGGTCAAGAAGAGGATGCTCAGAGGACTCACAGGACACAGCTCTAACAGCTGAATTTTCTTTGGTTCAAAAGCCTGTGGGTACAGCTAGAACTTCCCACGCCCAGATGAAGGTTGCAAAAACTATAAAAGAGGGTGACATGTGTCCTCTTCAGCCTCCGCCCTCATTCCACTTGGTCCTGACCCTTCAATAGATTCCAAGCACTCAGAGAATCCAGCCCTTCCTAGAATTCCCAGCACTCAGCATCCATCCTGAAGTCCCTAGTTTAACTGTTAGTGTGAATAAGTATCAGAGAAATTGGAGGGAGTAGGAGTGATGATGATAAAAGGGGAGAACTGAATCACTGGGGTTGATCAGTAAAGAGCAGAGATCACATCTACTGAAGAAATGGCCCCGAACGTTTATCTTAAAGTGGAAGGGATGGATGTTATAATTACATGATACCCTGGCTGTACTTGAGAAAACCATCAATATTGATTCTGGTTATAAAAAGTAAAGAACATAGCGTTGCTATATTTTATTTATTACCATTGATTGTTTTATTTATTATCAACGATTTATTATCATGGAGAACAATGACAATGATGCTTATCATTAAGTGTGGCTTGAATTTAATTACCATAAGTACTGACAAGGCCAAATTCCCTAGATATGAAAATGATTTTAAGAAAACACTTAGTCCAGATTCTAATTTCCAAGCTCTATGACACTGTCAATCTACATTCATTTGGTAATAAGCCCTGCTACTAGTTTGTTCACTTAACATGCTCATTACCTTATTAAGTTGAGGGAATATCAATGAAATGCAGGTAGGGTAAGAGAACTTGATTACTGACCACCACTACAATCTCTAGAATCTCTACAACACCTTTTTCATGAAACCAGGCACACAATCATAACAAAGCAGAGGGAGCCATGGAGCAGTAAAGGTTATTCAGCCCCCACCATTGCCAACCATAAAAAAAATCACCTTAGTAGTAAAATTAAACTTAGAATCTATAACTCCGGACTCCAAATGCAGAGCTCTCTGCTGGAGTCATAGGTCCTCCTTGGGGCCCCCAAAGAGGACCAAAGCCATGTGGCCTATTACCTATCAAGGGCTATCTACAAGCAGGCTGGCAACCTGGCCTGAAGATTGCCACTGGAAAGAAGTTGGCATTCATCTCGCTTAAATTGGTGGGGCAACATGGTGTGTACCATGAACCACAGAGACCAGTGTGGGGCCATTTGTACTCTAGTGGACTTGGGAAAATGCCAAGGAAGCTCTTGGCATAGGCTCTGTGGTAAAGCCTTTACCCAACGTAGATGGAATGATGTGCATGGACATGGCCGAAAGCCTCTGCTCCTCCACATAGCCCAAGCCCATTATCAAAGACTTGCTTCCTATGAGCTGATCCATTACATCTTCCTGAAGCTGGTTTCTATGAAACCCCAGACTTTGGCACATAGGCCAACACGCTATTTAAATGAAGGACAGAGTAACAAAAATAACCCCAAAGCTACACATCAAAATGGCAGTAATAAATAGAAACATTAAAAGAGTTAAGACTAAAGAACCAAACCATATAGGACTATTGTAAAGGCATATTTCTCTAAATTTAAAACAGTTATTGGTTAAATTGTCATTTATGTGCAACAACAACAAAGAACTAAAGCAATAAAAAGCCTTAATTAGACAGCACATAGTGCAACTCCTGAGAAAGGGGTCCAGGTTAAATGCCTAGAGTTTGAAATTCCTAGACAAAGAGCCAAATGACAGAGAACCCTTAGCCTTCTTTGCCCCAAATCACACAAAGTGCAAAATCCATATAAAAAAAAAAAGATGATAAATTGAATATCACCCAAATTTTAGAATTTTGGACAAAACACATCATGAAATGAATTTAAAAAGACAGACTACCCAAGATAAAATATTTGTAACACATCTAACAAATAATTAATATCCAAAGTTTATAAATAATTCTTACTAAGCAGCAGGAAAAGTGCAAATAATTCCATAGAAAAATGAGCAATTGACGTAAAAAGTATTTCACTGAGTAGAAAATATAAATGTCCAATAAATATAAGTAATTATAGTAAACCACACTGGTAATTAGCAAGATGCAAATCAAAGCAATACTGAGATTCAGTTTCCACCCATTAGGAAGGCACAGATTAAAAAGATAGTAGGCAATAGTGTGAGACAATAGATTCACTCACCACATGGATGGCCGTGTGAATCATTGCAGACTTTTTGGAAAGCAATTTTGTAGAGGCTATTAAAAATGATAATGTGTTTACGCTTGGCCCCATATGTGTACTTATAAGAGTCTATCAATTTAAGTTATTTTCAGCTTCGAAACCTGAAAAATCCTATTCAAGTGGCTAAAACAATAAAAATATTTACTAGGTTACATAATTGGAAGTCTAGGATTATTAATTATCAGAGTTGCTGACCTGATAGTTGTATAAGGTGAGCAAGGACCAGTATTTTTAAAAATTCTCTCTGGTCTTAAGTTTAATTCATAACTTAAGGCCAGGTTTCTCCAAGGCCATTAGAGGGCTGCCTGTGTCAATCAGAACTGTATGCTCAGTCATTCACATCTTGTAGAAAAAAGGAATATCTCCCCTACAACTATCAAAGACTTTCTAGTCTATTTGGGCCAACTTGGGAGCCATGCTGTGTCAATTGGGGTGCTAACAAAAAAACAGATGACATGTTCAAATTTGGCAATTGGAGGTAAATGTCATGAAGGAGTTATTTATAAAGATATGGGTAGAGTACAGGGAAATCCCAAGGCATAGTACAGAAACTCAGGCTACTAAAAGTGGGGTATACCTCTGGCCGCCCCTAGGCCTGAAAGGACAAGAGGAGGTTACTAGAACGCAGAGAGAGAAAGAACTTTGTGAACAAGGCCACCTAATAGGAGCTGTGACCTTCATCAAGAAAAATAGCCTGCAGTGACCCCATGGGAAAGGAACCAGGGAATACAGTCATGCATGGCTTAATGACGTTTCACAGTGCAAACATCACAGAGTGTAGGCACAGCCTACCACACACCTAGGCTATATTGTACAGCCTATTGCTCCTGTACAAACCTGTACAGCATGATACTATACAGTGAAATTGCTGACCCCTCAAAGTGATAAACATATGCATCTGAGGGGATAATGTTACATATACCTGCTGTGGTCAGGCACTCCCAAGACTGGACAAGAAAGCAAAGCCAAGGGCTGCTGAGATCATGGCTATGAACACTCCTGTGCAGGGCCATAAAAACCACAAAGAAACTGGCCATGGCGAGATGCCTGTAGAAGCTCTGCTCATGAGAACTCTGAGTCCTTTTTTCCATCTGGCATCGCCACCAGGAGCCCTACCGGGAAAAGAGCAATGAGAACCACCTCTCTCCAACCCCCTGCAAAATATATTTGCATGATTGCTAGTGTATGAAAGCCTTGCAATAAGCCATGAATTCATGAGCATCTAATTGGCCATTGAGTCACTGTGAAACCTCTTTCCCTCACCCCCACTCCCATTCAAGTTAGCACAAGTACGCTGATTTTAACCCGACATGACATTCCCATTCTCTAAGTTCCTTTCACTACACCCCCTTGGCCAAACCCAGAAGCCAAGGGCAACTAGAAGCCAGAAGGCAAGGAAGCCCACAGATGCAGGTCAGCCTCCTGGGCAGACAGCCAGGAGAGAAGCATGGAGGGTGGATTTGGAAAGGTAATTGGAAGTTATCCAGCATAGTCCATGCCTCTTGCCCCTCAGGACCATATTCTTCTTTCTTGGGTAAGACATTTGTGTTCCCTCTCACAGGTGAAATTCTGAATCATCACATTAGGTCAATGTAGTCATACTCCTATCTGAAACTTTTAAAAGCCACCCCCAGTGTTACTCATGTAAGGTGGTTAGAGAAAAAGGCAGGGATAGGGAGCAAACAGTTAAATAGAACATCGAGACTCCTTGATTCTGTAGTTACTCACCAAAGCCAAGTTTGGTAATCATAGCTACCTTCTTCTACCATCCATCCCATGTTCCGCTTACATTTGCCAGCACCTCTGCTGGATGCTGTTCTTCACCTTACAGTTGAGTCAAGCCTCCATTTCTGTGCAATCCAGGTCCTCAGTGCTCTTCTTTATTGGGTGCTTCCATTTTCCATTGACTGAAACTACCAGACATGAAAGAAGCAAGAGATTCCCTGGAGTAACAAGACATGTTCCGGGGGAACTCCTGGGCTCCAGACATAGTCCTATTTACCTCTACTGAGTAGCAGCAATCCAGTTTTCCCCCTGAGCAATTAGGATCAATCAGCCCAGCCAGTAAGGTGATCCCTTTCTGCCCATCTACATAAAATTAAACACTGCATGTTCTCATTTATAAATGGGAGCTAAACAATGGGTACATATGGACATAAAGATGAAAATAACAGACATGAAAATTCCACAGTGGAGTGGGGTGGGAGAAGGGCAAAAGTTGAAAAATCACCTGTTGGGTACAATGTTCACTGTTTGGGTGATGGATACACCAGAAGCCCAAACCTCACCATTATGCAATATGCCCAGGTGACAAAACTGCATGAGTGCTCCTTGAATCTAAAATAAAATAAAATAACCAAAAAAAAGGAAAAAAAATTGTAATGATTTACTGGCATTCTCCACAACCCATGTAGTATCTGTACCAGCAGAATAGGCAAATTAAGTAGGGATATGAAATTAATACCCTAATATCTTTCAAGTCTGTGACGGTGACACTAACTCTAGTCACTCCCCCAGGGACGGAGTTTTGCTTTGGGTTTCTGGTTTATCATCTTGGCAGAGGGTCAGGAGAAATTCTAGGGGCTTCCCCTTGACCCTCTCTCCATAACAACTTTCACTTTATAAGAAGGAACCCAATGTGGACATCCTGCCAGTCACTAAATTTATCTTGTTGCACTGTACATTTTGAGCCCAAAGAAATAATCTCAGGCTGCCTCTTTAGACAAAATCAGTCCCAGAGTTCATCTGTCTCCTCTGCTTTATAATCCTCTGCTGTGATTGATGGACCATTGTGGCATTTTTTTGCCCCTGGAGATTTCCATCAATACAGAGGCAGTATCTGAAACCCCCAGATACTATTTCGCTCTCCCACTGCATAGCCCTGATAAATGGCCATAAGTATGTCTGGCAAAGTCTTGGAGAAAGATTCTTACTATATACCAGTCACCATGTATTAGTCTGCTCAGGCTGCCATAACAAAATATCACAGGCTGGGTGGCTGAAAGAACAGAACTTCATTTCTCACCATTCTGGAGGCTGGAAGTCCAAGATCAAGGTGTCAATAGTTTTGGTGTCTCCTAAGGGCTCTCTCCTTGGCTCACAGGTGGCCGCCTTCTCTCTGTTCTCACATGACCCTGTGTGCATCCCTGGTGTCTCTTCCTCACATTGCAAAGTCACATTGGATTAGGGACCCACTTTATAGCCTCATTTTACCTTAATTACCCCTTGAAACACCCTATTTCCAAGTAATCACAGTAGGGTTTAGGGCGTCAACGTATGAATTAAGAGGGGGGACAAAATTCAGACCATAACATGCCACTATGCAAAGTTCCTCCTCAAATGGACCTGGCCTTCATCTTAGGAATCCAGGGCTTCGATCTTCCTTAGACCTGGAAATTGGGTAAAAAGCTATACATTTCCACCACAGTAATTTGAGTTCTTTTCTGTACACCAGACCTAAAAATCTTCCTCCCATATGTGTTAAGCAGCACCTTAGAAGCTTTTCCATGTATTTCATTTCTACAGACCCTGAGATGAATTTGTCATTGCCACGGGGTCCTGAAGTTCAAATACTCTATTTGGTATCCTGCCCCTGTGGTTAACTGTGATCATTTCACTCACCTTGTTTATGATGAGAGGTGCCACCATCTGGCCTCCTCCACTCTGCAATCCTGTTAATTCCTATCAAAGCTGAAAACCTGCTGCAGCACCCACACCATCACCTCCAGCCTAGAGAGGGAAGCTACCAGTGAGCTCTCCTGGATGCCGGTGTGCCCCTCGCCAATACATTTCTTCTTAGTCCCTTGGTCATCCTGAGGTGTGTGATTAATGGACAGCTATGTGGATTGCACATAATAGATGTACTCCAGCATCTTCATCCCTGATTTTCCTTTACAGAAATCACTCAACCTTAGCAACATGTGAAAATCACCTAAGGACATTCTTTAAATCCCTCTGTCCACATGGCAACACAAACCACTTAAATAAGAATCTCCAGGGAGTCACTCAAGCATCAATGTTTTTTAAAGCTCCAATTTTAAGGATCATTACATTATGTCGAAGAAATTATAGTATTTCAGCCTTACTGACTGTAAACCACCACCATATCTAAGCATCCATTAGTCAACCTAGCAGACAATAAACTAACATTACCTCCAGGTACTCAAATCAATTCATTGCATCCCAAATCCCAGATGGGCCCACCCTTATTGACAAATTCAGCCCAATCTTGGTTGAACACATTTAGAATATATTTCCATGAACAATATCCGGTTGACGAGTTTCTTTAACTTTTTGGAGTTTAGGCCATTTCCTTTCACAGTAGCCTTGTAAATTCCCTGTCAGTGCTCCATGGGGGTCATGAGGAGACCTCTTATTAGCCTGTGAGGCAACTTGGCTCAGGTGCAGACACTCAAATGCTTCACATGCAGTGGGAAAGGAGAGTGATTGTCTACCTCAGTTGTCAATGGAGCCTCAAGGACATACGAAGGTTCAAAGTTCTCAACTCATATATGCCTGATCAAACGTCCCCATATGGTGTCTCAGAGTCAACTCCTTCCCCATCAGTGCCCTGACTTCGGCATAACAAACCTGGCAGGTTAAGTGATTAATCGGTCCTGTACAACTGTAGCCCTTAGCAGGAAGCACTAAGCTTCGTTTTCATTTATTTCTTCCCTGGAACTGCAAGAAATGAGGGATGCCTTCCGCCATGAAGTTTTGCTGATTGTCCACTTTGTTCTCAAGGAGATATTCACAGTTTTTAATTTGTCTTTCTCTCCTGCATGGTCTCCAAACCTGTCCAAAGAAGCCAGCTGGCTCCATCATCTGTAAAATCACCATTGTCACCAGAGCACTTGACTTCCTGTTGCCCTACAATCCACCTGCACTTTATTTCCTGCCACCATGATAATGTAGTGTTACTACATTTTACATTCAGCTGTAAGAAATGTCACATTCATTTACCTAAATCAAATTAAGTCTGCTCACTCAGTCCCCCACAGTGACCAACCTATAAAAGAGAAGGTAAATTTCAGTCATCACTGAGGTTCTCTCTACCACTGGAAAACTGAGGAAGGGTCTGGAGTCCACAGTGGTTAACATCATTGCCTCTGTTTTTTCTCCTACTCAATGTAACCATCCAAGGTTACTCACAAATTCACAAAAAGAGGTCTTCACCTCTGCTCTCAAGACCCAGAGGGCTGGGTTCTAGACTCAAAGGCCAATGTTCCCCAACTTTTTGCATTGTTTCAACATTGGGGAAAACTCGAGGGGATTCAAGAATGGTTATATAAGTTTTGTGGAAAAATGTATAATTTTTTAAAATTAAAATACAAAGTATTATGGAAAGCACTAAATATTGAATTTATATAAATATTCCAAATATTTTTCTAAATTTTTAGTGAGAAACTTGAGCTTGCTTCTGTGAGATATTTATTTTAAAACAGATTTGACACTTAAAATGTCTAATCAAGCCTTTTAAACCATGATCTATCTCTTCAAATTCTTCAGATGCCACCATCAATAAGAAACTTTGTTCACACAAGTAAGTGGTAGCAAATGGCAGGGTGTTTATCATTTTTTTTTTTTCTTTTTTTGAGACGGAGTCTCGCTCTGTCGCCCAGGCTGGAGTGCAGTGGCGCGATCTCAGCTCACTGCAAGCTCCACCTGCTGGGTTCACGCCCTTCTCCTGCCTCAGCCTCCCGAGTAGCTGGGACTACAGGCACCTGCCACCACGCCCGGCTAATTTTTTGTATTTTTAGTAGAGACGGGGTTTCACCGTGTTAGCCAGGATGGTCTCGATCTCCTGACCTCGTGATCCGCCCGCCTCGGCCTCCCAAAGTGCTGGGATGACAGGCGTGAGCCACCGCGCCCCCGCCGTGTTTATCATTTTTTGCCTGATGAAATTTTCCTTGCCACTACTCTGGATGGTTTGATACATTTAAATTGTGCTTCCAGGGTACAATTATCCTTTAAATCTATACCTCTTTCCTTTCTTTTATTGACAAATATAATGTTACACTTTTCTGTCATTGCAGCCACACCACCAGTACACAGATCCCAACAGAGTTGTAATATTTTATTAGTTTCAGAGTTTCAATATTTTATCACTTTCAATACTTCATGTGCAGGAGTTTTATTTGGTACTTCTTTACAAAATAAATGATGTGCTTCCAAGCATTTCTTTTCAATAATTCCAATCAATGTTATTAACTGAGTAATACTAGTATCTGTTTATTCATAAATTCACAGGAAATGCTTTTTTACTTATTAGTCTTTGGAATTCTGTTGTTTGTATAAACATCTTTCATGATGGCTTTGTGTCTACCAATAGCACTATTGCCAAAAGGCACCTTTTTCTTGTTCCTTTACTTCACTGGTCCGAAGCCTGGTACCAACAACTACCACACAGACTGGGAAATGAGCAATTTTGCCACGTGCCCTTAGCTATTAATGGTGGCACTCCATAACTAGCATCTTAAGCTCAATTTCATGAAAGAAATGTGTTTCTTATTTTGTACTTGCAGGCACTTTTTAAACTTGTAATCTTTTATTCATACTTTAAAATTAAAACAGAGTAATAGAACCCATAGAAGGAAATCAATACCCACGAGTCCATACTGATATAAATAAATAGTTACATAAATAAATGGGGGGAGAAATAACAGCTCTTCCTTACAGAAAAATTTCAATTAATAAATGAAGAAGGAATTAGGGAAATACAACGTTACCATTAAGCAACCACAGTAATAATCATTACAGGCAATATCCAAAAATAAATTCCAAAGCCAGTGGGCAAAAGTTTGAGGAGATACAGGATATTAACATAGTCTCCAAATAGCTCATGCTATTTATAAATTACAAAAGGAAACATAACAACTGTATAGTGAAGAAACTCAGCAGACACCACCTTAGCCAAGTGATCAAGGTTAACGTCACTAGTAATAGGGCTTGTTGACATACTGGACTCCAATCTGATACACTGATAAGGACACATGACTTCTGCAGTATTCTTACCAAAAACAGAATTCTAATGTAATTAAGGAAAATGTCAGACAAACCTATTCTGAGAAACATTCTATAAAACAACTAACCAATACTTTCAAAATTGTCAAGGTCATAAAGACCAGGCGATGGTCACAGATTTGAGGAGACTAAGGAGATACAACAACTAAATACACAAATGGAACCATGGCATTCTTGATTGGATCTTGAAACAGAAAAAGGATATTAGGAGGAAAAGCTGATGAAATTCTAATACATTCTGTAGTTTAATTAATAGTATTGTACCAATATTAATTTCCTAGATTTGATCATTATACTATGGTTAAGTTTTTAACATTAGAGGAATCTGGGAGAATGGTATATATGAACTCCACTGTTCATTCAACTTTTTCAGTAACTATTATTTCAAAATAAAGTTTAAAAAAGAAAACACAATGAATGTATTATAGTAGACTGCTAGAGTGTTTGGTTTGACATATTGATTGTTTTGATAATTTTCCATGCAAACAAGATATTTAGGCTAAAGAGGAGAAGAATTATCAGGAAAGGCAGATCCAAATGGAGAAATTCTTTAGTATATCGCCTAATTGGTGATTTACATTTTTTATTTCTTCTTGGTTTTCTCCAAACAAAACAAACAGTGATCACGTTATAAACCTGAGACTCCCAGCTTTAATAAAAAGTTATCTATTATACTGGCCAGAAAATAAATATCCATAAAACAGTATGTCTATTTATATATAAAGTACACAAAGGCCTTTATGGCTTCAGATAATTCCTAAAAATTTAGGTTTTCTCTATTCTTAAAGACATTTCAAAGCAAATTGGATAAAATATTTGAAAAACTTAAAATATGATAATAAATTTGTTTAATTCAACAATAGAATTTCTAAACTACTCACAAGATTTAAATACAATAAGAGTTTGGACAATGTTTTGAAAATATAAACAATATTCCGAAGCCCTAAGGCTATCAGTCCCCCACTTAATGATTTAATTAATATGTCTCTCTACTTACTCTTTCTTTTCAAAATTGACTTAGCTTTTTGGAGATCTTCAGAATAAGTTTATTGAGTTTCTTAAAGAACTCAACTGCGGGATCATATTAAACTTACAAATTAATTTGGGAGAAATATAAGTACATGATAATACAGTTGGCCCTCTGTATTCATGGGTTTCACAACTGTGGATTCAACTAACTGTGGATGAAAAATACTTGGGAAAAAAAGAATGGCTGCATCTGTACTGCACAAGTGCGTGCTTTTATTCTCGTCATTATTCCCTAAGCAATACAATATAACAACTATTTATATAGCATTTACGCTGTATTAGGTATTATAAGTAATCTAGAGATGATTTGAAGTATACAGGAGGATGTGCTTAGGTTACATGCAAATATTATGCCACTTTATATAAGGCCCTTGAGCCTCCTCAGATTTTGGTATCCATGGCAGTCCTGGAGTCAATTCTCCTGCAACATCTCCATTTGTTCAGATTCTCTTCTATATCATGTTTATATCAGAAAATCTACATAAGATTTTTTAATGTGTTCATATAGGTTTTGTGTATTTTTGGTTGTTAATCCCTAGATATATGCAGTATTTATTGCTATTATGAGTAGTGTTTCTTTACCATGTATTCTAGTTGGTTATTGCTGACAGAGAAATGTTGCTGGTGTTTCTAAGTTACCTTGTTTCTAACAACCTTGCTGAACTCTTATTAGTTCTCATAGTTTTTAATTAATCTTTCTTAGTTCTGATAACATAATCTGCAAATAATGACAATTTTATATCTTTCTTTCCAATGCTTATATCTCTCAGTCCTCTTTATCCCAAAGTATTTTCCAGGATCTCCACTATAACATTAAATAGTAATAAGAATTTCTGTCTTGTTACTGATCTTAAGGAGAATAAATTTAAATTTCCTCTGTCAGGTTTTATGCTTGATATAGATTTGTGATATATAGCCTTTCACAGGTTAAAAAAAAATGCTTTCCTAGTAGTCCTAATTTTTTAAAAAAATCATCATAAATAGATGTTGAACATTATCAAATGCTTTTTCTGCATCTATAGAGATAATCATATGGTTTTTTACTATTTATTAATGTAATGAATTAGACCAATTTTCTAATGCCAACTCTTTCTTGTATTTGTAGGGTAAATCCTATGGGATCATAAAATACTTTTAATACATTGTTAGATTTGAAGAGTTAACGCCTTATTTAGAACGTTTTCAGTCACATCCATAAGTGAAATGGCACTATAGTGTCTATTACTATTATATTTTTCTGGTTCTGAAACCAAAATTATACTCACCTCATACAGTAAGTTGGGCAACTTTTGTTCTTTTTTTCTGAAACAATTTGTGTATAGAAGAAATTAACTGTTCCTTGAAAGTTTGATAATAATCATCCAGAAAATTATCCCCATCTAGGGCTTTTACAAAAAGGAGACTCTAGAATGCCATTTCGGTTTCCTTGATGTGTATTGGCCTCTTTCATTTAGGCTTTTGAATTTTTTAGGGCATTTTTTCACTATACTTTTTTTTTTTTTTTGTTGTTGAGATGGAGTCTCACTCTGTCACCCAGGCTGGAGTGCAATGGTGTGATCTTGGCTCACTGCAACCTCTGCCTCCCAGGTTCAAGCGATTCTCCTGTCTCAGCTTCCTGAGTAGCTGGGATTATAGGCGCACACCACCATGCCCGGCTAATTTTTTGTATTTTAGTAGAGATAGGGTTTCACCGTGTTGACCAGGCTGGTCTTGAACTCCTGAGCTCAGGCAATCCACCCGCCTCAGCCTCCCAAAGTAATCCCAAATCACGCTGGGATTACAGGCGTGAGCCACCGCACCTGGCTGTTTTTAAATATCTATTGATTCTGTAGTCTTGCCAGTGCCCTAATGTCAAACAGAACATTTGAATAAATGGCTCTTTTCCTAATGACACCCACCTTTTCTTCACTAAATGATTCTAATATAGGTCCAACAAGGGTTGACCCAGAGATAAATCTAAGTGAGAAAACTATGTACAGTGTGTTCAAAATCACTTCTCTGATTCAAAAACGTTGCTATTGCTAATGAAGTAAACTCCCCAACCCATTACCATAAACCCATAAACTTCAATTTAACTGACCGCTCTCCTGAAAATAGGCTTCTAGTGAACTCATCCTAATTCTTGGTCATATATAGCTAGACATGCCTGAATTTCAGGTTAGATTCCAATTAGAAGCCCCAACAATACCCACATTTTAGAATTGAACAAATAGGAGTGCAAAAAGTTTCTCACTGTCAGGCAACCTTTCTACTTTTCCTAGTCCCTGATTCCTTCCTTGACCCAGGAAATGTCCTGGGGGGGAAGATATTAAGACAGGTGGCTCATGGGGAGCCTGAGAGACAAGTTTCTAGAAGGCCATTGCATATTTAAAGAATTAGAAGGAGGAGAAAGCTGGATCAAATCTTCTAATCACACACTAAACCAGGGACTTAACCTGGCTGGCTCAGTTCACTTTGAAACCACTCAAAAGGAAAGAATTTGGGGGCAGTAAAAGTCACTGTGTAACCATTATTTTTGATGTGAAATTCACTTCAACTTAATATGTATCAGTACCTCACTTACCAGACCTGGATTAATTATATCTGTTCATTCCATCACTCATACATGTTTCCACTGGAATGATCTAATACATTGCTACTCAAAGTGTGGTCCATGTGTTACAAGTGCAGAATGTCAAGCCCCACTCCAGACCTACTGAATCAGAATCTGCATGCGTTTTTGGTAAGACCCCTAGATGATTAATACATGGAGTTTTTAGAAGCACTGCTCTAGCACCCATTTCAATCCATTAGTCGCTATGAAAGGACACTTATTCAGGTGGCCATACACACTGTGTGCAGAGGGCAAGGCTGCACACAGAGACATTTCCCTGGCAGATGAAGGCAGCCTCAGGGATGGAAGCTGAGGCTCACATTGTTCCATGTCACTACTGCTAATCTCTCTGCACTATTTCCCAAAATCCCAACCTAGGAAACAAGAATAGAAAGGCTGGAGATGAGAGACTCATTGTTTAGCTCTGATTCTGCTGCTAAATATCAATGAAGCCCTCTAGAAGTCACTTTACTTCTCTGTGCCTTTGTTTATTTACCTGTAGCTGAGGAAACCATCTCTGTAATCACTTAGAGCTCAAACTGTCAATGATTCTAAACAACAATGATGCAACTCAATGACTCCCAACTCTGAGTAATTGCCACTTTGATTTTAGTGTCCATCAACAGAGATGAAGGGTTGTGATGTAAGTAACAATCACTCCATTTTACCATTCTGTGCTGTCACTGGTCCACTATATTTAGCCCCCAGTATTATTTAAGTTTCTGCTACAATAATGCTATGTAAACAAACCCCAAACGTCAGAGACTTATACATGTTTATTTCACTTTCAGGTCTGTAGGTAGCTGCAGTTCAATTGACCTCATGTGGGCTCAGCTGCCCTTCAGCCTTTGAGTCAAGTTCATTATTCTCCATGTTTGTATTCTAGGACATGGGCTGAAGGTACAATCCAGGTTATTCTCTCTTCATGGCCAAGGGAAGGAGTTCTGAGGGAGCTGGCATAGGCTCACCATGCTTCCCAAGGCCTTAGCTTGGGACTGGCTCCCAGTTACTTCTGCCCACATTCCCTTGGCAAAAAAGTCACATGACTAAGCCCAAAGTCAAAAGGACAGGGAACTACAGCCCATCAGTGGGGAAGAGAAGCCATAGCAAGAACGGGAGAGAAGGAATCCTCATAGGCGTACACACTCACACACACACACACACAAGGCATAATCATAAAGCAAACTAAGGAGCCACCTAATATCCTTGTGGGCTTTGGTAACTTATATAGACACAAAATGGGGATATAGCTGGGAACGCTGGCTAACTCAAATGTGAGAATCAGATTATTTCTGGACATGCCTGGTCCAGCTATCTGTGGACTCACTAGAAGCCTTCCCCAGAAGGATATGAGGAGCCTTCTAAGACAGAAATCACTCTAAGTGAAGACAAAACAAGGCTTGGTGAGGTTAACCCAGTGACAGCATCTCAGTTATTAAGCAGAAGAAGGGATTTTGAGTTTACTATGCTCTCGGTGACTCGATCTCTGTGACTTGGATTTGCCTCCTGAAGCAGCTCCCATTGGCCTCCCATCTAAGCATCCCTTTCCAACTACACCGTGGCCACCATGCAAGTTGGTGCTGTGAAGACACAGGTGCCTCAGGCACCACAGCTGGCCAGCCTCTGCAAAGCAGCAGCAGCAGCAGCAGAAGCCTCAGCAAGAGCAGAGGAACAGCAGGAGTGGACTCGTTGTGAGTCCATGTCTACACTCAAAGACGGGGCACCTTACAAGGCTGAAAGGTAACCCCATCTGTAACCCATGGGCTGGTGAGACCTGACATGGAATTTATTTTAAGGTCCACTCAGAATTACTGTGGATGTAAAGCACAATGTATATCTATGTAAAGACTGATTACTATCCCAGGGGCTAGGCCCAAATGACATTTGTGGGACAATGGCAGTGACACTGACAAAGGATGGATGTAGACCACAGGTTTGGGAGCCACCTGTGAACTGTGATCAGCCAGCAGGACTCCACAGCCTGCTTCAGAGCCATTGGAAGGATATTCTGGAGGTAAAGCAACTCACTCTTACACTCAAATATTTCCTGAATGCCTCCCATGACCCAGGAGCTAGATTGGACAATGAGAACTAAGCCTTAGTAGAGCTATCCAGAGATGCTGATTTCCTTGATGCCACTGGGGAATTTGGAAATAAAAGTACCTGGAACATGCCCTTTAAGCCTCTGCCATGGATACCAAGTTTCAAAAGTAGCTGGAAGGAAAGTCAGGCAGCATCAGAATGACGCTGGGCACCCTACCCAGGAGGTGCCTTAGACAGTAGGACAGGCAATGGGAGAGCCTAGTCAACCCAGTGTGAAAACCCTTTAGGCCATGAGGGATCTGTCAGTTCAGTGAGATTGCAGACCAGAGGGTGAGCCTAGAACATTAGTAGGTAAAGCAAGGAACAGAAAGAGGTAATTGCCCAAAGATAACTTTTCTTGTTTCAACCTTTTTTGGGATTATGGTAAAACCTGAGAGGGTGGAATCAAGATTTAGTCACACACTAGCTGTGAAACTTTGGAGACAGATGTCACTTAGCCCCTCTGAGGCCTTGTCTTAATTTAGATTCTAGGCATAGTCCACACAAGGACCTTGCTGCCATTTTCCATATGCTACAAGGTTGCATCTGACCCCTTGTGAGGGTCAGCTGGATCCAAGTTTGTTGGAGAACCTGATACTGGATTCAGGTTCTCAGC
The DNA here is from genome assembly GCF_000001405.40 of Homo sapiens. Classification (NCBI taxonomy): domain Eukaryota; kingdom Metazoa; phylum Chordata; class Mammalia; order Primates; family Hominidae; genus Homo; species Homo sapiens. The sequence continues at coordinate 112,960,823 of NC_000002.12, read as the reverse complement.
ACAGGGTAGGGCCTGAGGCTGGTTTTTTCCCCAGCAACAGCTGCCGGTGAGGAAGTAGAACCTTCTTTCCAGTTGCCCTATGGAAGTTCTGAGTGCCTTCTGGGGAGGAGTCAGGGCCCCTGCTCACCTGACAGCTTGCTTTTCTCAGCCTTCTTTGCATCTGTGTAGATGGGAGGGAAACAGTTACAGGACTGACCAGCTACAGACAAGGCCTCCTGCCTCTGGGACTCAGTTGGGAAGAGATTGGGACAGGAAAGCCCTGGGGCCAAGTCCCCCAGGATGCTATTCTCCTCTCTAAAAACCAGCACATCTCTCCCCACAGAGCCCAGTGCTTGGTGACTGTCCCCAGATCTCAAGGATTCCAGGTCAATTTGAGAATTGCCCCACCTACTGGGAATACAGCCATTAGCATCATCCATAGTCTCTAAACAGCTGTGCTTAGAACTGTGTTCTCAAACTTCTAAGACTCCATGCCCTTTGAGAAAATAATCAACAAATACTTTTGAACACCTGCCATGTGCCAAGTACTGTTCTAGGTGCTAGAAATACACTACAAAAAGAAACGTTCCTTCCAGAGATTACATGGGTATTGATGAAGTAAACAAAAAATAGTAAAATTAGAACTATAAAGTAACTAATCTATTTTATTTGAACGTAACAAGTGCTTTGAGAAGAAAGCAGTGGAGAGGGATAAGAAGGCTAGGGGTGGGGGTGCATACCCTCAAATCTTGAAGAGGTGGTGTGGGAAGGCCTCCCTAGAAGGTGATATTTAAGCAAAGACTAAAAGGAAAAGAGGGAGAAAAATCATGTGAACAGTGAGAGAAGTGCATTTTGGGCAAAGAAAAGAGCAAATGCAAAGGCCCTGAAGCAGCAGCTCGCCTGGTGTGGACAACATGCAAAGTACCCACTGCCCACACCCTCTTCAAGGAAGAGCTCCCTGCCTAGTCACTGGAGCGGTGACTTAAACCAGGAGGGTGTCTAATTTACCTCAGATAGTCTCACAACGGCAGGTCCTACTAAAGGCAAAAAAAAAAAAAAAAAAAGAAAAAAGAAAATTCAAACTGACCTGGCGGTTTAACATTAAAATGCTTGCAGGGAGCGAATGTTCCAAGAAATAGGGTCAGCTGCCAATGGCTCACTAGCACCCAAGCACTCAGCTCACAGCCCACCTGCACGCAAGCATCTTGTCTGCAAGCATTCAGCCTAAGCAGCCCTACGTCATACGTAGCCCTTGCCTCTTTGCAGACAGCCTTCCCTCTGCTGTATTGCCCATTGCTCCCTTGCAACGTATCTCTCCTTTTCTCTAAATAAATCTGCCTTTCTAAATTCAATATTGTCTTGATTGATTCCTTTATCACCACGCGCTGGCCTCACACAGCCATTAACCACGACAAGTTGCATCCCCAGAGATATTTAACCCGAGGAAAAATCGGCCACAAGGTAGCGCCACATTACAGAGAGGGAACAGATGGATTTATCTTGCACGTGGTCCCCAGAATTGCTCAGAGGCTAGCTGCAGATGCTCACCAGGTCATTTTATTAGCCTTCTAATAACACAGTTCTACATTTTATACTAACGAAGTTTGGGGCCCAATTTATTGCCTAATTTGGGATTTTAAATGTTAAACCACTGAGACTAGAAAAGATCCCTAAGGAGGCAGATATTGCTAAAGGAAAGAGAAGGGCCTTCAGCACATGCTAATATTTGAGCAGGGTTTCTTGATCTTGGCACCATGGATATTTTGAGCTGAATAATTCTGTGTTATGGGGACTGTCCTGGGCATTAACAGCATCTCTAGCCTCTCCCCACTAGATGGCAGTAGCAACACCCTCAAACACAACCATAGACCTCTCCAGATATTGCCAAATGTCCCCTGGGGAGCAAAATCACCCCGTAGTGGAGAAGCAATCATTCAGGGGACAGAGGACGCAGCAAAATCAGAAAGGAGACCAAAGACAGCGGCTAGAGGGGAGGAAACCAGGAGAGTGCGTATAGTGGAGCCAATGGCGGAAAGGTCCCAAGGAAGAGTGACCAATTGCATCCAACAGTGAGTGCCTAAAGGTAGGATGGCTGTATATCTGCTTTCCTAAGACGGCCCCAATTTATGCCTCTTGTCCAGGTACAACCATTTCTTAGGAGTGTTGCCGTTTGGATCATTTATGTGCTCACATGACTCAAAAGTCAAATAAGAGGAGAGCAGAGACAGCAGTGGGTTTGGCCACGTGCAGGCTGGTGATGACCTCAGCAAGGGAAGTTTAGGTGCAGTGGCGGAGACTACAGCCACTTTGGTAAGTGTACTTTGGGGGCAAGTTTAAAATAGAACAGGAGAAATTACAGAAAGGGGGGTCTCTATAACACTTCCTATGGGTTTTGCTATAATTAAGGATAGAGCAACGTGAGAAAGAGATGGAGAGGGTGGTGGAGATGGGAGGAACAGCTGCATGCTTTGTGCCAGTATAACTGGTCTGCTGAAGAGGAACCATGATGTTGCCGGAGCATGAGAGGACTTGCTAGAGGCACGTCCTGAGCAGGTGAGAGGGTACGATACGAGTGCATAAGTAAAAAGGACTTGGATGGAGTATAGTCAGCCCACCCCAAGTGACAGCAGGAAAGGCCTAGATTGGGGGGTGCCATGCTGGCAGATGGGCAGAGTGGTGGCAGTGGGTGGGATTTGTTTATGTTTGCCTCTGTGTTTCAAGTGAAATAGGAAACAAAGTCATCAGTTGAAAGTGACGTGGAGGTGTTGGAGGTTTGCAGAGAGAGAAGAATGTGTGAGATACTCACCTAGGAACCCAGGAGACTGAAGGAACTAAGGAAAACATATAATGTGTTGCCAGGCAGCACTGAGGCATATGCAAGGCTGGAGGTTGGAAACGTATATTGACATACAGGGCCCTGTGCATGTGTGGATTTTTCCAACCTCCATCAGCCATGCGTGTGCGGGTGCTGGCACAGAGCAGGGGTAAGGCTGGACTCAACCAGGGCTGTGGTTTTGCCACATAAGGGTGATGAAGTAAAAGGGGCAGAAGTATTGACAGTGGCTGCAAGGGAGTGATTCCAACAGGCCTTGGAATTTCATCTGGGTAATAAAGGAATGAGAACCCTAGTGGGGCGAAGAATGGTGAAAAGGTAGATGACTTAATGGATTGCATGGATCAAAGGATTTTTTGACTCAGGGGATAAGAATGAAGAAGTTGGAATGTGAGGTCACAGATTAGGATATTAGAAACTAGAATTAAGGAGGGGCTGGAGTTACTGGTAATGATCTGGCAGTAAGTGGCTAAGCTGGGGGATCATCACAAGGTTATTGGAGGGAAGAAAATTAAAGACCTGAGAGGCCGCCCTGTTAAAAAGAATGTCTATGTGTGTATTGAACCATCAAGGATTGGGACAGGGTTCTGTTGCAGCAAAGTGACAGTCACCATCCAAGAAATGAAGGGGAGGGACAGGAAGATGGTGAATGACTGCCATTAAGAGGACACACTAGAGGGCGGCGGGAGTTGGAGCTACAGCAGTGAATTGGAGGAGGAAGAATGATCTGGAAGCATCGAGGAGGACCTTACTCCATCCCTGGGCCCTGTGACATAAGGGTTAAGGGAGGAAAAAAGACAGCCACCCCTGGAAAGGACTGAGATAAAGCAGTATTCTCAGGCAGAGCCAGGTTTCAGTAAGAGCAGGAGGGTGAAGGGAAGGGTTAAAGAGGTGCAGAAACATGCTGAGGATGAACCAAGCATTCCAGAGACACCCTGAAAGAGCCCCTGGAGGTGGAGAGGAGTGGATGGAATTGGAGCAGAAGATGCAAAAAGCCATATCAAAATTACAGTGCAAGAGATGACGATGGCCTGGGTGATTGATGCAAACAAGGATAAAGAAAATAATCAATTTTGTCCCCATTTTCAAAGACAGATAGCAGCAGCAAGAGTGTAAGTCTGAGGAAAGTCATATTCCTTCCTCCTACAACATAGCACACACACTTACAAAAACAATACACAGACTCCTGGCCAATGGACTTCAAAACTGAGGAGGATCATTAAATTTAAATGTTCACCGCTGCATGAAATCTCCCTGGGTCCTGCCCTCCCTTCCCCACCCTCCTCCACTTGGGCCGGGGCACAGCAGTGATTCTCTCACCTCTCAGAGTGAGCCAGTGTTGGCTGCATTGAAGGCTCCAGATATGCAAACAGGGCAGATATTCCTGGACCAGGGTGCACAGAGTGAGGCTCCAACGCACCCTATTAACTGCATGAAGGATGAATGAGCCTCTGGTATGGGCTGGGACAGAGAAGAGGATTCAAGGGGCCCAGGAGGGTTTGGGTGGAACCTACCAGGAGCGGCAGTACAGACTCCTTGGGAAGGTGGCCAGGATTTAGCCACATTCACCAATAGGATAATCTGGAGAATTTCCTAGCTTGAGTTTCTGGGAGAAAGCAGATTTCTGGATTATCTGGTGACAGGTAACAGGGCCGAGTTCATCCACAGCCACCTGCAGTGTTAGCACCTTAAGCTGAGTTCCTTGCACCAGGATGCTGTCACGCCCAGTCAGTGTGAGACGGTTCTTGGCTGAAGGACTGAAAAGCTTGGGTAAGTGACTTCACCTAAGCCTCTATCTCTTGCTCCCGTAAGTCAGGGCTCATTGTGGCTCCTTGCAGGCTTGACTTCAGGGTTAACAGAGAAAATGAAGGTACAAGTGCCTTGTGAACTCTGAAACTCCAAACCAGTCATTCTCAAAGTGCCGTCCACCAGTCTAGCACATCAGCATCACTGGAAGCTTGTTTGAAATGTAAATTATCAGGTCCTCCAGAGCTATGTATGAATTAGAAACTCTGGGAATGGGGCCCTGCAATCTATTTCAACAGGTCCTCCAGGTGATTCTGATGCAAGTTAAAGCCTGAGAAACTCTGTCCTATACAAATGGATGTCAACTCAAGCTGCTCTTCAGAATCACCTATAGCACTTGTTCACCCGAATCCCTGAGAATGGAGCTTCAGGACTGCTATTTCTCAAAGTTTGCCTGGTGATCCTGAGATGGGGTTTGGGGGACAGAGATCCAAGGTGCTACCAGGTGTGAGGAATTGTTAGAAGGCAAACCTGGCTGTCATCTAGGGTGCTTAAAGGGTACAGATCCTAGGATTCTGCCTCTTACAGCTGAATCAGACTTTCCTAGAATGGGATTGCTGTCCAATGGCATGCCTCCTGGGTGACTCTGATGTATAGCCTGGGCTGGGAACCACCAGAGGATTATCTTCCATTGACCAAGCTGACAAACTCGCTTAAGGCTCTGAGTTTCACACTTGATTTTCTAGCCCCTGTCCTTCCATGGATCACCTGCCCCCTTCCCTCCTAATCAGGAGCACAGTCAGTGGATGCACTAATGTGGCCTCTCCTTGGCTGCAGGGAACAGGTGGAAATGTGGCCATAGGTGTGCAGGGCTGCCTGCCATGTATTAATAGCTACAGATTTGAAAGATCCAAGGACAAGAGACTAGAAAAAAATTTAAAACAGCCAAGCATTGGCCCAGTAATGGCATTTCAGAAATCCACCAAAATATTAAGATGCTTTTTGAAAAATATCCAGAGCACTCATGTAAAAGTGCTTAATTATTAATAAAAGCTGACATGTGTTGGGTACTTCCTGTGGGTCTGGCACTAGGCTAATTATGTTTTTAGGAGTTGACTCAAATGCTCCCTGTCATAATTATGTGAAGAGATATAATTATTAGCTCCATGGTACAGATTAAGGAGAGGTTACATAAATAAAAAGGAATGATACTCAAATTAGTAACCAGAGCCCATGCTCTTAAACACTATGCTATTATTTGTGGACTCTTACATAGGTGGCAAAAGTCAAAGGCTAGATTGACTTCTGTCCACTTCCAGCCAAGATGAAGTACAAGATTCAGATACACCCTTCCGCATTAAACAACTTAGGAATCAGACAAAATATACAAAGCATTGTTTGTTACACATTGGATAACAGACAGCACTAGATAGTCGTGTCTGAGAAAAGCGGTGAAATGAGCTGAGTCTTAGAATTGCCCCAGTTTACTAAGGGGCATAGTAAGGGCATAGCTGCAGCACAAAGAAGCAGAACCCAACAGAGACTGGCGTTCACCTGAGTTGAGAAAACCAAGTTGAAAATTTAGGAACACTAACACAGATATGTAGGCAAGAGTATCAGAGAGGAGACAGTTGTAGGGAAAAAGAGAGCTTTACAGAGAGACAGCGAGAGCTCCAGAGACCCGCAGAAGATTGCCCTGACGTCACTAGCTGAGTACCGATCAGTGCATACATGTAAGGATATTACTCAATATGTGGAAAAGAACAGAAGGAATGATGTCCAAAGCTCACCCAAAGACAGGAATCATTTATGTTTCCACCAGCCAGAGTGGAACAACCTTGTAACGCATATGGAGTACTCAAACGAATATTTCCTCAATAATAAGTTCAAATTAACTGAGACTAAAGCCTGCCCGCTTTGTCTGGACATGCCTAACAAAGCTTTGAGGGAAGCCTCAAAAGAATGAAACCGTGTCCAAGTAATTTAACTGTGTCCCAGAAAAAAATTCAAGAACATTTAAATAAATATTAAAATATGATCAAACCCAGCAAGGTTAAATTCAAAATGTCTGGCATCCATTAAAAAATTACCAGCCTTGAAAATTGGCGGGAAAATATTATTCATAATGAAAAGAAAAAGCAATCAACAGAAACAGGCCTAGAAAGTATACATATGATAAAATTAGCAGACATTAAATGGTTATGATTAATTTATTTTATATGTTAAAGAAGGTAGAGAAGAGCATAAGCACATTAAAGAGAGACAGGAAAGTCCCAGTACTCACACAGGGCCAGGAGCAGTTTTCACCAGTCAGGTGGGAAAACTTCATATTTCATGGAGCATTGGTAGAGTACACAGTGTCTTGCCTTAGTAGAGGGATAAATGCTGTTCTGTTCCCGCCTAACCCATCTTGAAAGAAAATCTGAAAGGATCAAACTGTATTCAAGTAACCTAATCACATCCCAGCACACAGCTCGACTAGTTATAAAAACACAAAATATTAATATCTAGAAACACAAAAATAATATCTAGCACCCAACAAGGTAAAATTCACAATGTCTAGCATTCAATTGAAATTTTCTAGGCCATCAAAGAAGCAGTAAAATATGACCTATAAGGCCGGGCACATTGGCTCATGCCTGTAATCCCAGCACTCTGGGAGGCCAAGGTGGGTGGCTCACCCGGAGGTCAGGAGTTCAAGACCAGCCTGGTCAACATGGTGAGACCTCATCTCTACTAAAAATATAAAAATTAGCCCAGCATGGTGGTGGGCGCCTGTAATCCCAGCTACTCAGGAGGTTGAGGCAGGAGAATTGCTTGAACCTGGGAGAAGGAGACCGCAGTGAGCCAAGATCGCACCATTGCACTTCAGCCTGGGCAACAAGAGCAAAACTCCATCTCAAAAAAATACATATATATATATGACCCATAAAAAGGAGATAAATCAACACTTCAGAACTGACCCAAACTTGCAAAGATACTATAATTAACAGAAAAGGACAGTTTACTAAGTACTCCGTATGTTCAACAAGTGAAAGATTAAACATATTAAGTAGAGATGTAGAAGATATAAGAAGATCCAAAATGAACTTTTAGAGTTGAAAACTACAATATTTAAGATAAAAATACACTAGGTGGGATTAAAAGTAGATTACACATTGCATAAGATAAAAAAAAATGAGCCTGAATACAGCACAGTATAAACTATCTTAAACAAAAACACAGAGAGAAAAAATAACTTTAGAGACTTAGCTCTTATCCTCTATTTGTTTCTAAACAGAGGATAAGGGGCAGAAAAAATGTTTGAAGAAATCATGATTTTTAAATTTCCAACTGAGATAGGAATAGCACTGGGTAGTCACAGGAGGCTGGAAAGACCCAAACAGCAGTTAAAACAGGAACTAGGCAAAGAAACCAAAGGATAACAGTAAACCTAAACTAAGGGAGAGAAAACAGCCAAAATGCTGATCCAGGAGACATGTCCATGACCCTTGCGCACATCCAAACAAAGGAGAAAGGGGGTGATAACTCGGAGGTCCCTATAATCCTGTCCTTTTCCAGAATACCTTATGACTATTTCACTTCCTAACTAAAGAAACGCTCATAAAACTAGAAACCAAAATTCTCTTGTGTGTGATTCATTCTTACAAGCATGCCCTTCTCTCTTAAGAGAGAGCACTTCTATTGCAAATAATGCTGCAATGAACATACGGGTGCATGTATCTTTGTAATAGAATGATTTCTATTTTGGGGGGTATGTACCCAGCAATAGGATTGCTGGGTCAAATGGTATTTCTGGTTCTAGATCTTCGAGATCTTCCACACCGTCTTCCACAATGGTTGAACTAATTCACATTCCTACCAACAGTGTGAAAGCATTCCTATTTCTCTGCAACCTCGCCAGCACCTGTTATTTCTTGACTTTTTAATAATCGTCATTCTGACTAGCATGAGAGACAGTATCTCGTTGAGGATTTGATGTGCATTTTGCTAATGATCAGTGATGTTGAGCTTTTTTTCATATGTTTTTTGGCTGCAAGAATGTCTTCTTTTGAGAAGTGTCTGTTCATGTCCTTTGCCCACTTTTTAATGGGGGTTTGTTTTTTCTTGTAAATTTGTTTAAGCTCCTTATAGACTCACAATAACAAAGACATGGGATCAACCTAAATGTCCATCAATGATATAACGGATAAAGAAAATGTGGTACATATATACCATGGAATAGTATGCAGCCATAAAAAAGAATGGGATCATATCCTTTGAAGGGACATGGATGAGCTGGAAGCCATGATCCTCAGCAAACTAATGCAAGAACAGAAAACCAAATGTTGCATGCTCTCACTTATAAGTGGGAGCTGAACACTGAGAACACAGGGACACAGAGAGGGGAACAACACACATTTGGGGCCTGTCAGGGGTGAGGTGGGGGAGGGAGAGCATTAGGAAAAATAGCTAATGCATGCTGGGCTTAATACCTAGGTGATGGGTTGACAGGTGCAGCAAATCACTGTGGCACACATTTACCTATGTAACAAACCTGCACATCCTGCACACGTACCCCAGGACTTCAAAATAAAGAGAGACAATACTTCTCCCTTAAGTGTCTACTGTTGCTTTGCAATAAAAACTTCCTGCCTTTCACTTCACTCTGACTTGTCCCTGAATTCTTTCTCGTGATGGTGTCAAGAACGTGGACACTGGCTGGGGCTGGAGACTCACCAGCATCCGGAGACCCTCCTGAGCCCTCCAGCAATACAACTTTGACACAAACTATGAAATCACAGATCCAAGAAGCTCAAAGAACCCAAGCACAGGAAACATGATGAAACTACATGAAGGAACATCAGAATTGAATTGTTCAAAATCAGTGATAAAGAGTAAATCTTAAAAGCAACCAGAACAAAATATCCATCATATACGCAGAAATAAAGATAAGTATGACAGCAGATTTACAAATAGAAAAAAAAACAAGTGCAGCAACAGAAACAAACTATCAATCCATAATTCTATACCTAGTGAAAATTTCTTTCAAAACAAAGGTGAAATAAAAAAATTATTTTCAGGAATACAAAAGCGAAAAAATTAATCACTAGCATTCATCACTGCAAGAAATGTTAAAGGAAGTCCTTTAGGCAGAAAGAAAATGATACAAGGTGAATATTTGGATCCCTGCAAGGAACTAAAAAGATCCAGAACTGATAACTTAATGGGTAAACATGTAATTTTCATCAACAAGTGAATGAATAAACAAATCATGATATATCCATATGATAGACTACTACTTAGAATACAAAAGAAGAACTACTTATGCATGTGATAACATGAATGATATTCAAAATTATTATTGAGTGAAAGACACCAGATCAAAACAAAGTACATACTGTATGATTCTGTTTATATAAAACTCTATAAATTGCATGCTCTTCTATAGTGACAGAAAGAAGATCAGTGGCTGCCTGCAGACAGGAAGAGATTACAAACGGAAATGAGAATTCCTTAAGAGATGATGGACATGCTCATTACCCATCATATGTATACAGCCATAATGGTTTTACAGATACATATATATGTACACGCCAACATAAATATAAGTTATCAAATTACAGTAAGTTCTGACTTAATGTCACTAGGTTCCTGGAAACTTTGACTTTAAGCAAAATGATGTACAGTGAAACCAATTTTACCATAGGCTAATTGATATAAAGATGAGTTAGGTTTTTTGTTTTTTTTTTTTTTGAGATGAAGTCTCGCTCTATCGCCCAGGCAGGAGAAGAAGAGTTAGGTTTTACAGCATGTTTCTGGTCACAAGAACATCATCAAACTTGTAAATAAAGGCACAAAACACTTCTAATATTAAATATCAAAATAAATATGAGTTATACAGAATTTAAGAAAGATTAATAAAAACAAGTAAAATCATTATTTATGGGATTTTTGGTAATCAGTGAGTTATGTGGTCATAGTGGAAGTGGGTTAAGTCAAGAAATAAATGTTTGCAAAACAAAAATTTTAAAGATCCTCTCCTACCACCACACAAAAAACAAGAAAACACGGTGGGCTCGCTAAGCACTTTTGTACCACTCGTATCTTATGCGTTTGTATGATTATTGTAAATGCTTTATGATAATTTTTAGAGACAGGGTCTCACTCTGTGTCTCAGGCTGGAGTGAAGTGGTGCAATCATAGCTCACTGCAGTCTCAACCTCCCGGATTCAAGAGATCCTCCCACCTCAGCCTCCAGTGTAGCTAGGACTACAGTTGTGTGCCACCATGCCCATCTATCTTCTTTTTTATTTTTTGTAGAGACAGGGGTTGTGCTTTGTTGCCCAGGCTAGTCTTCAACTCCTGGGCTCAAGCAATCCTCCTGCCTCAGCCTCCCAAAATGCTGGGATTTCGGACATGAGCCAGCAGCACCTTGCCCAGCATTTTATTTCATAATAATTATAAGTCATTCCTTCATTCATCTTACAACCCACTTGTTCCAGTTCAGGATCTCGGGTGACCAGAACCTATTAACGTTCACGCACAAGTCAGAAACCAGCCCTGGACAGGACACCATCCTACCGCAGGGAGAACTTACACACCCACACTCACTCAGACTGGGACCATGCAAAGAACCTAACGTGCACTTTGGAATGTGTGTTCCATACCCACTAGAACAGCTAAAATTTAAAAGACTGACCATACTTGAGTGTTGAACAGGATGTGACACAACTAAATCTTTTAAGCGCTTCTGCGTAAATGGCACAGCCGCTTTGGAAAACAGTTGGCAGTTTTTCAAGTTAAATATACCCAAACTCTATGATCCACTTCTCAACAATCAAACAAGAGAAATAAAAGCAATGTCTACACAAAGATGTATACACAAATGTTCATTGCAGCCTTAATTATACTAGCCCCAAGTTGAAACAAGCCAAATGTCCATTACCAGATGACTGGAACATACAAATTGTGGTATATTGATACAATGAAATACTACTTAGTAATAAAAAAGAAAGAGCTATTAACATAAGCAACAACATGGATGAATCTGAAAACAATTATGCTAAGTGAAAACAGCCACACAAAAGTTACATACTGTATGATCACATCTACATAAAATTACAGAAAAGGCAAACTAATCTATAGACAGAAAAGCAGATGAGTGGTTACCTAGGGATGGGGCAGAAGGGACGAAAGGATGGATTGCAAAATAGCACAAAAATATTGGAGGGATGACAAATATATTCATTATCTTGATTGTGGGGATAGTTTAATGGGTATATATAGAGATCAAAGCTCATCTAATTATACACTTTAAATATATGTATTTCATTGTGCATCAGTTATTCATCAACAAGACTATAAAATAATATATGCCTACATACATTTTTAAATATTCAAAATCTCACAGTTATATACATAAATGCAACTGAATATGTATTCAGATGTTTTAACAAGCAGAAAGGACTGATTAAACTCATGACAGCGGCTGTTTCTGGGAAGGGTGTAGGAGACAAGAGATGGAAAAGAGGATGAGAGCCAGAAGAGACCCTTGTAATGTTTCCTTTCTTTTAGTAAAAATATATTGACAGTTAAAGCTGAGAGGTGAGAATAATAGTCTCATGGCTTTTGTGTCCTTAAAATTTCACAAACTAAGTGAAATGGGAGAAAGCAAAAAAATAAACTTAAATAAATGTTATATTGCCCAAAAAGAGATTTAAAATGGAGGTTAGACACATGAGACTTACGTTCTCAAAAAAGTAGAATCTGCAGGGAAGTTTAACAACTATAAAGAATTAAAATCTAGCTTCTACCAGCCCAAAGCCTAAAATGTTCTGCTTTATTCTTCCTTATTATAATTCATAGGTAATATATTTTATGTTTGCAAATGAATGCAGTGATATTAGATCTCTAAGAGGTGCTAAAAATGAAAAGTACATATTCCAATTTTTCCCAATTTTCCTTCTCTTTCCATGAATGAAAAATATACATATTTGATGATTTCCAAGTTTATACAACTGATCTTTCTCTTAGTTTTCTCTTACCAAATTCCCTCCCTCACTCAGCCACCAGCCAGTCCAACTGTGCTACCTGCACAGCAGCCCTCATACCATCCACACTCTCATCAGGATCCTGCCTGACCTGCGAGGAGCAGCAGCAAGAAGGAGACAGAACCTCCACGCTGAGCATCTCAGGGCTTTCTCAGAGACTCCAGAGGACCCTGATAGGGACAGAGCCTGGCCAGCAATCCATGCTGCCAGCTGTATGATTGTGGGCATGTAAATTCTCAACTGAAAATGGGTGTAATAATAACATGTTCTTCCCAGAATGAGCTTTATGAAGATCATATAGCTGTTTGGAACTCAGACAAGCACTGGTAGGAATACAAACAGGGGAGCCAACAGCCTATAAATAATACTTTAAGAAAGGGCATGAATGTAATTACTTAGGAACAAAAGGCAAAGTGGAGAGATGCCTAGGACTGAGCTGGACAAGCTGCACCCTTTAGTGGCTCAGCCCATGGGCTGACAAGGAAAATGGAGGAGCTACCAAAGAAGGTGGAAGGATTCTGGGAGAGTGGCCCTCACCCTGCCCAGGGCAGGGCTCAGTGGGAGAGAGGGAGATCTGTTATAAATGCTGCCAGGAGGTCGAGTCATGTGAGAATGTCCATGTGAAAACATCCACTGTGTGTATCTAAAGAGAGTGGCTGTAAAACAGGTCAGGGTCAAAGGTCTTATTGTCTCAGATGTTATCTGCATGCATTGTCTCACGACCAAGAAAACTAAGGAGCATGGACACAAAGGGTTAGGTTGAAGCAAAAATTTAATAAGTGAAAGAAGAAGGCTCTCTGCAGTGGAGAGGGGAGTCTGAGTGGGTTGCCACTTTGACAGCTGAATCCAAAAGCTTTTATAAGAAACTCTTCTCATATCTGCAGCTGTTTGAGTAACTTCTCTTACCTATAAAACTGTCTGTATAACTCTCCCTTATCTATGCAGCTGTGGGATGTCTCCAGGTAAGCATAAAGTGTAGCTTCTCTTGTTTGTATAACTGTGGGTTTGTTTTAGGCAAGCCCCCATCCCCTCCCTGTGTAAGCTCCCATGGAGCCCACCATGTGCATATCTGAGAAGTGGAGGAAGCTTTCTCTGGGAGCTCACTGATCGTACAAAGAACAAGAGGCTTCTGTGCCGCTTATCTATTCAGGTGCAGCCTGAGTTTTCCCCAGGCTGCTCTATTTTTGCCTGTAGCTATGATTTTTCAGGCAGGCTGCTTCTCTGAAGACTAGCCTTAACTGTCTACCTATCAGATTTTTCCTTTTCTTCTCCCTCAGCTGGTTCCCCTCACCAAGGCTGAGCAAGTGAAAAGGAGGGCACAGGGCAGGCCAGTAGTGAGCAGCAACAAGGAACTAAGACAGCAGAAACCACTCTTCACACCTGGGTTGAAAGGGGTGGGGAGCCAGGACTACAGCTCAGGTAAGAACATAGGTAAAGAGATACTGTTGTTGTGTTGTTTTTAACTATGAGAAGCATTGAGCTTTAAATTTCTACAGGAAGGATCCAGTTCAGACAGGAGCACCCAATATTCAGAAGAGAAGAACATGGTGTAAAGGTCCTGGGAAGGCTGAGAGGATTGGGACTCAGAATCCAGAGCAGAAGCCGTCTGTGAACAGAAGAAGGACCTCCCCCAGTGTAGCAAGAGGGAGGGAGGAGGGACAGATGCCAAGATGGTTCAGGAAGAAGGTTTGGTGGTAAATGTGAGGCTGTGCTCACCTGCTGGCTTCAATTTTCTCTTTAAAATGTCAGATGGAATCATTTGATGAAGGCCATGCCATGCAATGAAATGGCAGTCTGAGGCATGGAGCAGCTCCAGCTTAGCCCGTGTTTAGGGTAATTATGGCTCCAACCCAGGAGATGAATATGACTAGGGAAAGTGAAGTCCAAAAACAAATGGTCTCAAGTTGACTGTGAGTCTTCTGGGAGGCTGAGACGACAGGTGGGGTTGACAAGGGAAGGGGAACCCACCTGCTGAAAAACATCAGGCTGTTGGCTGGGGGAGGGGTGAGGCCTGTGTTGTAGAGATGGATGGATGCCTAAAGTTGGGTAAAGGTTTCAACTCTAACCTCTGCTGGGTGTGGAAATAAACAAAGACCACCCAAATGAGAACAAACAAAGACTATTTATCCAGAGCTTGCTCTGACAAGGGAGTCGGCAACCATCACTTGCTTGGCAGAGACTCAGAAGTAAGCAGGGGAGAAAGCCTCATAGCAGAAAGAAGGGAAGTCTTCATGTATGCCCTGAGTGGCAGCTGTAGATGTGGGTGAGTTGCAGGTGGCTAACTAGAAATGGGGACTCCTGTGTGATTGATTAGGAGCATGTTTGGCTTTCTCTGGTTGGTCCTACATTGGAAGAGGGAACAAAAAATTTAGGGCAGTTGTCAGTTATTAATCAAGTGTTGGCCATTTTTGACTGACTGTTACAGGAGTGACTGGCTCCCTGGATTGTTTGCTAGAAATAGTGGTCTTCACTTCCTGCAAGTCTGACTTTCTGGTAATAGGCTTCCTGGGTTGGCTATTGTGGATAATAAGTGGGTTTCCTGAGCTGATTTCTGCAGATTGTGGATCAGAGTTATTTTATATAAACAGTCTGACCATTTTCCACTGGCATATTCCATCTTCCAAGAGCTGGCCAAGCTGCTGTCTTATCTGTCTCCCCCAGCCCCTCCACTCTGGCTGTGAAAATACAAGCCACTAGGTGAGGAATGGGGACAATTGAAGACTGAAAGCTTTTCTTTGCTGGGTTCGCAGAGCTGAGGAAAGAAATGACAACATCCAAGTGTCTGCCCTGGGCCAGTTTTAGGACTGTAGTGGTAATGCAAGGACTGTGTGAGTTTATATTTTCATTTGTCTCTCTAACTAAGGTGGAAAAAAAAAAACAGAAAATTGTCTGTCTGCAGTCTCTGCAAAAGTCTAACACTGTGCTTCCCAACATTGCAGCCATTAGCCACAGGTGAGTATCAAGCACTTTAAATGAGACTGGTCCAAACTGAGATGTGCTCTGAGAATAAAACACACAGCAGATTTCAAAGACCTAGTACATGCCCTGATTTCAAGCTATATTACAAAGCTGTGGTAATCAAAACAGTATGGCATTGGGAAAAAAATAGACACATTGGTCAATGTGACAGAATAGAGAGCCCAGAAATAAACCCGTGCATGTATAGTCAACTAATCTTTGACAAGAGTACCAAGAATACACAATGGGGAAAGTCTCTTCAATAAGTGGTGTTGGGAAAACTAGATATCCACATGCAAAAGAAAGAAATTAGACCCTTGTATTACACAAAATCTAAAATTAATTCAAAATAGAAAAAGACTTACATGTAAGATCTAAAACCATAAAACTCCTAGAAGAAAACATAGGGAAAGAGCTCCTTGACACTGGCATTAGCAGTAATTTTTCAGATATAACATCAAAAGTACAGGCAATGAAAGCAAAAACAAGTGAGAGTATATCAAACTAAAAAGTTTCTGCACAGCATAAACAATCAACAGAGTAAAGACATGACGTATGGAATGAGAGAAAATATTGACATCTGACAAAGGGTTAATATCCAAAATATATAAGTAATTCACACAACTCAGTAACAAAAGCCAAATAACCTGACTTTTTTTTAAAATGGGCAAAGTACCTGAATAGGTATTCCTCAAAAGAAGACATACAAATGGCCAAGAGATGTATGAAAAGCTGCTTAACATAACTAATCATCAGAGAAATACACAAATCAAAACAAGATATCATCTCACACCTGTTAGAATGGCTATTATTAAAAAATGAGATAAGTGTTGGCCAGGTGTGGAGGAAAGGAAACCCTTGTACATTATTCATAGGAATGTAAATTAGTACAGCCATTATGGAGAACAGTATGGAGATTCCCTAACAAAATTAAAAATAGAATTACCATATGACCCAGCAATTCCACTTCAAGGAATACATTCAAATACTATCAGTATCTCAATAAGATACTTGCACTCCTATGTTCGTTGCAGCGTTATTCACCATAGCCAAGATACAGAAACAAGTTAAATGTCCATCAACAGATAAATGGATAAAGAAAATCAGGTAC